>NC_000023.11:74280723-74583754 GCF_000001405.40 Homo sapiens
TTATACATTTACTGGTTACTTATCCCTTTGTCTAACTTCACAAGAATGAAAGTTCCATGGTAAGACTTTGTTAATATCTGCAACAGTCTCTGGCACTTAGTAAGTACTTAATAAGCTAGAAAGCTAGAAAGGGCCAGATCACGACCAGTTTCCCTTCTCTTTTCTACCACCAACTGGGGAACCCCACCAAAGCCACTGACAACTTACCAAGGCTTCCCAACTGCCTCACAAGGACATTCATGGCAACCGTAATTCATCCTCGCCCTCTGATGAACTTGCTGGGCAGGAAGCATCAGTATGAGTAACAGGCAGATCTTAATGTTGCTCTTGACCAATGACAAGTTTTCTGGCCATCCAGGAATCTGCATGTTTAACAAGCACCCCAGGTGATTTTATGCATAACAAAACTTCACACTATGGAAATTTCCAACATCAGAGGAGTAAAATCTCAGGAGCTATTACAGAATCTTTTAGTGTGAAATGAGTCCAAGGTGTGTGGATCACTTGAGCCCAGGTGTTCAAGAACAGCCTGGGCAACATAGTTTAAGACCCCCATCTCTAATTTAAAAAAAAGAAAAAGAAAAAAAAATCTTTTACTGTGAAATAAAAACATTTTTGTCTCACATGGCTTCCTTGGATTTGATAGAACCTAGATGAAGCACTGAGTAGAAGACACAGTACTGGCTTGGACTCAAATCCATTTTCTATGCCAACTAGCTATAATCTTGGGCAATTTGTGCCATCTACTGTGGTCTCATATAATCTTGGGCAATTTCTAATTCCCCCATCTATAAAAATGGGAGAATAGGGAAAAAAGAGGTTAGACTCTTTATTCTGTAGTACAGCCTGAATATTTTAAGACTTTTTTTTCATATCATAATGTGAAAATATCCAGTAATTGCTTAGTGCCTATTAAGCACTCTTACCCTACCCCATCCCACTAACTGGGCAAGCCCACCAAAGCCACTGGCCACTTACCAAGACTTCACAATGGTTTGATAACTAGGTGCAGGATGCTGATTTGAGCCTCTCCCAATTCTCTAATAACCTCACTGGAGGTTAACCAGGCAGGGCTCAATATACCTCTTCAGCAGTAGCATAGTTTCTGATTGAGTGTGGCATCACCTATAGGACAGGGAGAAGAAAAGAAACAAACGTAAGATGGAACAGTCAAGGTTTGAGATCCAGCTTTAATTTTATTTTTATACCTTAGTCAAGTTATCCAGCCAGCCACACCATGGATCTCAGATTTTACTCTTGCTAAGCATTCACACTTAGCATCACAATTATATTTTCTGGCAAAGGCAGTTGCAAGGTCTACAATTGTTAGTAAGGATTCCTGCCCTTATTTTAAACGAGAGAACCTGGGTACAGAGGTACCAATGACTACACCAAAGTGTTAGTACCCAGATGTGAACTCCAGTGCTTATCTTCATAGTTTCCTTCAAGTTCTTCCCCTCTTTAGACTTCAATATCGCTTTGAATAAGTGGGCAAACTTGACCCCTTAGTGGCCCTTCTGTGTCTGGTAGTTAATGAACCTACATTCTTTAGTCCTGATCAAAACAGCCTGCAAAAGGTGAATGAAACCTTCATCTAGTCATCAGATGGCATCTGGTTTTCACACTGATAGGAAAAGGTTACAAAACTCTGGGCTCTTGGACCAAGACCCTATCATTTACAATCTCAACTCCCACCACGACTCACCTTACCTTAAGTGAAAAGGAATTGAACATTATCTGCTCCCTCACCCAGCTGTCTGGGTTATCAATAGGACCACAAAAAGCTAGGCAGACCAGTGGCTATGCCCCTAACTCCAAGAATCAACCACTGGAGTAACAGGCTCGAGTCATGAGATACAAGCCAAAGACCATCAAGGAGTCCTTTCTTTCTTTCTTTTTTTGAGACAGTGTCTTGCTCTGTCGCCCAGGCTAGAGTGCAGTGGTGTGAGAGTAGCTGGGATTACAGGCACCTGCCACCGCGCCCGGCTAATTTTTGTATTTTTAGCAGATGGGGTTTCACCATCTTGGCCAGGATGGTCTCAAACTCCTGACCTCAGGTGATCCACCCACCTCAGCCTCCCAAAGTGCTGGGATTACAGGTGTGAGCCACGCTGCCCGGCCAAAGGGTCCTTTCTTTCTAAGGAAGCAGCCTATTGCCTGTAAGTTTCTCAGTCCCTAGCTGCTTAGCATGAAAAGTAACCCAGAAATCTGGCAATTCAGCAATGGCCCAAAGCCCAGGTTACTGTTATTATTATATGCTGGCAGCACAAGCCAATACTGCTAAGTGTCCTGTTACTCAGTGAGATGAGGGCAACCCTCAACTCAAACCCCTGGAAGTCCCAAGGAGCAGTTACCCAGGACTCATTTTTAACTGTTTTACCTACCACCAGCAAGAAAGTATCTGTCCTCTAATCTACTAGTGACCATGAGACCCAGGCAGAAAGTTCTCCCACCATAGATAGGGAAGATTGGTGCTGCCTAGCTGAGAGGAGAGGGGAAGCAGGAGCCTTGATAGGTTTGAGCCATCTCTTTATTGGAGCAACTAAGGCCACCATTTACTAGAGCAAGACTTGCATATTCATAAGCAGCTGCTGCCACTAGCAATTATTGTAGCTTTAAAGCCCAGAGGGACAAGGGCAGAAAAGGAATGTGTAGAGGGCCTAACTGTGAAATAAATGAGAAGTGTAAACACTGATCCAGAAAATGCTTGCACTAAGGAGCCAGGAATAGAGGGGTAGGTGGTAGTTAGTGCCTTCCTCTGAAGGCAGTGATCTTATTTCCACCATTCCCTTCCCCCCACCCCACCCAGTTCTTTTCCAAACTAAATTTCTCCAGTTTCCAGAACCCCTCACCACCCCCATTTATTCCACTTCTGTTCAGGTCAACAATTTCAAAATGGAAATAGTTTCAATGTGCCTCTAACTTTGATAGTCATAGATGAACACTGCAAAAAAAAAAACAAAATTCCAGAACTATATTAGGCAAAGAATGTAAAAATCAGCCAGAGTCCAGGCGCGGTGGCTCAGGCCTGTAATCCCAGCACTTTGGGAGGCCGAAGCGGGCGGATCACAAGGTCAGGAGATCGAGACCATCCTGGCCAACATGGTGAAACCCCGTCTCTAATAAAAATACAAAAATTAGCTGGGCGTGGTGGCGCATGCCTGTAATCCCACTCGGGAGGCTGAAGCAAGAGAATTGCTTGAACCAGGGAGTCGGAGGTTGCAGTGAGCCGAGATCACGCCACTGCACTCCAGCCTGGCGACAGAGCAAGACTCCGTCTCAAAAAAAAAAATCAGCCAGAATCCCAGAAAAGTTTAACACTTGGGGTATGTTCATCCAACAACTTCCATGTACATACACAAACATGAATTCTTATTTTACAATGATTAGATGAAACTATACTATTGCCCTTTAGCCCTTTTTCAATTAATATACTGTATACTTCTTTCCAAGTCAAATATTTATCTTCAAGACTATTTTTATTTTTAATGGCTATGCTGTCCCATTACATGAATACACCAAAATGTATTTAACCAAGTTCCTATTCATGACTAGGTAAGTTTTTCCATTATTTACTGTTATGAACACCGTGAATATGCCCATATCTAAATCTTTTTTTAAATAATGTTAAACATATATTTGGGGGTATATCCCTATAAATGAATACAAATCTTACAGTGTAAGAGATTTGCAAAGATCAGTAAAACACATCTCTACCCTTGAGTTTAAATCAAAGGAGAGAGACACAAACAGGTAACATTTACCATTATCATGTCCATGGATAAAGATAAACAAAATTTCATGGTGCTTCCTAATTGAAACTGCAGCTGTTGCTAACAGAAAAGGCTCAAAGAATACTATTAGACAGTAGCCCAAATTAAAATTCCATTTGCTAGAATTCCAAAGTTATTCTAATGCTAAATATTGCCTCATTGGCATTTCAATATGACATTGTTGTTTCTCCTTTAGCAAGCCTTAAAGGAGAGAACCAAGCAGAAGCTGCTCAGAAAACCACCTACCCTAAAGGCAGAGAAGTGAGTAAGGTGCAGGGCAGTATATGACACTGGACCTGGACTTCCATCTTTCCTTCCCCCTACTATTTCCAGTAAACAACAGTGAGCTATAGCCATTTTCTTTCAGAAACAACGTGGATTCTCTCCCTGGGACTCTCATTCCTGCACAGATCTGCTTACACATAGTTGGGCTGTGCTGGTATTCATGCTGACTTAGAAGACAAAAATAAGAATGAAAAGAAGCTTTTTCAGCACCATGATGGGTCAGATACAGATGACATTAACACAGAAGACAGACAGATTTTTAAAACCTATTCAACAAAGATGAGTTACTGTGATAACACAAACAGTCCTGAATCTTATAGTAACATTTCAGTCACAGGCGCATATACAATGGTGGTCCCATAAGATAATAACACCACGTTTTTACTGTACCTTTTCTATGTTAGATATGTTTGGATATACAAATACTTACCACTGTATTCCAAATGCCTACAGTATTCAATACAGCAACATGCTGTACAGGTTTGTAGCCTAGGAGGAATAGGCTATACCATATAGCCTAGGTGTGTAGTAAGCTATACCATCTAGGTTTGTATAAGTACACTCCCCTATGATGTTCACACAACAACAAAATGACTTAATGATCCATTACTCAGAACATATCCTGTCTTTAAGCAACACATGACTGTATAGTTAAATGTTAATTATAAAATCTAGGTGTTGGGTACATGGCTTTTCACCGTACAATTCTTTCAACTTTTCTGTATGTATGTTTGACAACTTTCACAATACAATTTTGGGAAAAATCCAGCAAGCAGCTTTAAAAATATGGCTGTAAGACCTTTCCTTCTATTATATTTTATTCCTAGGATGATCCTATCCAACGAGATGAACCTATTCAGTGTTTCCTCCATTTTGTTTTAGATTTAGCTTTCTCAAATATGACTTTGAGCTCTCCGACTTTTTAATGAAGTGAAATGAATCAACATGTATTCATAGGCAGGTTACCAAGATAGTACATGTAAAGTTGGGGAGGCACAAGGGGAGGGGCTCTAAGCTCTTGGAAGTCTAGGCTCACTATCTGTATACATCTAAATAAATGAGTATTTCAGACACCCCACTTCTTCATTTAAAAATTAGTGTTAGGGACCCTCTAAACATTTGCCTCAGCTTACCTTTCTGCCTTATCTCACATTAAGTCCTTATTTCCCATATTCTCATTGCAAAGAACTGTGTAGGAAGGAGGGGGGCAAGGACGAAGGCACCAAAGCATGCTATGTCCACGTGCTTCAAGTTTGAATATAATAAAAGGTATTTCTAGAGTAGAGGTTCAAAGCTTGATGTTGAAGGGCAGGGTATAACTGACTGACTGCAGGACCCTGGGGGAGGTCTTATAATCTTCTACTTTAAAACATGTCTTAGCTGGCTTATCTGTAAAAGAGGAAAAAGACTTGTCACAAGCAATGACAAATGAAGTAAATAAATATGAATTTCTGGTCTGGTGAATGGAATGAGAAATGAAACCATCACTGTCGAGTGATGATCCAGAGTGGGCACAGATCTTTTTCTACAAAGGCTTTGTGGGCCACAATGTCTCCAATATATTTAATGGCAAAAACAGCAACTACTTTTGCACCAACCTAATAGCTACTTAATTGTGCCACTGGGCCGCAAAAGCGGCCCCAGGTAAAACATCGATGAATGAACATGGCTGTGTTCCAATATAGAATGGTATTTACAAAAACAGGTAGCCCATGGGCAATAAAGTTTGCCCACCCTTGGTTTAGAATATGGAGTCTGGTTGGGTGCAGTGGCTCACACCTGTAATCCCAGCACTCTGGGAGGCTGAGGGAGGTAGATCGCTTGAGTCCAGGAGTTCAAGAACAGCCTGGGCACCATAACGAGACCCCTTCTCTACGAAAAATACAAACATTAGCCAGGGGTGGTGGCACACACCTATAGTCCTAACTCAGAATGCTGAGGTGGAAGATCACCTGAGCCTAGGAGTTCGAGGCTGCAGTGACCCGTGTTCGCACCATTGCACTCCAGCCTGGGCAACAGAGTGAGAACCTGTCCCTTAAAAAAAAAAAAAAAAGAAAGAAAAATGCAAAGTCCTATCTAAGAATACTATTTGGATGATTACCTGGGCCCTGAGGATGAGGCCCCAATCTAACAGTTATCACTCAAGTCCCACCAAGAAAGCAAGTGTCAGCAATAGCAACAGTTGCAACATCTGTAAATATCAAGGACTGAAATCCAAACACAAAAATGGCATTGTCTCATGAGAAACTCTTAGGAAGATATATACAGAAATATCAAATTTCTGACCACATGCTTTTTGAAGAAACAGCTGACAATCCAGAGCCTGTGGAGCTCACTTTAGCAGGCACACAATAAATGTTTGCTGATGAGTCATTCATTTATTCATCTAATAAACATTTACTGAGGCCTACTAATGTGCCAGGCTGGGCTCTGGAGATGAAGACACCTTCCTTGCCCTCAAGGAGCTCACAGTCTAACTGATAACAGGAAGAGAGACAGGCATATACACAGACAATTACAATACAATCTGATAAGTGCTATAACACTTATCAGGTTGTATTATAATGGCCGATGTAAAATTTCTTCCCAGGGGGTGCTGCTCCAGGCTGCTGCTGGCTGTAACATCAAGAGAGGTGAGGAACAAATTATAGAAATCAAAGGTTAAATGCTTTTCGGTTATTTCAAATATTCAGGCTTTCCCTAACCCGTGGCCATAGACGGAATTGGGAACTAGACACTGGCATGATGTAAAATGGGACTTCCATGCACAGACTTCCAATAAAGGAACTTCTCAATCCCCTCCTCTAAAATATGAGCTTTTTTTTTTCCTTTTTGCTTATACTCCTCTTAACCTCCCCACCCTACTACCCACATGAGCCTGGTTTAATATCTACAGCTAGCAAAATGCTGAAAAATGGGAGCTTACAACTAACTGGATTAACCCAGTGTAACCGGATAGCAAAAAGCAGTAAGTAATAGCTCATTTGGCACTTCTAAATCCAATAATCCTCATCCTTCACTGGAAAAAAAAAGTTAGAATGTTATTAAATACAAAATAGATAATATACAGATCAGAGTAGGAATAAGTTAGAAAAGTTTATTTAATAAACATAATTAAACAGATTCTCTAAACTAGAAATAACATTCAGTTTCAGGAAACCAGAATTAGACCCCTCCAAGACCTTTGAGAATATCTAATTCACCTATGTATTATAAACAAGAAAAATGAAACAGAGAGATAACACACTCTGCCCACTCCCTTTTCAAAATCATGTGAGTGATAGTAACAGACTCCTTGAGGCAAGATTATTACTGTAATAGTTATTTGGTTCAGATGGTTTTATACAAAGATAAGATGGCATTTTTCTGTGCCTCATACCTTTCTTAATAATACCTAGGTTTTTACTGGCTTTTTTGTCTCTGACCAGCAAATAGGGCTGATAACATCAGCAAGTTGTTGACAGTTATACTGAGATCACTGTTTTGGGACCCAATGTCTCTATGAGGCTGTTATTTAATAAGCTTAACATACTATTTTCCCCTAAAGTTATTTCACTGCTCTTGCCTATACACTGTTCCTTTCTGCCAATTAGCCCACTCCTGGTGCCTTCTCACATGCTAGCGTGTTCCTATTAGCATTTCACATCCCCAAAGCATTTAACAGTATGTATAAATGTGGACACTTCAATATTGCCCATATCCTCCCTCAGACCACTCAGAAATATTTAAAATAAGACCAGTCCCTGAATGGATGGGGGAGAAGGGACCGCTGTTTTGTTTCTTGTCTAAATTAGTTTCTCATTAGGGACAAAATGTTGCCCTGTCTTCTCCCCATGCCCAGAGCCAGGAAGCACCACTGTTGTACAGTACTCAAAAGTGCTTTCCTTTTAGATAAAAAGAAATGGATTTCTGTTTAAAGGTCAGACAAGGCTGGGTAAGGTGGCTTATGCCTGTAATCCCAGCACTTTGGGAGGCGGAGGCAGAAAGATTGCTTGAGCCCAGGAGTTCGAGACCAGCCTGGGCAAGACCTCCACTCTAAAAATAAAAACAAAAATAAGATAGAGGTCAGACAAATGTTATCTCAAAATGGCTACCAAGAACCAGACATGTATCCACACAGCAGTTATATTTGGAATTGCAAACATTTCTTCAGACTCAATGGCAACAAATATTACTGGGAGCATATCTGCAACAAACGACATTTGCAACTTACAAATAACATTCAGGCACAAATTGAATAATTCACAAAAGGAAATAAGAGCTAGTAATTAAGATCTAAAAGTCCAGCCTCACTAATAATCAGAGAACTGTATCACAAAACAAAGATATCGGCCAGGTATGGTGGCTCACCCCTGTAATCCCAGCATTTTGGGAAGCCGGGGTGGGAAAATCACTTGAGCCCAGGAGTTCAAGACAAGCCTGAGCAACATGGCAAAACTCCATCTCTACAAAAAAATTTAAAAATTAGCTGGACATGGTGGCACACACCTGTACTCCCGCTACTCAGGAGGCTGAGGTAGGAGGATCTCTGGAGCCCTGGAAGTTGAGGCTTCAGTGAGCCATGATCACGCCACTGTACTCCAGCCTAGGCGACAGGGGGAGAGCCTGTCTCAGAAAAAAACAAAAACAAAAAAACCCCACAGAGATATCATTCATTCATTTACATATGGAGTCAGCAAAAAAAAAAAAAGCAAAAACATTTTTTATAAGTACCTAAATGACTGGGTACAAAAACTGACATTAATTTTTTGAAAAGTAAATATGCCAATTCTTTATAATGTTCAAATCTTTTGACAAATAACTAATTCTAGAAGTCTCTTCGATAAACAACCCAAAATAAATAATAAAAACCAAATGAAAAGATATTCATTACATAATTTAAAATACTGAAAATCTGTAAAATACTTCCATACAACAGAACATCATGAAACAATGACAATTACAAAGAATGTTTAACATGGACATGCGCATGTTATAATGTTAAAAACAAAACACAATATAAAATAGTACACATATATTATCAACTGCAAAGAAAAATGCAGAGAATGAAGTGAATAAATGTATTAACAATAGTTATCTCTGGGTGGTAAAATCATGGATGTTTTTTCTCCCATGCTTGATAGTTACCCTCAGGCAAAGTTACAATATTTACCAAATTTCTAGACTGAGGGAGCTATTCAAATTTAAACAATAGAATAAAAATCACAAAATAGAAGATAAATTTGTCAAATAATTTCAAATCTCTACTAGCCAAAAATTTAAAGACAAAAATTAAGAGGCAAACAATAACATGGAGTAGGTATTTATAACATTACAAAAGTCTGAATACTAATCTTTATTTACAGAACACAAACAGATAATAATAAACAGTAAACTAAAACTTCAACGCATAAATCAACATAAGATATGAACTATCATTACATGAAAGAAAACTGCTGAGATATATATGGAGGAAGAAAATCCAAACTAATAGGCAAACGAAAAATTAATACTGGTTTTTATCCATTAAAAATTAAAAAACAACAACATTCAGCGCTTGTATGAGTAAAAATTGATACAACCTTTTTAGGAAGAAATTTGGCAATAGATACTGAGAGTTTAAAATGTTCATACCCTTTGATGTACTAACTCCACTTCCACGAATGTATCCTAAGCAAATAATAAAAATAAAACAAATGTATTTTCAGTCTTTTATTACAAGAAAAAAGACAATAACCTTTCCATCACTATTGTATATTTAGATCAACACGAAATACTAATAATGGGTTAAAAAAAAAACTACTGCAGTAAATGACTGGTTAGATGTCTCAAAGCATTAGATCAGACAGAAAATCAGGCAAAACAAGAAGGGTGTGTCCAGCCTGCCGCAGTCGGCCATTTTAGACCCTCTGCAGAACAAAAAGCACAGAAAACAAGGGTAGTTAAGGATAGCCACCCCACTAGGCACCAAATCAACAATTCTTTATCTTTTGTCTCCTAGGTATGTAACCCTGTAGTCTGCACAGTCAGAAACAGAAAACAGGTCTTCTTTCTCAAATGGTTTTGGTTAGTTACAAACAAATTTTGAAATCATAAAAGAAGGTTCCTTTAAATTCGCCCCCTCTTTTTAGGGAATAAAGCATAATGCTTAAAAGCACATGCTTCTGGAGCCATCCCACCTGGATAAAAACCCAGTCTCAGCCATTCAACTGGCTGTAAAGCCTTGAACAAATTAGTCTCGTGTCCCTCAAATTTCTCATTTGTATAAACTTAATAACAGTACTGTGTTTCGTAAGATTGTCGAGAGTACCAAATGAGTTACGGCCTATGTAAAAGCACGCAGACCAGAACCTCGAACGTAGTAAGTGCTATTGACGTTTAATCATTATTACAGATAGAGAAATAGGCCCAGCAGCCGGGCGTGGTGGCTCACGCTTGTAATCCCAGCACTTTGGGAGGCCAAGGCGGGCGGATCACATGAGGCCGGGAGTTCGAGACCAGCCTGGCCAACATGGCAAAACCCCGTCTCTACTAAAAACACAAAAATTAGCCGGGCGTGCGCGCACCTGTAACCCCAGCTACTACTTGGGAGGCTGAGATATCAGAATCGCTTGAACCCGGGAGGCGGAGGTTGTAGTGAATTGAGATCGCGCCACCGCACTCCAGCCTGGGCGACGGAGCAAGACTCTGTCTAAAAGTAAATAAATAAATGAGCGAGAGAGAGAAATAGGCCCAGAGAAGGAAAAGGACCACCATGAAATAATAGCTAGGATTACTGGGAAAAGATGTTTTTTTCAGTTTTTAATCCTGTGCTCCTTCTAACTATGTCTGTATCTAAGTGCTAACTTACTAGTTTTAGCGATTAACAGCAAGTCTTCAGAGAGTCATGACAGTACATCTGCCTTTAAAATAGAAACTCTAATCTTCTCCCTTGACAAAACCGTGCTGAAAGTTCTACAGAAGAAAAAATAAAGGAAAGGGTGAAAGCCCAGGTTACCTTCATACCACCACTGCCATTAACTACTTTTCAATCTTTCTCCACGACAGTATGAGTCCCAGGCAGCCATAGGTCCAAATTCCAGGTTTACGGCAAAGAGTAACAAGCATTTGGAAACACATCCAAATCCTCACGCCTATGTTCTCAGGGAAGAAAATCAAGAGCTTTCGGCCAACATTAACATTGGATTCTCACACTACAACCACAGTGTTTTGCTACTCTGATGGGGTGACTGTATTCAGAGCCAAGTACAGCGACCCAAGATCGGAAAGCCAGAGAGCCCTCCGAATGCGTACTGCCCAAATGTGGCCTGTCTCCAAGTGCTCCCTTTTTACGCATTTCCTACGCACCGCCAGCTGCCGCAACCTTTTGCAGAGTCATCATCGCCTCCTCATTTTTGTACCCACTTACCGATAGGCCACTGAGAGGCTAAGATTCTGGGTTAATTTCTAGTGGATCTGGCCACAGCATAGGAGAACTCCAACTCAGGTTGATCCCTTCACTCAGCTAAAAAGGTAGTTCTCTGCAAGGCCTGCTAGCCCAAGATGGCCAAGCAAAGACAGCTTACCTCCCCCCTCGCCATTTTGCAACCTTAATTACCCGAATGCTGAGCGCCTCCCCTCCCCGGCACTCCGTCTGAAATACGCATGCGCGCCGCTTCCTCCTTACCGTTCTCCCCAACCATCCAGATGTTGTCTCAAATATGCATGAGCGCCACCTCTACCTCCCAAACGCTGGTACCAACTCCTAGCAACTTTGCGTTGTTAAATATGCCTGCGAGTCCTTCACTTCCCGACCTTCCAACCCTCCAACCCCGACGCCATTCAAGCCTTGCGCATGCGTGCCTCCCTCTCCCCACCCCCGCCCCACTGGAGCCCGTCCCCTTAACTCAGGTCTTCTCAAATACTGTAAGCTTGAGCGCCGCCCCTCGGCGCCGCGCCTCCTCATCCAGCCTCTCAAATACCCTGCGCACCGCGATAGTCCTCTCTCTTCTTGCTCCCATTTGTATACAGTATGCATGCCTGATGCTATCTGGACGTGTTTCTCGCCACAATTCTGCCCCAGTGCCCAAGGAGAGCCATTACCAGCCTTCCCTAATGCGAGTAGATGCGATAAACTAGGGAAGTTGAATCGGGGAAAGAAGGCGTTGCAGGTGATCAGAGTGAATCCCAGATCTAGATGGAATCGGTCCCAACTCCAAGGGAGGGGGCTAGAGTACCCCAGGATTCACATAAGACCGGTCAACCTGAACAAAGGCAAGGAAAACTTTCACAAACCATCGGATGAACATAATCCTAAGGCCTCGCCCTTTAAATACATCTGCTACAAATGACGAACCACAAATGTTTTAAACAGGGAACATTATGGAAAACACCGATGCTCAGGTGCCTTGACTCTAGTTAGAGGAAAGGAACCCGCATTCCTTTCACAATGGGAAGCAAATGCTCAACATCCTTTTGGAAAACTGGGGCCTGTAACGTATTCCATTTTTTCCTCCCGTGAACTGGAAAAATGCACAAATTAAGGATCTTCCTGGCCCAAGTTCCCTCCGCCGCCCTCCATGTTCTGTTCTTCCCCTACATCGTTCCTTTACCTCCTGGTTGAATTCAGTGTCGTAGCAGGAATTCTTAGAGCTGGCCGTCCCAAGATGGGGTGGAGAGAGCGGCATGAAAGAGAGAGAGAGAGAGAGACACGCCTGAATGGCAGCAGCAGGCCTTAGCGGCAATGGACAGCAGGCACAGGACCAGCTTTGCCTCGAGCCGCAACGCTGATGCCAGAAAAGGACAACCTCTCCAGAATCGCCGCAGTGTGCTTCCAGCGCATGCGCTGCTAACGCCCCTTAACCCCCCCTCCGCGCCCCGCCTCCCCCACGCGCCGCTCTCCAGCCTCTAGGAGTCTAACCCTTAGCGGTCCACCGACCTCCTTCACTTCTTTCCCAGGACGCTATCCCACTCTGCTTCTTCCACCTTTCCCCTCCCCTCGGTCACACTGGCCTCCACCATCATCCCTCCCTCAGCCCATACTTCTTTCGTCAATCCCTCTCCCATTATTCTTAGCCCACCATCTACCTTTATTTCCTCTGCTATCGTTAGTGGTCTACCCTTCAATTCTTCACTTTCCCTGCCAGTCTGCAGCCCTCTTGGGCCTCTTACTCCTCTCCTCCTATGCCTGATGTTGAAATTTGTAAAAATTACCGCAAAAATTTTTTTTTAAATAATTGTAGCCCGGGCGCGGTGGCTCACACCTGTAATCCCAGCACTTTGGGAGGCCGAGGTGGACGGAACCCTTGAGTTCAGGAGTTCGAGACCAGCTCGGGTGACATGGCGAAACCCCGTCTCTACAAATAAATACAAAAATTAGCCGGGCGTGGTGGTGCGCACCTGTACTCCCAGCTATTCAGAAGGCTGAGGTGGAAGAATCACTCGAGCCCAGGAAGTCGAGGCTACAGTGAGCTATGATTGTGCCAGCTATGATGTTGCCAGCCTGGGCAACAGAGTGAGACCCCATCTCAAAAAAAGAAAAAAAATATTTCCACACATCCTCTCCAAAGCAGCTCTCAGGGTGAGCTCAACCAGCCTGTCTTGGGCAAAGAGAACACCTTTTTGATGATGACCCACAGGGAAGATCCAGAGACAGGGAACCAGAACAAAAACTGCAAAAGTGTTCAATCAATTTGGGGGTAAGAGGCAGTAGACCACCAACATGGAAAGCTCTTTTCTTTCTATTCACAACCCTGGTATTGTCTGGACATTAAAAATGAGATTCAATGTCCTTCACTGCTTACTACAAGGCCTGTTCTTGTCTTCTGTAAGAACTCAAATATTAATTTTGAGGGAAATGGCATTATTTACTTAAGAGGCTCTGAAATAGATCCCTCTTTGGGTGTGAACTAGAAAGAATACAAAATAATATTTTGTTTCTCTTTATTATGTTTTACTTTGGTGTCTGGTTCTTATTGCTTTCTAAAAGAGCCAGTTTGGAAATACCAAAAACTGAGACCCGCAAATTCATAAATCCTAAAACTCATAAACTTATACATCACCATCCTCTCAAATTAACTTAAGAATGTTATATCAACATTATTCAGAGAAAAATGGGTTTGCATTTGTTATATAATACGCCCAAAAAATTATACAACAATGTGCATATGAAGAAGAAAAAAGAGAAATAGGCATGCATTAAATAAAAAAGAAATGCCGAAATCTCAGTGGTACAAAGAACCTCTTCTAAATTAAAATAATCATTTATTATTACACAAAAGTTAAAATATAAGAAATTTTACCCCAAATTCTACAACACTATTTTAACAAATGCTCTTATCTCTGTTATTTTTCTGTTTTAATGGTTTTATTAATATATAATTTACATATCATACAGTTAACCAACTTAAAGTGTACAATGCAATGGATTTTAGTATATTCACAGAATTATGCAGCCACCACTACAATCAATTTTAGAATATTTTCATCACCCCAAAAAGAAACTTCATACCCATTAGTATTGTCTTAGTCCATTATGTACCACTGTAACAAAATACTGCAGACTCGGCAATTTATAAAGAACAGAAATTTATTTCCTCACAGTTCTGGAGAATGGGAAGTCCAAGACTGAGGAGCTGGCATCTGACAGTGGCTTTCCTGCTACATCATCCCATGGTGGAAGGGCAAAGAGATAGAGAAAGAGAGAGTGCGCGCAAGAGGGGGCCAGAACTCATCCTTTAATAAGGAACCCACTACTGAAATAACAAACCCACTCCCTCAATAATAGCATTAAGCTATTCATAAGAGTGGTGCCCCCATGACTCAAACACCTCCCTTTAAGCCTCACCTCCCAACACCACCACATGGGGCATCAAATTTCCAACATATGAACTTTGAGAGACATATTCAAACCATAGCAAGCATCTTTGTGTTCTCTTATGATTTTTGTTCAAATATATAATGTTTTGGCTGGGCGTGGTGGCTCATGCCTGTAATCCCAGCACTTTGGGAGGCCAATGCAGGAAGATTGCCTGAGACCACAAGTTCGAAACCAGCCTTGGCAACATAGCAATACCCTGTCTCTATTTAAAAAAAAAAAAAAAAAGAGGTGGGGGCCAAGCACAGTGGCTCGCACCTGTAATCCCAGTACTTTGGGAAGCCAAGGCAGGCAGATCAGTTAAGGTCAGGAGTTCAAGACCAGCCTGGCCAACATGGTGAAACCCCGTCTCTACTAAACATGCAAAAATTAGCTGGGCGTGGTGGCGGGCACCTGTAATCCCAGCTACTCGGGAGGCTGAGGCAGCTGACTCGCTTGAACCTGGGAGGCAGAGGTTATAGTAAGCCGAGATCATGCCACTGCCCTCCAGCCTGGGTGATAGAGTGAAACTCCATCTCAAAAAAAAAAAAAAAGGAAAGAAAGAAAAAGAAAAAATGTATATATAATGTTTTAACATTAACTTTTTTTTTTTTTTGAGACAGTCTTGCTCTGTGGCCCAGGCTGGAGTGCAATGGCACGATCTCGGCTCACTGCAATCTCTGCCTCCCAGGTTCAAGCGATTCTCCTGTCTTAGCCTCCTGAGTAGCTGGGATTACAGGCGCCCGCCACCACGCCCGGCTAATTTTTGTATTCTTAGTAGAGATGGGGTTTCACCATGTTCGTCAGGCTGGTCTCGAACTCCTGACCTCGTGATCCGCCCGCCTCGGCCTCCCAAAATGCTGGGATTACAGGTGGGAGCCCTTGCACCTGGCCTAACGTTAACATTTTTTATGACACTATATTTGTGTTTGAGGCTGTGTTTTTACCATGCACAGATGAATATTCATCAGCAAACAGATTTAGTTCTGTTTCTTCCAAGGAACTTCTACTTCTACCTTCATCTCAGGCAAGGAGCTTGGTCCTAGGCTCAGCCATATGGAAATCACTACACATTACCCCAAAGGTTCAATGCATAAGAGACTCAACTTTTCCCCCACCAACACTATTTACCAATGGCACAGACAAACATCAACATTTTATAGATACAATATTGTGATGTTTTCACTGCTTTTCCATGCCCCTAATTATTAATTATCTTCACTATTTTTAATAAATGGACAACATTGCATTTTTTGAAAGTATTATAAAATTGAAATCAGCACATAATTCTTACAGATTGAGTTACTTACTCTTTCCACGTCTCTTTATTTTGAAAAACTTCCATAATGTACCATGGCCCCTTAAGAAGAGAAATTCAGGAAAAAGGCACGGGCTGGGTGCGGTGGCTCACGCCTGTAATCCCAGCACTTTGGGAGGCCGAGACAGGCAGATCACGAGGTCAGGAGTTTGAGACCAGCCTGGCAACACAGTGAAACCTCATCTCTACTAAAAATACAAAAATTAGCCGGGTATGGTGGCAGGTGCCTGTAATCCCAGCTATGCGGGAAGCTGAGGCAGGAGAATTGCTTGAACTCAGGAGGCAGAGGTTGCAGTGAGCCAAGATCGAGCCACTGCACTCCAGCCTGGGTGACAGAGCAAGACTCCATCTTGAAGAAAAAAAGAAAAAGAGACACAGCTGGTAAATCTTGAACCCTGTAAAATACTTAGAGTCCTAGGCCTACCTATTTGTCTAAACTTCCCAGTTCACAAGCCGTTCCTAAGGAGTGGTAAGGAAGAAATTTGGGAACCTCTGTTGTATCCACTCATTTTAAGCTAACATCTGAGACTTTATTTTTCTCTTTTCCCCCATCCTATACATTTCTTAGGAGACTGGGCTTCTTCTAGAGGATGTGATGATTAATTTTATATGTCAACTTGGCTGGGCCACGATGCCCAGATATTTGGTGAAACATAATTCTAGATGTTTCTGTGAGGGGTGCTTTTGGATGAAATTAACATTTAAATTAATGGATTTCGAATAAAGCATTGCCCTCCATAATGTGGGTCGGCCTCATCAATCAGTTGAAGACTTGAATAGAACAAAAGACTGACCTATTCTGGGTAAGAAGGAATTCTGCCAACAGATGGCCTTTGAACTGCAACATTGGCTCTTCTCTAGGTTCCCAGTCTGATGGCCTTTGGGCTTGAACTACGGTATCAGCTCTTTCCTGGAGCTCCAGGCTGCCAGCCCACCTTGCAGATTTTGGACTTGCCAACCTCTATAGTCATGTGAACTAATTCTTTAAAATCTCTCTCTCTCTTTCTCTTTACGCACATGCATGCATGTGTGTGTGTGTGCACGCACACACATGCACACACACACACACACGGTGTTCTCTTTCTCTGAAGAACCATGACTAATACAGATTTCCTGAAACCTATGAATACTCTCAATTGAGGTTGTGGCACAGGAAGGAAAGGTAGTCAAGAAGACTCTCTCAGTCCCTTGAATTCAGCTTTACCTTGCCAAATTGTATGTTGACTAAATCTGACATGGGACTGGCCTTAACTTTCCAAAAGCTACCATTACAAAAATGTAAAACAACTTGGAAAACAAGAAGTACCTTTTGTCTTCCTAGAGTCCATTAATTTTTCATGATAGTACTAATCTCCTCTGGCACAAGAAGAACTGGTGTGTTCTTTGTGACTTTGAAAAAAAAGGTTACCTGGGCATGGTGGCTCATGCCTATAATCCCAGCACTCTGGGAGGCCAAGGCAGGAGGATCACTTGAGGCCAGGAGTTCAAGACCAGCGTAGCCAACATGGCAAAACCTTATCTCTACAAAAAATACAAAAAGTAGGCTGGGCGAGATGGTTCATGCCTCTAATCCCAGCACTTTGGGAGGTCCAGGCGGGCAGATCACCTAAGGTTAAGAGTTCAAGACCAGCCTGGCCAACATGGTGAAATCCCATCTCTACTAAAAATACAAAAAATTAGCTGGGCGTGGCGGTGCACATCTTTAATCCCAGCTACTCGGGATGCTGAGGCAGGAGAATCACTTGAACCCGGGAGGCGGAGGTTGCAGTGAGCCAAGATTGAGCCACTGCACTCCAGCCTGGGTGACAGAGCAAGACTCTGTCTAAAAAAAAAAAAAAAAAAAAGTAGCCAGGCACGGTGGCACATGCCTGTAGTCTCAGCTACTTGGGAGGCTGAGGTGGGAGGATCACTTGAGCCCGAGAGGTCAAGACTGCAGTGAACCCTGATTGCACCACTGCACTCCAGCCTGGGTGACACAGTGAGACCTTGTCTCAAAAAGCAAAGCAAAACAAAATGAAAAAGAAGGTAACGGGAAGTGAAGAAGCTGGCAAGATGGTACAATAACAAACTTAACAAAGGCCTTGATTTCATTGCTAAAGGTTAATTAGTTTGAATATGTGAATAAGATGGCTAAGAGACCAAGAAAGAGAATTGATCTTGTTACTAACTCCCTGATAAATTCTGCAGAAATTTACCTCTTACAACAAAATTCAGTTGGGAAAAAAAAAAGAGATATACTAGGGCTAAGAATATATCTACTCTTCTGTATAAACAATAAAAATATCTGGTTATAAAATAAACAGTGTTATTTAAGAGAACTGGTATGTTGTTAAGGAAGTTATTATAATTTTGGAGATGTTTGAATTAATCAGGGTTCAGTGCAAGGAGCAAAAAACCCTCCTGGATTTTAGATGAAGGAACTTAATATAAGAAATTGGATGCTTACAAGTTACTTGTAAGGAAAGGAAGAACACTTTCTAGGGAGAGTCTCAAGGAATGACTCCCAGAAGAATATAAAGCTGACCAACCAGAGTTATTAGGACCTTTGAGGCTACAACCAGATTCATGAATTCAGGAACTCAGAGAGCTGTGATCTGGGGAATTGAAAGACAAAAGGAAAAACAAAAAACAAACGAACAAAAAACACTGCTGCTGCTGCCACTATAACTGATTATTGGCATAGGAAGCTGGAGAATTAATGCTAAAATGCTATTACATTTGAGTGGTAAGTCTGCACAACTCACTTGCCAGCAAAAACAGGCAAAATGTGGCTTGAAGATGGCTTTCACTTCATATATGCTTTTCAAATGCTGAGAAGTTGATTCTAATTGATGTAACCTAGTTTACCTCCAGGCCCATAGCTGCAAGCGTGTGTGAAAAGTGAACACTTTGAATTTACAACTTCTTAAACATGAAGGGGAATTAAATAAAGGTTCAGTGGGCTAATCAAGAGTACCCAGCTCCATAGTAGATACGATATAGTAAAGGGAATATTCAACTGGGAGTTGGTAAACCTGGGATCTAGTCCTTCTTCACAGTCTTAATTTGATCTTGGGAAAGTTTCATCTTCTCTCAGGCCTAACAGAGTTAATCTAGTTATTATTGGGAATACAGATTTTAAACATGAGAGTGGTGTGATCATCTTTACATTTTAGAAGAAACACTTAGCCAAGAGGTGATGGTGTCCTGCTTAGTATAGTAGTGAGATGGAGAGAAATGTGACACCTCTGAGAAATATTTAACAAGTTAAAGCATTTTATGATAATAACAGGATCAATTCATCCAGAAACTATAATGATCATAAATATGTATGCACCTAAAAACAAAGTCCCAAAATACATGGGAAAAACTTTCAAAATTGAATAGACAAATGGGTAATTCAACAATAAGAGTTGGATACTTGAATAATTCACTCTCAATAATGGATACTACAAGTAGATGGAAAATCAGCAATGATTGACCTCTATAGAATGATCCAACCAATAGCAGCATAATAAACATTCTTCTCAAGCACTCATGAAACATTTTCCAGGACAGACTGCATGCTAGCCTCAACAAATGTAAAGTGATTGGAATTATATGTTCTGCAATGCCAACAGAATGAAATTACAAATAAATATGAGAAGAAAATTTTGAAAAGTCACATATATGTGGAAATTAAACATTATATTCCTAAATAACCAAAGGGTCAAAGAAGCAATCATAAAAATAATTAGAAAATACTTTGAGATAAATGAAAAAGAAAATATATCATACCAAAATTTATGGAATGCAGCTACAGCAATGCTTAGAGGGAAATTTACAGTTATAATCAGCTGCATTATAAACAAAGATCTCAAAGTAATAATCTCACCATCCACCTTAAGAAACTGAAAAAAGAAAAGCAAATTAAGCTTAAAGCAAGCAGAAAAAAGAAAGTAATAAAAATTAAAGTGAAAATAAATGAAATATAGAATAGAAATAATAGAGAATAACAAAAAAGTAAAAGTTCATTTTTCGAAAAACCCTTTAGCTAGACCAACCAAGAAAAAAGAGAGAAGACTCAAATTTCTAAAATCAGGAATGAAAGAGTGTTCATCATTACAAAAATAAAAGCAGTATAAAGGAATACTATGAACAACGCTATGCCAATAAATTAGAAAAAATGATGAAACAGCAAATTCCCAGAAAAATGCAAACTGCCAAAACTGACTCAAGAAGAACTATAAAATCTGAATAGACTTATAACAAGTAAAGAAACTGACTTAGTGATCTTTAAACTTCCCACAAGAAAAGCCCAGGCGAAGATGGCATCGTTAATGAAATGTTCCAAACATTTAAAGGAGAAATAATACCAATTCTTTGCAAACTATTCCAAAAAAAGAAGAGATGGGAAGACCTCCAAAATTATTCTATGAGGTCAGTATTACCTTGAAACAAAAAACAGACAAAAATGTCACAAGAAAAAAATCCCTATTGGTCAATATTCCTCATCAATATGGACATAAAAATCCTCAACAAAATACTAGCAAATCAAATCCAACAACATATAAAAAGGATTACTTTACATACCTTTACCAAGTGGAATTTATCTCAGAAATGTAAGGTTAGATGAACCTATGAAAAATAATCAATGTAATACACCATATTAACAGAATAGAGGAGAGAAAACTAACATGATCATCTCAGTGGACACACTTTGATAAAATTCAACACACTTTCATGATAAAAACACCTAGTAAACTAGGAATAGGAGGGAGCTTTCTCAATCTGGTAAAGGGCATCTACTAAAAGCCCACAGCTAACATGATACTTAGGTGGTAAGACTGAAAGCTTTCCTCTTTAGATCTTAAAGAAGACAATAATGTTTACTCTCACAATTGCTATTCAACAATGTACTACTGTTGGTTATAGCCAATGCAAAAGGCAAGGCAAACTCAAGGATACAGAAAAATCATTTGATAAATTCAATACCCCTTCATAATAAGAGCACTCAACACATTAGGGATAGAAGAGAGCTTCTTTAACCCAATAAAAAAGTATGTAGTTTTTTTTTTAATTAAAAAACCATGGTTAACATCATACTTAATGGTCAAAGACTGAGAGCTTTCCTCCTGAGATAAAGAACGAGACAGGAATGTCTGCTTTCACTATTTCTATTCAGCATTGTGCTGGAAGTTCTAGCTGGGGCAATTAGGCAAGAGCATGAAATAAAAGGCATCCAGATTAGAAAGGAAGAATATAAACTATCCTTACTTATAGATGACATAATCTTGTCTATAGAAAATCCTAAGGAATCCACTAAAAAACTACTGGAACTATTAAATCAGTTCAGCAAGGTTGCAAGATACAAGATCAACATACAGAAATAATTGTATTTCTATACAATAACAATAAACAATTGAAAAATGATAAGAAAATAATTCTATTTAAGATAACATCAAAAATGATGAAATACTTTAAAAATTTAACAAAAGATGTGCAAGACTTGTATACTGAAAACTACAAAATATCAGAGAATGAAAATAAAAGCCTAAATAAGTGAAACAATAACTTGTGCTCATGTATTTAATTATTCAATTTTTTTTTTTTTTTTTTTTTTGAGACAGAGTCTTTCTCTGTCACCCAGGCTGGAGTGCAGTGGCGCGATCTTGGCTCACTGCAACCTCCACCTCCCAAGTTCAAGCCATTCTCCTGCCTCAGTCTCTTGAGTAGCTGGGATTACAGGCATGCGCCACCATGCCTGGCCAATTTTTGTATTTTTAATAGTGGCAGGGTTTCACCATGTTGGTCAGGCTGGTCTTGAACTCCTGACCTCATGATCTGCCCACCTCGGCCTCCCAAAGTGCTGGGATTACAGGCGTGAGCCACCGCGCCCGGCCAGACTCAATATTTTTAAGATAACAATGGTCTCCAAAATGATCTACAGATTCCATAATCCATATCAAACACCCGTTTGCCTTTTTTTGCAGAAATTGACAAGCTGATCCTAAAATTCATATGAAAATGCAAGGAACTCAGAATAGTCACATCAAAAGAGCAAAGTTGGAGGCCTTACTCCTCCCAATTTCAAAGTATAATGCAAAGCTACAGTAATCAAGATTATGTGGTACTGGTATAAAGATAAACACACAGATATAGCTATTAAATAGTATTTAGGTAAATATATGAGAAACTAAAGAAATAAAGAATGACAATAACTAACTCCAGAGAACATAAAAACCATGCAGGTAATGAAGTGATCAGAGTACTCTCCAAATGGCTCAGGCATGAGTATCATTTACATACTTATAATTATAAAAACATTGAATATTGTCCCAACCAATATTAAGTGAAGGGAGGCATAGTTGGAATGAGGAGTTTGGACTGTGCAAGTGCATAGGGTGGGTGGTAAAAGAAGACTAAATGTTCATCCTCCAAAATGGAAAGACACAGATAATGTCTAAAATTGAAACATCAAAAAGTCATAGTAGCCAGCATATGATTGTGGTTCCAGCTACTCAGGAGGCTGATTGCTCAAGCCCAAGAGTTTGAGACCTGTCTGGGCAACATAGCAAGACTCCTCCTGTCTAAAATAAATAAATAAATAACTCGTAATATAAAGATATGTTTACACATATGCCTCTAAATAGTATGCTTCAAACTATGAGTTCCAATTATTTAGTGAATTAAGAAACCCAGGGGACAGAGCAAGATCATGGGATAGAAGTCGACACAATTTGTCCCCCTCACCTCCACTGGAACACCAAATTTTTTTTTTTTTTTTTTTTTTTTGAGACAGAGTTTCCCTCTGTCGCCCAGGTTGGAATGCAATGGCGCGATCTTGGCTCACTGCAACCTCTGCCTCCCTGGTTCAACTGCCTCAGCTGGGATTACAGGAGCCCGCCACCATGCCCGGCTAATTTTTGTATTTTTAGTAGAGACGGGGTTTCAACATGTTGGCCAGGATGGTCTCAATCTCTTGACCTCGTGATCCTCCCGCCTTGGCCTTCCCGAAGAGCTGGGATTACAGGCATGAGCCACCGCACCCGGCCGACTAAGTCTTAAATTATGAAAACTTCTACAAGTCTAATTTTCTAAATAGGAAAGGATTCAAACTCAATGATTCAAGTGTTGAAACAAACAAAAACGGAAAACAACACTACTCAGTTAACAGATTATTGTGCTTTTGGCTTCTTGAGTAGGAGGAAAGTCGGGCGGGAAGGGCGTCAGGAATGTCCGTGACACGTGAATGGGGCCGTGTGCAAACCTTGTATGACATCACTGAGACACCTAGCGGAAAACAGCTAATTCTTTCTAAGCCGCCCAAAGCGGGGTTGCGCCGGGGCCTCCGGGGCCGAGGTGGGCCTGCTCATTGGAAGATCGCATCGCAGCCATGAGCAGTAAGGATTTCTTCGCGTGTGGACACTCTGGCCATTGGGCTCGGGGATGCCCTAGAGGAGGAGCTGGAGGGCGAAGAGGTGGAGGCCATGGCAGAGGTTCTCAATGTGGTTCCACCACCCTATCTTACACCTGTTACTGCTGTGGTGAGTCCGGTCGTAATGCTAAGAACTGTGTCCTTCTCGGAAACATCTGCTACAACTGTGGGAGAAGCGGCCACATCGCCAAAGACTGTAAGGATCCTAAACGAGAGAGACGCCAACACTGTTATACCTGCGGCAGACTAGGACATCTGGCTCGTGACTGTGATCGTCAGAAAGAGCAGAAATGCTACTCTTGCGGCAAACTTGGGCACATTCAGAAAGACTGCGCCCAGGTCAAGTGTTACCGATGCGGCGAGATTGGCCACGTGGCCATCAATTGCAGCAAGGCGAGGCCAGGTCAACTGCTACCGCTGCGGCAAATCCCGACATCTAGCCAAGGAATGTCCCAGTGAGGTTACCACTTAAATCTTCCCCCCCACCCCCCACCCTTTTGCTGATTGATAATTGTATTATTTTCTCCGAAAACTTCACTCACCGAAAGGTCGATAGATTGAGGCTACTCTCAGGCAAGTGAGCTTTAATTACCATGTTAAAGGAGGAAAGAGCTAGAAAAAAAAACCTCAAAAAAGTTAATCATTGGTAGATGCCCCACAATTAACGTGTTGCTTCTGCCCCACGGGCAAATCTAGTTATTAAATAGTCATTCTGAGCACCAATCACTTAAGGGGTTCTTTTGTTGTATTTTGATTTAACACATTTAATTAAGAGGCACTATTGGAAGAGCTGGATCTAAATGGTGAACAAATTAGAACAAATTTAGAAACACAGGCCTAGAATCTATTAACAAGAAAAATAGTGTGTCAGATGAAGGTAAATTGCCATAGAGAGAAAGAACAGGAGGTAAAAGGATAAAAAGAGAATGTGTATGTGGGGGAAAGAGGGAAAGAATGTGGTTCTGTTTTAGATACACAAGGGCACCCTGAGGAGGTTATATTTCCTCAGAGATCCATAGGGCAAATAAAGCTGATTCTGAAAATCCATGACCTTGCCAAAGTAACTTAAATTTTATCATATTGATGGCTTTGAATTATCTGGCCTCATTAGGTTTTAAACAACATTGAACGAGACATCTCTGTCTGGCCCTGCATAGAGTGTGTAGTTTAATGAAAATAAACCAGAAACAAAATGTATAATGTATATGAGCTGCTTTGAGAGAGAGAGCAATCAGAAAAAAACAGAAACAAAAAATCTTAACAGGCCGGGCGCAGTGGCTTACACCTGTAATCCCAGCACTTTGGGAGGCCAGACCAGAAGGATCACTTGAGCCCAGGAGTTTGAGAGCAGCCTGGGCAACACAGTGAGCTTTTCTCTACAAAAAATACAAAATTAGCCGGGTGTGGTGGCGCATGCCTGTAGTCCCAGCTACTCTAGAGGCTTAGGCGGGATGATTGCTTGAGCGCGAGAGGTCAAGGCTGCAGTGAGCCATGATCAATCACACCATTGCACTACAGCCTGGGAGACAGAGTGATAGATACCTTGTCTTTAAAAACACAAAACAAAAAACCTTAACAGCAAATCATGGACATATAGATATTGATGGCAAAGTTTGGACGTATATATACATATATAGTTCGTTTGAGACGGAGTCTCACTCTGTTGCCCAGGATAGACTTCAGTGGCACGATCTCAGCTCACTGCAATCTCTACCTCCCAGGTTCAAGTGATTCTCCTGCCTCAGCCTCCTGAGTAGCTGGGATTACAGGTGCCTGCCACCACACTTAGCTAATTTTTCTATTTTTAGTAGAGATAGGGTTTTGCCATATTGGCCTGGTGTCCAACTCTTGGCCTCAAGTGATCTGCCTGCCTTGGCCTCCCAAAGTGCTGGGATTACAGGTGTGAGCCACTGCACCCAGCCTGGACTTACATATTTTTTAAATATATAAGTATATAAGAAAACAAGTATAAACATTAAGATTAAGCAGAGTTTGGGGATTCAGTAATTTGAAAAATACTCTTCACAGAAATGAAAATCATATTTATATTTAGGAGTTTCTGAAAATATATTTTCTTTTTTTTTTTTTTTTTTTGAGACAGTCTCGCTCTGTCGCCCAGAGTACAGTGGCGCAATCTTGGCTCACTGCAACCTCCGCCTCCCGGATTCAAGCAATTCTCCTGCCTCAGCCTCCTGGGTAGCTGAAATTACAGGCATGTACGACCATGCCCAGCTAATTTTTGTATTGTTAGTAGGGATGGGGTTTCGCCATGTTGGCCAGGCTGGTCTCGAACTCCTGATGTCAGGGGATCCGCCTGCCTCAGCCTCCCAAAGTGCTGGGATTACAGGCATGAGCCACCGTGCCCGGCTCAAAATGTATTTTCTCAGATATAAAAATATTGAGTTTCATATGCTGGAATCCATTTTTAAAATTCAGATTTGAAAAACAACCAAACTTTTATAAAATAGAAAAAGCACTTTTAAACTCTAAATAAAACTGAGGGTGGGAGAGGTAACTGTTGTGTCAAGAGAAAATTGAAGTTGTAATGGAAACTGGTTTATAAAATAATAATGTCAAACCTAGGATATGATACCGTTTATAGCAGAAAGTCTAGTACAGGGGTACAGTTTTTGACACATAAACTCAAAGGGTTAAAAAATGTAACTTATTTGTAACTGAAGCCACATTATTTATTTCTTTATTTTTGAGACAGAGTCTCACTCTGTCGCCCAGGCTGGAGTGCAATGGTGCAATCTGGGCTCACTGCAGCCTCAACCTCCTGGGCTCAAACAATTCTTCCGCCTCAACCTCCTGAGTAGCTGGGACTACAGGTGAGCACCACCACACTCAGCTAATTTTTGTATTTTTTTTGTAGAAGCAGGGTCTCACTATGTTGCTCAGGCTGCTTTTGAACTCCTGAGCTCAATTGATGCATCAGCCTGGGCTTCCCAGATTGCTGGGATTACAGGCATGAGCCACTGTGCCTGGCCATATTATTTTTTCAAATCTTTTTGTAGATTTGTTTGCTGTCTTTACATGTCCTTGTATAGTGTCTGTTTACATTTTTTTTTTTTTTTTTTTTTTTTTTTTTTTTTTGAGATGGAGTCTCGCTCTGTCGCCCAGGCTGGAGTGCAGTGGTGTGATCTCGGCTCGCTGCAAGCTCTGCCTCCCGGGTTCATGCCATTCTTCTGCCTCAGCCTCCCGAGTAGCTGGGACTACGGGTGTGCCCACCACCATGCCCGGCTAATTTTTGTATTTTTAGTAGAGACGGGGTTTCACCGTGTTAGCCAGGATGGTCTCGAACTCCTGACCTCGTGATCCGCCTGCCTCGGCCTCCCAAAGTGCTGGGATTACAGGTGTGAGCCACCGTGACCGGCCTTGTAACACATTTTCTTTGACCAGTCCACTGTTGAAGGGAAGTTAGGTTGATTCCATGACTTTGCTATTGTGAATAGTGCTGTGATAATCATGAGTGCAGGTGTCTTTTTCATAGAATGAGTACTTTTCCTTTGGGTAGATACCCAGTAGTGGGATTGCTGGGTTGAATGGTAGTTCTATTTTTAGTTCTTTGAGAAATCTCCATACTGTTTTCAATAGAGTTTGAACTAATTTACTTGCCCACCAACAGTGTATAAGAGTTCCCTTATCTCCACATCCTCACCAACATCAGTTATTTTTTAACTTTTTAATAATAGCCATTCTGACTAGTGTGAGATAGTATCTCATTGAAGCCACACTCTTTTATGAACACCGTAAGTGTAATCTTTCATTCCCAGCTAAAAGATCCCTTCCATTCGGCTGAGTTCCTTTCCACTTCTGTGACCCTCTTGGGCTCCTAGAGATTAATTCTGTCATTCTCTGTGACTCTCAGCCCCTAAGTGGGGCCATCTCAGTCCAATCTGCCAAGACACAACTTGAAACTCCTACATCACACTGAGCAAACAAAAATTATTGGGTCTCATCACTGTGCTGGACTCTATTTAGGAAAGGAGGAACACAGGATTCTGTGTTTGAATTCCTCCAAATCTGGAGTTTCATTTCCCATGCCCTCAGGAGTTTGGCCCACAGTTGGAGGAGGAAGAGTCTGTGTCCTTTTATTAAGGATACACTCAGCCTTTTAAGCCCTCTACATTTCCTGTCTCTAGGAAATCTTTTCTAGTCTCAGGGGAAGGAAAGCCTTATTTTGACTCATCAATATCTTTATGTCAGTAAACATGAAATGGTAGCCCTCTTACTGAATCAGGTTAACAAATGTGTTTAGTTTGACCCACAGATTGTTTAACAGTATTTGTGAATTACATGTCAACATTTAAAAATTGGAACATTTCTCATAAAAATGTTTATTTTTGGCTGAGCACAGTGGCTCACACCTGTAATCCCAGCACTTTGGGAGGCCGAGGCGGGTGGATCACCTGAGGTCAGGAGTTGGAGACCAGCCTGACCAACATGGAGAAACCCCGTCTCTACTAAAAATACAAAATCAGCCAGGCGTGGTGGCACATGCCTATAATCCCAGCTATTCAGGAGGCTGAGGCAGGAGAGTTGCTTGAACCCGGGAGGCGGAGGTTGCAGTGAGCCAAGATTACGCCATTGCACTCAAGCCTGGGCAACAAGTGCGAAACTCCATCTCAAAAAAAAAAACAACAACTTATTTTTAGTCTCTCTGGAGCAAAAGCAAGGATCAGGAAGCAAAAAACACACATTCCTGTGGAAGACTTTCAGGTGCACTACTCCCTGTAGTCTTGCAAAAGTCACAGCCAGTATTCTGTACTTGAGTCCATAACCCATGCTGTATGCCTTGGGACATGGGTAGACAACTATATAACATCCACCACACAAGTTTTAGGTAAAACTGCTTATATAAGCCCTGTATTAATAGATACAAACAGGAAAACACACCAATAGAGACTAAAAAAGCATTTTATAAAATTGAAGCGTCTTCCTGATTTACAAACAAAATATCTGTTAAAAAATAAGATAGGGCTAACAGGGTTTCTGCTTCCAAGAAGATAAAATACATGTACTATTCTTCTGGCTAAATGCAAACAAATACCTCTGAACATTGTATGTAAAATACACATAAGAAAACTGGGCTGGGCACGGTGGCTCACGCCTGTAATCCCAGCACTTTGGGAGGCTGAGGCGGGTGGATCACGAGGTCAGGAGTTCGAGACCAGTCTGACCAACATAGTGAAACCCCATCTCTACTAAAAATACAAAAAAAAAATTAGCCGGGCATGGTGGTGTGCGCCTGTAATCCCAGCTACTTGGGAGGTTGAGGCAGGATAATCGCGTGAACCCAGGAGGCAGAGGTTACAGTGAGCTGAGATCGCGCCACTGCACTCCAGTCTGGGCGACAGAACGAGACTCCGTCTGAAAAAAAAGAAAACTGAAAGGTGGTGGGAAGAAGTCAAACAGGCTAGGGACCTCTGAACCAAGGAACTACACAGTAGTGAGTTCCTTGGTTTTTTGTTTAACCTCATATATCCAGACTTGAAGCAGAAGAAGCCAGCAACCCAGAAACTTCAATAGGCACAGACATAAAAAGCCCCAAGAAAAGCTTGCTCTTATCAGCCAAAGGGCCAGAAAAGACACAGCCTAGAAAGATAGAAAACTTTTAGACAATAACTGCTCTCCTTCAGGCAAACATCGTGAAAAAAAAATTATGGTCTCGGCCGGGCACAGCAGCTCATGCCTGTAATCCCAGCACTTTGGGAGGCCGAGGTGGGTGGATCACGAGGTCAGGAGTTCAAGACCAGCCTGACCAACATGGTGAAACCCCGTATCTACTAAAATTACAAATATTAGCTGGGTGTGGTGGCACGCGCCTGTAATCCCAGCTACTCAGGAGCCTGAGACAGGAAAATTGCTTGAACCTGGGAGGCGGAGGTTGCAGTGAGCCGAGATGACGCCACTGCATTCCAGCTCTGGGCGACAGAGCAAGACTCCGTCTCAAAAAATATATATATATATTATGGTCTCACCACCAGCAAAGGCCTAGTGGGGAGCCCAGACTTATACCCTCATGAATATTCAAAAATCAATAAATGTAAGCCACCAAGTTAATATGCTGAAGAGGAAAATCACATAGTTGTATGAATTGATGCAGCAAAAGCTGTTGACAAAATCCAACTTTCATTCATGATAAAAACTCAGAAAAATAGAATAAAAAGGAACTTCCTCTATGCAATAAATAACATCTACAAAAAACCTGCAGTTAACATTATACCTAATGGTGAAAGACAGAATGCCTTTCACTGGAGATTAGAAAAAAGGCAAGGATGGCTGGGCATGGTGGCTCATGCCTGTAATCCTAGCACTTTGGCAGGCCAAGGCGGGTGGATCACCTGAGGTCGGGAATTCAAGACCAGCCTGACCAACATGGAGAAACCTCGTCTCTACTAAAAATACAAAATTAGCCGGGCATGGTGGTGCATGCCTGTAATCCCAGCTACTCAGGAGGCTGAGGCAGGAGAATCGCTTGAACCCCAGATGCAGAGGTTGCAGTGAGCTGAGATTGCGCCATTGCACTCCAGTCTAGGTGACAGAGCAAGACTCTGTCTCAAAAAAACAAAAAGAAAGAAAAAAGAAAAAAAAAAAAAAGGCAAGGATGTAGGATTTTACACTCACAGTGTTTTTCAACATAGTGACGGAAGTTCAAGTTAGTGTAATAAGGCAGTAACAGAAAATAAAAGGCATACGTATCAGAGGGGAAAGACCAAAACTGTTCCTATTTGCAGATGACATGATTGTCTACAGAGAAAATCCCAAGTAATTACTGGGAAAAAACACACACAAAAAAACCTCCTGGAACTGATAATTATAGCAGGGTTGCAAGAAACAAGGAAAACATACAAAAATCAATTGTATTTCTATATATTAGTAATGAATACATGGATGCTAAAACTAAAATATGATATCAGTTAATAGTCACTCAAAAATGAAATAACTAAGTGTAAATTAATGAAACATGTACAGTAACTGTATGCTGAAAAGTAAAAAATACTGATGAAGGAAATCAAAGATCTAAATACATGGAGAATCATATGTTCATGGATTGGCTCAACAAATAAAATATATCTATTCTCCTCAAATTGATATACAGGTTTGATGGAATTTCCGTTACAATCCCAGCAAGATTTTTTGTAGATATAGATTATTCTAAAATTGATAGAGAAAGAATAGCTGAAGCAATTTTGAAAAACAAGGATAAAATGGGAAGAATCAGTCTACTTTATTTTAAAATATATAGTTTAATAAACAAGATAGAATGATATAGGTAGAGATATAGGCATGTAGATCAATGTTACAGAATAAAAAAAGAAGTAAACACATACAAATATGCCCAACTGAGTGGTGACCATTATGCTTCTGGAATCATACTCCAAGGGCATGACTCTCTCATTCATGCACAAAAAAGGAAAAAGGCTGAGTACTTGGGAAATCCAAGGGTAGAAGGTGAAAGCAGAGAGCCTTTAAGGACCTTAAAAGCATCATTGGATAGGGAATCCCAGACTACTGGGTCTGGGGAGACTCCCTAGTCATAGAATAGAGGAATGAGGCAATCATGGAGAAATTAGGTGTCCACACTCTACCATTTCCTCTTGGTTGTCATTTTGTTTCAGGGAAAGTAAAATGTTAAATAGTAGAGGCTCAGAGACAGTTTTGCTCATGGCTGAGAAATCATGACCCAGGTATAACACACACAATGATCATCATTGAGTTTTAGCTCTAGCCACCTTATGGCCCTTTCTAAGGCCTTAAGATGGTATTCAGTGTCCAAAAGGGAGTTGTCATAAATGTCAGAACATAGGAGGAGGTCATCTACATATTGGACTAAAGTGGTGTCTCCTAGGAATTTTAAGTCCCTCAACTGGACATTTAATGTATGCAAGAAAGAGGTAGGGGTCTCGGTAAATTTTGGGGGCATAATGGTCTAGGTATATTGTGGGTTTTCGCAGGTGAAGGCAAGCATGTATTGAGATTTCTTATGAAGGGGATTACTGCAAAAAGGCAAAACATAAATTGATGTCGATGAAATATTGGGTGTTAGAAAGGGTAGCAAACAGGATAGTGTTAGGATCAGGCACCAAAAGAAATCTGTGTTTGACAATTTTATTGATAGAGCTCAGATCTTAAACTAACCAATATCATTTCCTTTTTTTTTTTTTTTTCTTTTTAGAAACAGGGTCTCGCTGTATTTCCCAGGCTGGAGTATGATGGCTATTCACAGGCATGATCATAGTGCACTGCAGCCTCAAACTCCTGGGCTCATTCAATCCTTTTGCTTTAGTGTCCCAAGTAACTGGGACTACAGATGTGCACCTGGCTCCATTTTGTTTTTTAGTGGCCAAGATGGTTGTATTGCATGGATTAGAAGTTGTGACAAGAAGTTTTTTTATCAAATAAACTTTGGATTATTGAGCAGGGTCACTCTTGTTCTTCTTGTTTTAAATGATATTTGGGAATCTTGGGGAGGAGCACAGAAGAATTTATTTCTACCTTAGGGAGCTCTGCATCCCATATGCACCCAATCTCGGTGGAGTTTTTTTGCCCCTAATGCAGGAATTCTGTCTAATACTTTATTTAAATCTTCAGTTAAATAAGTTCTAGGTTGAAGGGGGCAAAGTAACTCAGATCAGAAAAAAAGTTAGGAGACATAATCATGAAGGAGAGGAGTCAGGGACCTGTAGAAGTCCTTCAGGGGTACAATAAATTTTAAAACCCCAATTTATAAGAAGATCCTTTCCTAAGAGTTTTACTGGGGTAATAGAATGAGAAGGAAGTTGTGTTGAGTTTTGATGGGTCTCATAGAAATGTTAAAAGGTTGAGAAAGCAGCAAATTGTGAGGCAAATTATCAAAACCCACCACTGGTAGTTGGGTGAGTCCAAGGAAGGAGGGCAAAAAATGAAGTGGTGCTAAAGGTATAAGGCATTGCCTTGGTATCAGTGAAAACTTTGGTGGTGCCCTTCAACTTGTAGGGTAATTTTCCCTTGTGAATTTAATGGCAGTTGAGAGCATTGGAGGACAGTCAACAATTTTCTGATGAGGTAACCAGAAGGCCCCCTAAGGAGGGGGGCTCCAGTTTTTATCCTTCCTCTTGAGGTCCAGGAAAACCTGGACACCATGCCCTTCTTCCTTACAATTTTGGTGGGTGTCCCAGTGAATGGGAACCTGTGATTTTGGAGTTTGCCATAGATTAAATTTTTCAGGTTTTTCTAACTATTTTAATGTCAATGCCATAAGCTTGTATTCTGCATTTTCCAATTTTTAAAAAATACTCTTTTCATAATGCTGGGCTAATGTCTGGAGTTCAGACATGTTTGGATTTTGTCAGCTAATATAAGTTTTCTGGAAAATGTCATGGAATTCCAGTCTGAGACTATTTTCAAAGTTTGTGGCCAGAGCAGAGGCTGTTTGGCAAGCCAATTTCAGGCCCAAACGCTCTTTTCATGTTGTCTCGATGGCAACAATTGAGGGTGATAATTAGCTACGGTTTCATCCTTTTGTTGTTTACAATTTTGAATATATGACAAATCTAGTCTCTGTGATAGATCTGAGGGATGGATCCTCTCCTAATAATTTTTCTTTTACTTCTTTCATTTTCTGATGAGAATTGGGGGTAGTCTGAGATCCTTGAAAGTCTTCTGGAATGGTGGTCCATTTGGCTTTTTTAAACTAAAGGACCAACCAATAGGTGGATAACTTGATATAAATTGGGGAACCCAGAGAGTATACCCCTAGGACAGTTCTAAATTGTTCAACACACCTTTACCTTTTCTTTTGGGGGTCAGGAAAGTCTTTGTTGATGGCATGTAATTCAGACCAATACCTAGGTTTAAATGTTATCTCTTCTGTTGGACTCACTTGGGATCAGGTACCAGCCATACACTTGGCTTCATCTGCAGGAGGTGGAGGCCTTGTGAACCATACAGCTATAAGATTGATCGGCTGGGGGTGCAACTGGTAGAGGACATTCTGGGAGAGAAGGATACAAAGGTGAGCTGAGAGGGGAATATGGGGATGCTGTTAAGGACTCTAGGGGCTTACTGGACCAGAAAAACTTTTCTGAAGTCATTAAGAGCTTGAATAGTTTGAGTGAGGTATGAATTATTTGGCCATTTTTCAACTTCTTCATACCAGGTGAAACAAGTGGACAATTGTGTTCTTTTTTTTTTTTTTTTTTTTGAGACGGAGTTTCACTCTTGTTGCCCAGGCTGGAGTGCAATGGCGCAATCTCGACTCATGGCAACCTCTGCCTCCCAGGTTCAAGAGATTCTCTAGCCTCAGCCTCCCAAGTAGCTAGGATTACCGGCATGTGCCACCACACCTGGCTAATTTTGTATTTTTAGTAGAGACGGGTTTTCTCTATGTTGGTCAGGCTGGTCTCAAACTCCCGACCTCAGGTGATCCATCCGCCTCGACCTCCCAAAGTGCTGGGATTATAGGCGTGAGCCACCGCGCCCGGCCGACAATTGTGTTTTCAAGATTTTTGTTCCTTTTTGTTCTAGGGCTCTTCTTAGATAAACAAACTTGGGGATATTCCAGGAGCTCCAGAGGGGCCATGTAGGTCAAGAGAGTTTTAGTAAAGTTTTCCCAGTAAGAAAGTAAACAATGCTATAGTGGCAAAGCATGTGGTCAGCAGGAGTTTCAGAGGAGGGGATTTCAGCCGGGCACAGTGGCTCACACCTGTAATCCCAGCACTTTGGGAGGCCAAGGTGGGCTCCAGACCACTTAAGCCCAGGAGTTGGGGACCAGCCTGTGCAACATGGTCATACCCTGTCTCTACAAAAAATACAAAAATTACCTGGGTGTGGTGGCATGCGCCTGTAGTCCCAGCTACTCCAGAGGCTGAGGCGGGAGGATCACTTCAGCCCAGGAGGCAGAGGTTACAGTGAGCTATGATCATGCCGCGGCACTCCAGCCTGGGCCATAGAGCGAGATCCTGTCTCAAAAAAAAAAAAGGGATGGGGGAGGGGATTTCAGTTGATTAAGAAGTGCTCATGTCCTTGACTAATGGTACCCCTACATTTATGAACAGAGAAAACTGGGATTCTAATCCAGCCTGTTTCTTAGAGACACTAAACTCTTACAGAGAACCCCAGGACTCTAACCCAGTGTCTATTTACCTGGAACTCTAATCCAGCTTCTAGAGTATATGCAGAATCTTAAGAATCAAAATCTAGCCCAACATGCTTAAACTGACATTTATCCAAAGCACTAGATTTTGGAGTTGGTCTAAAAACAAGATGCCCAAATGAGCAAGCTGACTGGAGACAAAGTAGTAGTGCTTGCTGGGAGACCTGCTTGTCGTGTCCAAGAGTCTGACAGTGTGGTTTCCATTTAGGTCCCAGTCACAGCACCAAAAAAACTGTCAAAACAGAACCAGAGCCAGACACTAGTTAAGCCAGTGTGCTCTGAGAGACCAAAATAAACTCCTCTTTTTCAACTAAGACAGACCCTAAGGTTAAGGAAAAAAAGTTACCTATGGGTCCAGGGTTCAGGGCCTGGCTGGCATGGCAAATTTCCAAATTCCTACAAGAAAAAGCACACTCTTACTTAACAACAGAAATTATCAGGAAAATTATGATAACTGTAATTAACAACTCAGACCACTATAACTCTGACTGGACAGAGGACCAGCCTTAAAAACATTCTTTTCTGACGAGCTGTTGAAGACTTTTTGCCAGTTTCAGCCACTTTATAGAGGATGGGCACAAACTGTCTTGTGTCCTGTAATTTAAATTTTGACATAAAAAGCCAAATTCTACCTCATTTTAATGCCGAAACCTCATCCCAAAGTGAACATGGGATGTATGTTACATACATGTTTAGCCAACCTGCATGTGCTTGGCTCCCCTCATAAATAGTATAGCTTTCCCCCCAAAACCTACTGAATATGTGAGATACCAGCCCTGTGAGGTATACGACCCAATCCGTCCTTCCCTTCTTTGAAGAGAGAGTGCCTTTGGTCTCTCTCTGTGCTAGAGACTTTCTCTTCCCAGCTTGCAGACCAGTATTACTAATAAAGCTCTCCTTTCTACTATTTAGCCATCCTGGTGGCTTTTTGGATGACATCAGTAAAAAAAGATTTTATTCAGAAACTATTGCAAGAGATGGTGGGGAGTGGTGGCTCACAACTGTAATCCCAGCACTTTGGGAGGCTAAGGTGGGCAGATCAGTTGAGGCCCAGGGGTCGAGACCAGCCAGGCCAACATGGCAAAACTCCATCTCTACTAAAAGTACAAAAATTAGCCAGGTGTGGTGGCACATGCTTGTAATCCCAGCTACTCAGGTGGCTGAGGTATGATAATTGCTTGAACCTGAAAGGTGGAGATTGCAGTGAACTGAGATCGGGCCACTGCACTCCAGCCTTGGTGACAGAACAAAACTCTATCTCAAAAAAGAAGAAGAAGAAGGGCCACGCACGGTGGCTCATGTCTATAATCCCAGCACTTTGGGAGGCCGAGGCAGCGGATCATCTGAGGTCGGGAGTTCGAGATCAGCCTGACCAACATGGAGAAATCCCATCTCTACTAAAAATACAAAATTAGCCGGGCATGGTGGTGCATGCCTGTAATCCCAGCTACTCGGGAGGCTGAGGCAGGAGCATCGCCTGAACCCGGGAGGCAGAGGTTGCGGTGAGCCAAGATCGTGCCATTGCACTCTAGCCTGGGCAACAAGAGCAAAACTCAGTCAAGAAGGAAAGGAAAGGAGAGGAGAGGAGAGGGGAGGGGAGGGGAGGGGAGGGGAGCCGGGCGCGGTGGCACACGCCTCTAATCCCAGCACTTTGGGAGGCCGAGGCGGGCAGATCACCTGAGGTCAGGAGTTCAAGACCAGCCTGGCCAACATGGTGAAACACCATCTCTACTAAAATACAAAAATTAGCCGGGCATGGTAGCGGGCACCTGTAATCCCAGCTACTCGAGAGGCTGAGGCAGGAGAATTGCTTGAACCCAGGACGCGGAGGTTGCAGTGAGCCGAGATTGCGCCGTTGCACTCCAGCCTGGGGGACAAGAACGAGAGTTTGTCTCAAAAAAAAAAAAAAAAAAAAAAGAAAGAAAAGAGAAAGAAAAGAAAAGAAAGAAGAAACTATTGCAAGAGAGGAAAACCTCAATATGGAACTGGGCTCAATTCTGAATAGTGAGGAGGAGCTGAATACTGAATTCTGAGGGACTGGGAATTTCTAGTCAAGGAGCAGAGTACTGGCAGGTGCAGCCAGGGGGTACAATTGATGGATGGAAAATTACTAAGAGACATCAAGGATAAGGGAGGATTCTTGCTAGATTAACCAAACAGGATTCTTTCTGAGAGCAGACTAGGGTGATCAGATATTAAGAATGAGGGGATTCTTTTTAAACTGACGTTGCCAGACACAGTGGCTCACACCTGTAATCCCAGTACTTTGGGAGGCCAAGGTGGGTGGATCACTTGAGGTCAGCAGTTCCAGACCAGACTGGCCAACATGGTAAAACCCCATCTCTATGTTTTTTTTTTTTTTTTTTTTTTTTTTTTTTTTTTGAGACGGAGTCTTGCTCTGTCACCAGCCTGGAGTGCAGTGGCGCAATCTTAGCTCACTGCAACCTTCACCTCCCAGGCTCAAGCAATTCTCCTGCCTCAGCCTCCCGAGTAGCTAGGACTACAGGCACGCACCACCATGCCCAGTTAATTTTTGTTTTTTGTTTTTTTTCAGTAGAGACACGGTTTCACCATGTTGGCTAGTATGGTCTCGATCTCTTGACCTTGTGATCTGCCCACCTCAGCCTCCCAGAGTGCTGGGGTTATAAGCATGAGCCACCGTGCCCAACCCCTGGCTCTAATAAAATACAAAAATTATGGCCAGCTGCAGTGATTCACGCCTGTAATCCCAGCACTTTGAGAAGCCGAGATAGGCAGATCACGAGGTCAGGAGTTCGAGACCAGCCTGGCCAACATAGTGAAATCCTTGCCTCTACTAAAAATACAAAAATTAGCCAGGCACGGTGACACACGCCTGTAGTCCCAGTTACTCAGGAGGCTGAGGCAGGAGAATTGCTTGAACCTGGGAGGCGGAGGTTGTGATGAGCCAAGATCACGCCATTGCACTCCAGCCTGGGAAACAGAGCAAGACTCTGTCTCAAAAAAAAAAAAGCCCACAAAAATTAGCTGGGTGGGGTGGCACGCACCTGTAGTCACAGCTACTTGGGAGGCTGAGGAAGGAGAATTGCTTCAACCTGGAAGGTGGAGGTTGCAGTGAGCCGAGATCACGCCACTGCACTCCAGCCTGGGCAACAGAGCAAGACTCCGTCTCAAAAAAAAAAAATTAGCTGGGTGTAGTGGCATGCACCTGTCATCTGAGCTACTGGGGAGACTGAGGCAGAAGAATCACTTGAACCCAGGAGGTGGAGGTTGCAGTGAGCCGAGATCATGTCACTGCACTCCAGCCTGGGCTATAAGAGTGAAACTCTATCTCAAATAAATAAATAAATAAATAAACTGACTTAACAAGATTATTGCAAATCGGGGCTATGCAGGTCTGGCAAGGATGAGGCCAAGGTCCAGGTGCAATCAGGAAGAGGACTTAGAAGAGCCTGACTAAAATGTGATGCAAGACAGATTCGTTGCCAATGCTACCATGCCTGTGCCTTCTCCCTTATCCAAAGTCTGATGGGGTGGGGCTTGGTCGGGGAAAGAGAAGGGAGGTGGAACCCTCACCCCCAAAGGACTGGAGACCCACTGTTTTCCATGGGCACTGGCCTCTTGCCTGGGCTAGCAGCCAAGAGCAAAAACCCCCAGGTGGATGAAGAGTCAGTGGTGGGGGTGGGGGTTATGCTGGGGACCAGAGGGCCCATCTACTTTTTTTTTTTTTTTTTTCTTTTTGAGACGGAGTCTCACACTGATGCCCAGGCTGGAGTGCAGTGGCACGATCTCCACTCACTGCAACCTCTGCCTCCCGGGTTTGAGCGATTCTCCTGCCTCTGCTTCCCGAGTAGCTGGGATTACAGGTGCCCACCACCATGCCTGGCTAATTTTTTGTATTTTTGGTAGAGACAGGGTTTCACTATGTTGGCCAGGCTGGTCTTGAACTTCTGACCTTGTGATCTGCCCAGCCTCGGCCTCCGAAAGTGCTGAGATTACAGGCATGAGCCACTGCACCTGGCCCCATCTGCTCTTTTGAGAAAACATACAGCTCCTCAATAGCTCAGGATTTACAAACCAGCCTTTGAAACAGGAAGACCCAGAAACCTGAACAATGGAACTGACCAGGCAGCTAAAATAAGGAATTTCCTTAGTATTTCCTTGAAAGTGTACTCAACCAATGGGTTCTTCCTGCCCATTGCACAGACAAAACCAATTCACTGAGATCATGTTATTATAGTAGAGAAAGAAGCTTTATTAATACAAGGTCAGCCATGCAGAAGACAGAGTTATTACTCAAATCAGTCTTCCGAAAGGCTCAGAGGTTAGGGTTTTCAGGGATAGTTTGGTGGACAGGGGACTAGGGAATGCATGCTACTGACTGATTTGGAATGCAATCATAGAGGTGTGGAAAACTATGATCATGTGCTGAGACTGCCTCTGGTTGAGGGGCGTGCATGGGATCAGTTGGGTCATGAGTCTTGAGTCCGCCTCTGGGTGGGGTCAGTTGTTGGTTGTCAGAATGCAAAAGTCTGAAAAATATCTCAGAAGACCAATCTTAGGTTCTACAATAGTGATGTTATCCACAGGAGTAATTGAAGAAGTTACAAATCTTGTGACCTCCAGAACAATGGCTGGTTATTGTCTAACTATACCCTACATCTTAGCAGAATTCAGGCTCCTCTCATAATCCTAACCTGTGACCTTTCATTAGTCTTACAAAGGCTGCTTAGTTTTGGAAAAGGCTATTATCATCCTTGCTTTAAGGTTAAACCATAAACTAAATTCCTCCCAAAGTTAGCTTGGCCTATGCCCAGAAGTGACCAAGGACTACTTGGAGGTTAGAAGCAAGATGGACTCAACTATGTCAGATTTCTCTTACTGTCATCATTTTTGCAAAGGTGGTTTCAAAAAGTCCACTTAAACTTCTCTGCATGTCACTGAACACATTAAATGTAGAATCTACAGGACGTTTTCTCATTCGTTCCCCCTTCCGTCCAGTGTCATCCCCCACCACCACCCCCATACATAGGAGAAGACCAGCAAGGATGTACAAAAGGGGCAGCCTTGCTCAGGGACCTTTATGTTCATTGTCAAGGTCAATGGAAGCTAAATCACAGACACTGGTTTGAAGAAGGTAACATTTTGGCCCTCTGCATCAGCAAGGAAGAGAAGAAAACTTTTTGCAGAACAATTGATTAAAATTGTGCCATTATCTGAGGCCCAACAGCCCACACTTTACATCCCCACAGACAGCAAGAGAAGGGGCACCCAGTTTCAATATGCAATTTCTGCTTGGAAAAAACACCAAAGCGTCAACCATGACCTTTGGGGTACCAACTCCAAAACCTTGAGAACCAAAAATAAAAAACTTTGAGAACCCCTAGCCTAAAGAAGGATAGCCTCAGCTCTCCTCCAAGCCCCAGAAGCTGCCCAATTCTCGCTGAGATGACAAAAAGTGCCTGAAGGTCATCCACATCCTCAACCTTCCTTGTCTGTCCTGAAGAGGGAGACCAATTTCTCCCTAAGGCTACCTTCTCCAAGAAACCAGAACTGACCCCTCCAGAAATGGACACAGCCAGTGATACGGAAGGGAAGTGCTGGAAAGGGAAGATCGTAGTCCCTTTAAATGATACAGAAGAGGGTAAGGGCAGGGTCTCTGGCTAGGACTCCATCCCCGGGCCTGTGCCCACAGATCTATGTGAGGACAGGCATTTTTGTTTTCCTGCCCAAATGTTGAATTTCCCAACACCTCCCCTGGCCTGCCACGCCCCCATCCTGTGCCTTTAAGAACCCCCAGATCCTAGCACACACACATACAAGCTGCTGGACGTCCAGAGAAGCAAATCGCAGAAGACACAGGCGGCTGGACGAGGAGCACATCAGCGGAGGAACACATGGGCGGCTGGACGTCGAGAGGAACACACGGGCGGCTGGACGTCGAGAGGAACACACGGGCGGCTGGACGTCGAGAGGAACGCACCAACAGGCACCGGCGCCGCAAGCCCAGACCAGCAGAGCAACGCGCGGAGTTTGGCCGGGACACTCAGAGGAGAGCCCAGGCCACTGAGCGGCCCGACTCCAGGGGAAAACCCTCCCACTCCATCCCCTTCTGGCTTCCCTCATCTGCTGAGAGCCACCTCCACTCAATAAACTTTGCACTCATTCTCCAAACCCAGGTGTGATTCGATTCTTCCAATACACCAAGGCAAGAACCCAGGATACAGAGAGTCCTCTGTCCTTGTGACAAGGTAGAGGATCTAATTGAGCTTCACCAGGACACAGCCTGCAGCACAGGACCATTCCTGAGCCCATGAGATGGGCTGTTCTGGGTTCCCACAGTCCCCTGGCTTACTTTAGCCTGGGGTAGCTCCCTGGATTGGAATCCTCTCTTGAGCATCTGCCCCCTGCCTAGCTGGGCTGCAAGTTCCTGAGAGACAGGGTTGGGACCATGTCCTTCTTGTTTACTGTTTGATGCCCGGTAACTCAGTCACTATTTGTTGAATACATGAAGCTGCTGGGAGACTCGTGGCCCCTGGGTGGGGTGGTCAGGTTAGAGTCCCATCTCAGGTACCTGGTAGTCAGATATGCTTCTAATCTCTTCTCTTTGGGGTGTGTTCGTGTGTGTGTGTTTTTGTGTGTGTTTTCTGTCTTCCCCGAGGAGGACCCAGGAGCTCCCTGAGGATGTCTTTCATAAACTGGTTTTAGTTCATGCCCCAACTCTGCTCCTTAGGTGACTGGCTCTCCTCTTCACCATCCCCACCCCTGCTCAGGAAAGATCCCTCCTGAGGGGTCCCAGTTGTTCCCTTCCCTAGCTCTGTGTTTCCTGGGGAAAGTTCCTGCTTCCTTATCTGGAAGACCGGGCAGTTGGGCTCCTTGAAGAGCAAGGAGCCCGTCGGTTCCATGATCTCTCTTCTACCTGTGGCCTAAACACTGCCCCCTCCTGAACACCTTGGAGATTGGGAGCAGGGACTTGGCGGGGGTCTAGACCCCACTCTCCCACCATGGTGGCTTGAGTTGTGGTGATGAAAATGCCTGTTGCCTGCCCAGGCACTTCTGGGACAATAAACATGCTTATCTAGACAAGGGCCTCGGCCAGAGGAAACAAGGCTCAGAGACAGAAGCAAAAAGGCAGGAAGATCTTCCTGACAGTAAAGGTAATTAAGATCAGAAACCATTTACCAAGGAATGTATGGGTCTCCTTTTCCTGGAGATTATAGAAACCTGGAAGCTAATGGGCCCCCAGAGAGCAGCTGGTCCAGCCCCTTCATTGTATAGATAAGAAAACTGAGTCCCACAAAAGAAGGTCCCTGCCCAGGGTCACAGAGCTGCATAATGTAAGAGCAGAGACCAAGACCTGATGCTAGGACTCTCTGGCCAGATCAGTTTCCATTACTCCAAGCTGAGAGGCCTCCTTCAACCACAGGACAGCCTGGCTGATTTTCTCGAGTATCTTTGCTGTACAGATGAGAACTTCTTGTCCCCAGAGGGTAAAAGGCCTATGGGAGGGAGAGGTGAGGCCAAAGCCCCTGTCCTCAGGATGCTCAGGCCCAGGATGTTGCCTGGACACTCCCTTGCCCCTGCTGAGGACAAGAGGGACACTGTCACTCTGGCATTGCTGATGGCTGGCTCCCTGGCTAGGATCTGTGATCTCTCCCCGGAGACTTCCCTGTACTTGCAGTGCACCCTCCCCTGCCACACACGCACACACAGAAGGCCCCTCACTCAGGCAGTCAGCACCTCTTTGGGGAGCTGCTTCCAAAAGTTCTGGATGAGGCTCACCGGGGGTGTGGGGCACAGATATTTAGGAATAAAAGTTTCTTCTGGGTGAGGGGGAGACTGAGGTACATGCACCCAAGGGCAGTCACCTGGGAGGAGAGAAATGGGCCAGGGAGATCACAGAAGGTGGGCTTGCACTGGTTTTGACAGATCCTGGGTAGGACCTGGACTAGTACAAGGGTGGGGGCAGCAGTGGTGGAGGCCTTTACTGCCCCCTTCCTAAAGGCTTCCCTCACCTTTCTGGAGGTAGGGCAGGTAAGGGTGTCAAAGTGTGGTCATCATGGCACACATAGGAGTTTGGACTCCTGATATGAGTTAACAACCTGACCCAGTCCCTCGGTAGCTGGGTGACACTGAGTTCTTCTTTTCACTGTCTTGAATCTCAGTCTCATCTCAAAATTTGGGAACTAGCAATACCTTCTGTAACTCTAAGTGGAGCTCACAGGGGTCTCAGGAAGAGTCTGCAGGTCCATGGTTTCCAGAACAATCCTAGTTCCTTGTAATTTCATGATATTCCTGAAGAGGAACTCATAGATTAATGTGTGGACTTTATTTACATCCTGACTACAAAAAGTGGAAAAAACACCATAACATAAACCCTCCATAACATTGATGAGACATGAGACATTTAAAGTTTGGACATTCCCTGGGTATTTGACGATATTATGGAATGATTACTAATTACTTTAAGTGTTATAATAACACTGTAGTTATGCTAAAAGGGGTTCTTATCTTTCAGAGCTCCATATTGAAATACTTATGCATCCAATGATGTGTGACTGGCCAGGTGCTGATAATCGCTGAAGCTGGATGCTGTGTACAGGAGGGGTCACTATGTCCTTCCACTTGTGTATAGACTTGAAATTTTCCATAACGACAAGTTTTAAATATGAAATAGTGAAGTGTGGAGCAGTTTACCTAACTGTGGCATATCTGTCCTTTGGAAGACTTTTCAAATAGACATAACGCTGGCAAATGTAAGAAAAGCCTTGTATGCAATGTGTGAGCACCAGTGGTATTGCCGATGGGTGCTTGTGACTGGAGACAGCAACTGCACCCTCTCATTTCAGCCCCTCATTGAACAGCGTCTGTGCTGCTCCTCTCAGCCTATGGCAGCTGGTTTGGTTGCCAGGCAATGGAAGGCAGAGACCAGAAGACCTTTTCTTGGGAGGAAGAAAGGGGAGAGGGAGGGGAGAAGCAAGAAAGAAGCTCACAGCCCGAAGGCTTGCTCCCTCCTGAGAGTCTGGCCCAGGGCTGGGGGAATGGGAATGGGGGTAAAGTCCTCACAACCCCTACTTTCCGTGGTTTACTCCTGGTGGACAGCCCCACTTTCAGAGCTTGAAGCCCCAGAGAGACGGAGAGGGAATGCACGCACCTGCACCTCCTGTGAAGGTCAGAGAAATCTGTGACTAAGGAAGATGCCAATTAGCACCAGTCCACAGAGTTAGAGCTCTGGACAGACCTCTCCTGGGTACTTCTAAACTCTTGTTATTTCAAAAATTCTAGGAAAGCAGCTCGTCAAATGGAAAAATCTGCATTGGCGATCACCCTGAGCTCGGGCCATCCCAGAAGGCAAGATGGCTGGGGTCTTCTTAGGCAGTGGAGAAATGTGTTCTTGGTGTCCTTTGGGGAGGGGAAGCAGAAGCCTCTGGCACTGCACGGTGGGCTGGCAGTCTCATGGATGCTGACTATGTTGGGGAGCCCCACGTTCTGGCATTGCTTCAGAATCAGCTGTCACCGAAGGGCTGTGTGGGCCCGAGCCAGTCCTTACTCTCAGTTTCCTGATCTCTAGGAGGGAATGATATGGTCTCTCTTCACTCTCAAATGTACTGGATTATGACACACTCCCCCACCTACATCCTGGGCAGGAATCGCTCTCACCCAGGGTTATAGGAGCCTGTGTGGCACACCCTACTCTCACCCACCAGGCCAGACTGAAGAAACCAACATAGCTGGTTACCTCTCTCCCTCTTAAGTGGGGGCACTTCCCAGAGCCACCAAGTTGTGATCATGAGCTGCCTCCTGGTGGCCTGGGAGGTGAGATTCAGAGGGGCTCCAGGCAGGCAGGTTGGGGGTGAGGTCAGCAGCTGCCCCAGAGATCAGCTTTTCAAGAACAGGCATCTGAGACAGAGTGTCTGTGCTGGATGAGGAAAATATTGGGAAGGCCAGCTGTCTATAGCTGAGCAAGAGCAGGGTCCAGACAGCCCCCTCTTTCTGCAGCATCTTTGTGGCTCCTGGTTGCTAGGAGCAGGTGCTTCTGTTACTAAGCAACAGGAGCCTGTTGGATGAAAACCAATTTCCTGAGCTCTCTAAAAGGGGGAGGGAGAGGAGGTGGAATACAGATGGTCTAGGGAATATCAGGTTTGCCCTCAAGCTTAACTGGAGGTTGGGGGTGGAGGGTGAATATGCACCAGGTACTTAGTATAAAGACTGAGAGACAGACTGGCAATTAAGATGCTGATTAGAGCAGTAAAGAATGCTAATGCTGCTCCTTTGCAAAACCCCAGGAAAGGCCTCTGGTCCCTGGGGGTGTTTCTGAACTCTTATTATGTCAAAAATCCTAGGAATCACCTGACTTGGCTAGACAAAACTGAGCAGAGTTCCTTCTCCAAATACAGAGGATCAATGCATTTTAGGGTCAATGGGCCCCCAAGTGTCCTGGAGTTTAACCACTGGCTGAATGACAAAGGACCCTCCGTCTCTGCTTAGATATTCTCTTTGATGACCGGGTGCTTACTTCCTCCTGAGGCAGGCCTTTCTGTATCTCCGCCCCGCACCCCTCCCCCCCCAAACCCCCCCGCCCCGCCCCGGCCCCTGAGCAGGCGGAGTCTCGCTCTTGTCACCCAGACTGGAGTGCAGTGGCGTGATCTTGGCTCACTGCAACCTCCGCCTCCCGGGTTCAAGCAATTCTCCTGCCTCAGCCTCCCAAGTAGCTGGGATTACAGGCACGAACCCAGCTAATTTTTGTACTTTTAGTAGAAATGGGGTTTCACCATGTTGGCCAGGCTGGTCTCGAGCTTCTTACCTCGTGATCCGCCCGCCTTGGCCTCCCAAAGTGATGGGTTACAGGCGTAAGCCACTGCGCCCAGCCCCTTTCTGTTTCTTATCAGTAGAAAGTACTTTTTTCTGTGGAATCCAAGTCAGTCTCCTTGTGGCTCCTTCCTGCAAGGGGCATAGGGAGGAAGGAGCGAGTAAGGGGAGGAGGGCAGCTACTCCAATCTGCTTTGCTATAGAGATCTGTAACCTCTACTTTCTGTGACCCCCTAACCCCCATCACTAGCCACCTCTCAGGGGACAGCCCTCACCACAGTTTGCAGGCCTCTGATCCCCTACTTTCCACTTGGTCTTTATGTGCATAGGGATATATTGTAATCTCCTTAAAGAGTGAACTGCTACTTTTGATGAATTTGCAGAGTCCAGGACACAATTCTTGTCTCAGACTTCTTTCACTGCCCTGCTCAGACAGGGACCTCCTGGCTCAAGACCATGTCAGTGGACAGGTGTTTCTCCTTCTAGTGGGGTTTCTGTTTTCAGGAGGACCGGCTGGGTCAGGAGGAGAAGGCAAGGGGTCCTCTCCATGCTAAGTATTGGTCTTTGATCCTGAAGGTCTTCAGGTCTTGGATCCTGATTTCTGAGCAGGACTCTTCCCTGCTCTTGTGCCTGTCTAGGCTTTGGCAAGCTCAGCCCAGGTGGCAGACCACTTTCCCTCTGCACGTACCCCACAGTGATCAAGGATACATTCAGTTTGGCTGAACAAACATTTTATATTTTTCTATAACACTTTCTATGATTTAACATATGTTTTACCTTTTTGTTTTGGTTCTTTTCCTTCCAACTATGACACAATGTCCATGAGGGATGAGATATTTCTGTGTTTTGTTAATTGCTGTATTTCAGTGTGTAGAACAAGTGTGGCGCCTAGTAGGTGCTCAAGAAATATATGTTGAATAATGAATATATGCTTACATATGTAAATAAGCTTTTTATATTGTTGGGACTCAGAAAAAAATTACCCCAAATGAAGGCCTCAGGTGCTGGGAAAACTGGCTATCCATATGCAAAAGAATGAAACTGAACCTCTATCTCTCGCCATATACAAAAATCAAATCAAAATGGATTAAAGACTTAACTGTAAGACCTCAAACTATGAAACTACTTAAAAAAAAAAGCCACTGGGGCCGGGCACGATGGCTCACGCCTGTAATCCCAGCACTTTGGAGGCCAAGGCGGGTGGATCATCTGAGATCAGGAGTTCAAGATCAGCCTGGCCAATATGGTGCGATCACATCTCTACCAAAAATCCAAAAATTAGCTGGGTATGTGTGGTGGCAGACACCTGTAATCCCAGCTACTCCGGAGGCTGAGGCAGGAGAATCACCTGAATCTGGGAGACGGAGATCTCAATGAGCAGAGATTGCACCATTGCACTCCAGCCTGGGCGACATGAGCGAGACTCCTTCTCAAAAACAAAACAAAACAAACACAAACAAACCAACAAAAAACCATTGGAGAACTCTCTGGAACATTGGACTGGGTAAAGATTTCTTTTCTGTTTTTGTTTGAAACGGAATCTCGCTCTGTCGCCCAGGCTGGAGTGCAGTGGCAGGATCTCGGCTCACTGCAACCTCCGCCTCCCGGGTTCAAGCGTTTCTCCTGCCTCAGCCTCCCGAGTAGCTGGGAGTTCAGGCGCATGCCACCACATCTGGCTAATTTTTTGTATTTTTAGTAGAGACGGGGTTTCACCTTATTAGCCAGGAAGGTCTAATATTTGATAGCACAACAGGGTGACTGTAGTCAACAATAATTTCATTGTACATTTTAAAACAATTAAAAGAGTATAATTGCATTGTTTCTAACACAAAGGATAATGCTTGACGTGATAGACACCACATTTATCCTGATATGACTATTATATATTGTATGCCTGTATCAAAATATCTCATGTACCTCATAAATATACACACCTACTATGTACCCGCAAAAATTAAAAATTAAAAAAAAAAACAAGCAAACAAAATGAAAGCCTCAGAAAGAGCCTCAGAAACAAAGTTTCTCTCTGACCTTCTCCTGCTCTCTTGTCTCTCACCTCTCATTCTCCCCCACGGCTAGCCACAGAAACTAAAATCCCTGTTCCCCATGGGGGGTCATAGAAACCAGAACCCCTTTTCCCCAGTGCCAGCCATAAAACCTTTTCATCTATCTTGTTTTGTAAAGACTGGTCATAAAGAAATTATCTGACCTGTCTTTATTTATTTATTTATTTATTTTGAGACTGACTCTCACTCTGTTGCCCAGGCTGGCGTGCAGTGGCATGATCTCGGCTCACTGCAACCTCTGCCTCCCAGGTTCAAGCAATTCTCATGCCTCAGTCTCCTGGGTAACTGGGACTACAGGCATGAGCCACCACGCCAAGCTAATTTTTTTTTTTTTTTTTTGAGACTGACTCTCACTGTGTTGCCCAGGCTGGAATGCAATGGCACGATCTTGGCTCACTGCAACCTCCACCTCCCAGGTTGAAGCGATTCTCCTGCCTCAGCCTCCTGAGTAGCTGGGATTATAGGCAAGAGCCACTACGCCCGGCTAATTTTTTTGTATTTTAGTAGAGACAGGGTTTCACCATGTTGGTCAGGCTTGTCTCAAACTCCTGACCTCAAGTGATCTGACCGCCTCGCCCTCCCAAAGTGCAAGATTGCAGGCGTGAGCCACGTGCCCGGCCGCTAATTTTTTTTGTTTTGTTGTTGTTGGCCAGCTGGTCTTGAACTCCTGACCTCAGGTGATCCACCCACCTCAGCCTCCCAAAGTGTTGGGATTACAGATGTGAGCCACCATCTCCGGCCCGATCTACCTTTTTGAGTGTAGGTGACAAGACCCCCATTCCAGAGAGGGTCCTGTCCTATACCCATAAAGAAGGTATGCTGCATAAAGAGGCCAAGAATAAGCTGAATGGACAGGGCTTGCTTGGTGTCCCCTGCCTCTCCTCAGTCTATTACTATTAGCTCACATCATTTTGGCCAATCATATTTCTACATGGCTGTCCATGCTTCATTATACCTAAGGATAAAAATATACTGTTTACCCTGGGTCTTTGGATCTGCAAGCTGATGGCTCCTGTGTCACATAAAACTGTAATCAAATAAACTTGTTATGCTTTTCTCTTGTTAACCTGTCTTTTGTTATAGAAGTGTCTGCTGTGACCCTTACGATGGGGATTAAAGGTATCACACCCTTTCTGCTCCTGCAGTATACTTATATGGCATGATATCCAGGCCAAATTTCTGACTGAAAGAAACAAGGTACAAAACAGTATGTATTATATGGTACCTTTTGGGTGAGAGGACAAAAGAGAACTATATAAGAGAGAGATTTATTTTTGTAACTGCACAGGATATCATTGGGAAGATAAACCAGAAACTGATAATAATGGTTGACTCAAGGAAGGAAAGTTAGATGGCTGAAGGACAGGCATAGAATACATACTTTTCATGATGTACCTTTTGTTGCCTTTTGAATTTTGTACCATTATCATGTATTACTTTTAAAAACATTTTTATTAAAAATGTAAGGCTTAGAAAGAACTGAAAAACTGCAGAAATAAAAGGCAACTCACTGTATCATCTCCAGAAACTCCAGGCACTACTATTTGTGAATCTGCTTCTCAGACACTAGTCATATGGACCTATGTTATATGCCCCCTCAACTGCCATTCTTCTAGGCAGCCTATATTTAATTATCACTGATAACTTATAACTTGCCACTACTATCAAGTTGTTATGCTAAAACAGACAAGTTCACATTATATGCAAAACATGTCCAGCCACATTAGTTTCAATCAGCAAGACCTCATTCCATCATTCTTTCTTATAAAAAGCTTAATAACCTTTTCCCCGTCTGCAACATGATATGTCTATCTTCGTGTCTATCAACAAGATATGTCTATCTTTGGTGAGATAAGTCCTCTCATTCACTGCTCTCGGGAGTGTAAATTAGTAAAGTTTTTTCAGAAGATGGTGTATCAATATGTACTAAAGCTTAAAAATATTCATCTTCATGAGCATCCACTTCTAGATAGCCTAAAGAAAATATTAGAAATGTGCATCATGTTTTATGCATAAAGATATTTGTCATGGGCCGTGCATGGTGGCTCACGCCTGTAAACCCAGCACTTTGGGAGGCCGAGGCAGGTGGATCACCTGAGGTCAAGAGTTTGAGACCAGCCTGATCAATATGATGAAACCCTGTCTCTACTAAAAATACAAAAATTAGCCAGGTGTGGTGGTGTGCGACTGTAGTCCCAGCTACTTGGGAGACTGAGACAGGAGAATTGCTTGAACCCAGGAGGCGGAAGTTGCAGTAAGCTGAGATGGCACCACTGCACTCCAGCCTGGGCGACACAGTGAGATTCCATCTCAAAAAAAAAAAAAAAAAAGAAAGATATTTATCATGGTGTTGCTTATAATGGGAAAATATTTGAAATCATGTAAATGTCTAACAAGAGGAAAATAGTTTTAAAATAAATTGTGACATGATATTCTATCATGGAGCCATTAGAAAAAAAATCAACTTTTGTGGGAAACTGAATTTAAGCTAACCTTACTGAGGAATGTTGAAGGATGTGGTTAAGCATATGCACTATTAAAGAAAAGCAGAGCCAAACAGTAAAGTAGTAAAAACAGATTTTATTCAGAAGTTACTGCAGTAGGAAAATAAGACCTTGATATAGAACTGGGCTCAGTTCTGAATAAAGAAAAAGTAGGGTTTATAACCAACATGCAGGGTAGGGGGAGTCACTTGGTATTTGTAAATATTTTTTTTTTTTGAAACGGAGTCTCGCTCTGTTGCCCAGGCTAGAGTGCAGTGGCATGATCTCACCTCACTGCAACCTCCACCTCCCAGGTTCAAGCTATTCTCCTGCCGCAGCCTCCTGAGTAGCTGGGACTACAGGTGCCTGCCACCATGCCCGGCTAACTTTTTGTATTTTTAGTAGAGATAGGGTTTCACCACATTGGCCAGGCTGTTCTTGAACTCCTGACCTTGTGATCCGCCCGCCTTGGCCTCCCAAAGTGCTGGGATTACAGGCGTGAGCCACCACGTTGAGCCTGTAAAATTACTAAGTGGAGACATCAAGGGTAGAGGGAATTCTTGCTAAACTAACCTAACACATTTCTTGTTGAAGGTAGGCCATGGCGATCAGATATCAAGGTGTATGTGTTGGGGGGATTCTCTTTAAATTGAATAAGCAGGATTCTTGCTAAAATTGGGCAATGCAGGCCCAAAAAGGATAGACACTGAAGTCCAAGGTCAAGGACTACTTGACAAGAGGGCTTAGAGGAGACCAACTAAAGTTTGGTCAAGGAGAGTTTCATTGTCATTCCCTCCTCTTGTTTAAATAAATAAGATACATTTTCTTTACTTTGAATAATATAAATCCATTTTGTTCATTCAGGACTAGCTGAACCATCTGCTCAGAACTGGTAGTAGAGGGTATTTGCTGGGTGGTCTAAATCATCATTCAAACAAGGGGGATTTCTCCGGGAAAAAGAAGGAAAACAGGGCAGGAGCAGTGGCTCACGCCTGTCATCCCATCACTTTGGGAGGCTGAGGCAGGCAGATCACCTGAGGACAGGAGTTTGAAACCAGCCTTGACCAACGTGGTGAAACCCCGTCTCTACTAAAAATACAAAAATTAGTTGGGCGTCTGGCATCCGCCTGTAATCCGAGCTACTAGGGGGACTGAGGCAGGAGAATCGCTTGAACCCAGGAGGCAGAGGTTGCAGTGAGCTGAGATCTCGCCATTGCACTCCAGCCTGGGCAACAACAGGAGAACTCCATCTCAAAAAAAAAAAAAAAAAAAGAAGAAGAAGAAGAAGGAAAACAAAGACTAATGGTTGGAACAGATACTAAACCCAGTTTCTGCGTCCAGAGTACAGCAAGTTAAGATTTCTAGATGTTGGTCTCAAAACATCTTTAGATTATGGAGTGAGGATAGCAGTGGCAATTTGATGAATTTCCTGGTTTGCAGTTTGAATGTCTTTGGTGATAGCATACATATCAGTGTCACAGTCATGGTTATTTCCTAGAAAAGAGCATGGATGCATCCAGCTTTAGCTTGCGAGGCTTCTTTAAATAGTCTCAATGAAGATCTAGGCATTCAAGTTTTAGTTCTCAGTCATGCCAAATCAGGAGAATAGGGGAAAAAATGGACATGTTAATTTGGAGAATTGTAATCAGATGTTGGTGAAAACTGGAATTGATAATTTGGTAACAACTAACAAAATGTGTGATAATGGTAGGATCCAGTCTAATTTATGGAAGATAAAAATGTAGAAAGTAAAATGGAGTTTAACAAGAGGTTAAAAAAAAAAACATAGCTCAAGGACAATGAACAGGACTATAATAACCCACAAGAGTGTGCTATAGTTTTCCATTGAAACATAAAATTTCCCTCTATAGTCACCCCACTTCTGTTTCTTGTTTACAAAATAAGTCTGATCTCATGAGATTTGGCCATATTATTCACATAAATGAAGCAAGAATTGTAACTCACCACATAGGTCTTTTTTGGTTTGTCTTGCTGAAACTTTTAATAAGAAATCTTGGAATGGACTTTTAAAAGCTTCTTAAGGCTATGAAGCCAAGCTAAGATCTTGCCATTAGACTTCACCTGCAATACCTACAGATTTGGGTAAATTCTTCCTTCTTGAGGTCTCCAAAATATCCTGAGGTTCCTAGACATGCCAGAAAGTGAATTTCCTTACTCACCTGAAAGTCTGGGAACCTTGTAAGCCAGGTAGCATGCTGATTTTTCCAAGAGGGCTTTGTAGGCATTGGTTTCATAAAGTCAACCTTAGTTCCTTAAAACAACTTGACCATAAGTTAATTCTATGCACATCATTCTCAAATATGAGATTCCAATAAAAGTTTTGATAATATAACCAATGTTTCCAATTGTGTCTTGTTACAAGGAGAACAGATTCTTGCTGAATTTATGCGAATAACTATATTGCCATGAACATAAAAACATTCACTAAGAGTTTCTGAATTCTGGGGGATCAGGTAGGGAGAAGTAATTGTTTCATCTTTGTTCACAAAGGTATACTTTACCAAATTGCTGTAAGTTATAGATAGCTTAAAAGAAAAGACTTTCTTTAAATCTGGAAAACAAAACATTCAACTGGCAATGTTTCAAACAAAAAGTCATTAAAAATGATAATCATCGGCCAGGCGCTGTGGCTCACGCCTGTAATCCCAGCACTTTGGGAGGCCAAGGCGGGCGGATCACAAGGTCAAGAGATCAAGACCATCCTGGCCAACATGGTGAAACCCCGTCTCTACTAAAAATACAAAAATTAGCTGGGCATGGTGGCGCATGCCTGTAGTCTCAGCTACTTGGGAGGCTGAGGCAGGAGAATCGCTTGAAACCGGGAGGCGGAGGTTGCAGTGAGCTGAGATGGCACCACTGCACTCCAGCCTGGTGACAGAGTGAGACTCCGTCTCAAAAAAAAAAAAAAAAGATAATCACCCTCATCAGCTAATTCAGTTTCATGTAATTAATTATTGTTCTGCTTAATCTTGGGTTAGCAGTTTTACAAATCCATCAAGTTCTTCATTCGTTCTGGAAATTCTTACTCAATGGAATGGCATGGTCTCAAATTATCAGAGGTTTATATTTCAGAGTACCTGTCTTTCTCATGAGCTTCTTTGAAGATGAAGCATTTGTTCTATAATGCATTCACAGAAGAATCAAAGTAAAGTAAAAACTATCTGTGATGACAAAAGACTTAAAATAGTCAAAGTTAAAGATCTGATGAGAGTTCACTTGATAAGCAAATTTAGTTATTTCTGTGGCATACAACATTTTAACATAAAAACTGGAATTGTGACTGATAACATAATTATGCTGGACATATAATAAAGAGCAAGGGTATTGACAAATTTCTATGAACTTCATACAATTTCTGAAACATTTATATTACTAACAGGTACCCATACAAATATAATATAAAGAAGGTTAAACACCATTAAAAAATTTTTAAATATTTTTATTTGACAATGCTTTCCATGTAATTTAACATATCAATAGCCTAATTAGTTTAATATTCTTTTTATTTTTATTTTTTATGAGAATGACTTTTTATTTTTATTTATTTATTTATTTTTTGAGACCGAGCCTCGCTCTGTCGCCCAGGCTGGAGTGCAGTGGTGCCATCTTGCCTCACTGCAAGCTCCGCCTCCTGCGTTCATGTCATTCTTCTGCCTTAGCCTCCCGAGTAGCTGGGACTGCAGGTGCCTGCCACCACGCCAGGCTAATTTTGTTTTTGTATTTTTAGTAGAGATGGGGTTTCACCGTGTTAGCCAGGATGGTCTCCATCTCCTGACCTTGTGGTCCGCCCTCCTCAGCCTCCCAAAGTGCTGGGATTACAGACGTGAGCCACTGCGCCTGCCCTTATTTTTATTATTTTTGAGACAGGGTCTCACTATGTTGCTCAAGCTGGAGTGCAGTGGTATGATCATGGCTCACTGTAGCCTCAACCTCCTGGGCTCAAGTGATCGTCCCACCTCAGTCTCCTGAGTAGCTGTGACTACAGGCATTCGCCACCATACTTGGCTAATTTTTTAAATGTTTGTGGAGACAGGGTCTCCCTATGTTACCCAGGCTGGTCTCAAACTCCTGGGCTCAAGAGATCCTCCTGCCTTGGCCACCCAAAGTGCTGGGGATTACAGGCATGAGCCACCGTGCCCAGCCAATATCTCTCTTTTTATAAGGAGAGAGAGTAAGTCTTTAGAGATTTTTCAGAGGCCCTCTGGAATATACCAAATTTAGTTGGAGGTCAAAAAGACTTCATTTAAAATTTGATTTTTGGAAGTTTGTCAAAAATATTAAAAGGTTTGAATGCTTGATTAAATAGGATCACAGATCACTATAAAACAATACCTAGTTATCTATTTGAGTGTCAAAAAATATTTTAAAGGGCCAGGCGCTGTGGCTCACGCCTGTAATTCCAGCACTTTGGGAGGCCGAGGTGGGTGGATCACCTGAGGTCAGGAGCTCGAGACCAGCCTGGCCAACATGGTGAAACCCCGTTTCTACTAAAAATACAAAAACTAGCTGGGCGTGGTGGCACATGCCTATAATCCCAGCTACTCGGGAGGCTGAGGCAGGAGAATCACTTGAAACCGGGAGGCAGAGGTTGCATGAGTGGAGATCGTGCCATTGTACTCCAGCCTGGGCAACAAGAGCGAAACTCTGTCTCAAAAAAAAAAAAATCACACATGTATAATATACATATACCGATACACAAAAACATATATGTAGACACAGAGATCTCTGTGATTTTCATTTTAAAATTTTAGTCATAAATCAGTAAAGCATATTAATATAAATTCACTAGTTTATATAAAATAGCTAGTATTCATTTTTTTCTCCACTTTATATTTTTATCTGAATTATGTTTTTTTTTTGGCAAGTGGGACAAATTAAGATTACCTGTTTACCAATATTTGTGGGGAAGATTTTTAAGATTTCCATCTTCCTCAATAAGTCATCTTATGGAGGCTGTGGACTAAATTTTAGGTGAGTGAATGAAGAGGCATCTAGCAGCTGTCAGGATGTTTCCAAAGTCCATCTGAATAGATAAAATTTCAAGTTTATTTCCAATTAAGGTTTTTTCTTTTTAGCTTTATGAAGTTGCTTTTTGAGGACCCTGGGTTGACTAAGAGCAGGGACAGGGCGGGGAGGTAAAGTTCAGGTGACTGAGCAGCTAGGAGAAAGTTCTGGCAGAGGTAGACAGAGAACAAGGTGAGATAGGAGTTTGAAGGGGGATATATTAAAAAACTGAAGGGAGCTGAATGGAAGTTCAAAGGTGGCAAAAGGAGGATGAAGAAGGAAAAGCAATAGGAAAGAAGAGGTCTTAAATGACTAGTTTGGAGAGATCCTAAGTTTTCCAAAAGGCCAATGAAGTTCCAAATTATCCTCAGTAAAATCAAACCCACAAGAAAAACAGGTGGACAGAGTTGGTGAAGCATACAGTCAGTAGGAGTTCAAGAAGGGGGTTTCAGCCAACTAAGAAGTTCCCATGGGAAGAATAGGATCAAATAGAACATAGAGAACTTAAAAAAAAACAGCTCCTAACAGGCTCAAAATGTAAGTTTCCAATTAGGCCAACTTCTGACCATACAAATCATTTTACTGTAAGTATAAGGGCTACTTTTGGGCTCTCTATTCTACTCCGTTGGTCTATATGTCTGTCTTTATGCCAGTACCACACTGTTTTGATTACTGTAGCTTTGTAGTAAGTTTTGACATCAGAAAGTGTGAGTCCTCTAGCTTTGTTCTTTTTCAAGATTGTTTTGGCTATTTGAGGTCCCTTGAGATTCCATGTAAATTTAGGATGGGTTTTTCTATTTCTGCAACAACTGTCTTTGCAATTTTGCTATAGATTGCATTGAATCTATAGATTTCTTTGGATTGTATTAAAATTGTAACAGTATTAAATCTTCTTATACGCTGGGCATGGTAGCTCAGGCCTGTAATCCCAGCACTTTGGGAGGCTGAGGCAGGAAGATCGCTTGAGTCCAGGAGTTTGTGACCAGCCTGGGCAACATAGGGAGATCTATCTCTACAAAACATACAAAAATTAGCCAGGCATAGTGGTGCACTCCTGTAGTTCCAGCTACTCAAGAAGCTGAGGTGAGAGGATCACTTGAACCTGGGAGGTCAAGGCTGCAGTAAACCATGATCATGCTCCTCTTGCTCTGGGAGAAGGAGCGAGACTCTGTCAAAAAAAAAAAAAAAAAAGCCTATCTTCTAACCCATGAACGTGGGATGTGTTTCCATTTGTTTATGTCTTTAATTTCTTCCAGCAATGTTTCATAGTTTTCATCATACAAGTCTTTTACCTCCTTACTTAATTTCTAAGTATTTCATTCTTTTTGGTGTTATTGTAAATGCAATTTTTTTTCTTTTTTTGAGACAGAGTCTCATTCTGTCTCGCCCAGGCTGGAGTGCAGTGGCATGATCTCAGCTTACTGCAGCCTCTGCCTCCCGGGTTCAAGCGATTTTCCTGTCTCAGCCTCCTGAGTAGCTGGGACTACAGGCATGTGCCACCACAGCTGGCTAATTTTGTGTTTTTAGTAGAGATGGGGCTTCACACCATTGTGTTTACATACCACATTATGTTTATCCATTCAGCTATTGATGGACACTTTGGTTGATTCCATATCTTGGCCACTGTGAATAAACAATCTTGGCTGCAATAAATATGGGAATACAGATATTTCTTTGATATTCCTTTCCTTTGGATATATACCCAATAGTGGCATTACTGGATCATATGTTAGTTCTATTTTTAGTTCTTTGAGGAACCTCCAAACTGTTTTCCATAATGGTTGTGCTAATTTATATTCCCACCAACAATGTATGAGTTCCCTTTTCTCTGCATCCTCATCGACATTTGTTATTCTTTTTTTCTTTTTGATAATAGCCATTCTAACTAGGGTGAGATGATAACTCATTGTAGTTTTGATCTCCATTTCCCTGTTGATTAGTGATGTTGAACATTTTTTCATGTACTTGTTGGTCATTTGCATGTCTTCTTTTGAGAAATGTCTATTCAGATTATTTGCCATTTTTAAAATCAGAGATTTATTTATTTATTTATTTATTGCTGTTGAGTCACTTGAGTTCCTTGTATATTCTGGATATTAACCCCCTGTTAGCTGAATAGTTTACAAATATATCCTCTCATTCTGCAGGTTGTCTCTTCATGCTTTTGACTATTTCCTTTGCTGTGTAGAAGAATCCGTTGAGCATTTCTTGCATAGTATGTCTTGCGATAATAAATGACCTCAGCTTTTGCTTATCTAGAAACATCTTAATTTCTCCCTCACTCCTTTTTTTTTTTTTTTTTTTTTTTTAGACAGAGTCTCGCTCTGTCGCCCAGGCTGGAGTGCAGTGGCGTGATCTCAGCTCACTGCAACCTCTGCCTCCTGGGTTCAAGCGATTCTCCTGCCCCAGTCTCCCAAGTAGCTGGGATTACAGGCGTGTGCCACCATGCCCAGCTAATTTTTGTATTTTTAGTAGAGACAGGGTTTCGCCATGTTGGTCAGGCTGGTCTTGAACTCCTGACCTCATGATCCTCCCGCCTCTGCCTCCCAAAGTGCTGGGATTACAGGCGTGAGCCACTACACCTGGCTGTCCCTCACTCTCGAAAGACTGTTTTTGCCAGATATAGGATTCCTGATTGACAGGGTTTTTTTTTTTCTTTTAGCACTTAGAATATATCAGCTGACTGCCTTCTAGTCTCCAAGGTTTCTGATGAGAAATCCCTTGATAATCTTATTGATGATTTCCTTGTATGTGATAAGTTGCTTTTCTCTTGATGCTTTTGAGATTCTCTTCTTATATTTGTCTTTTGAATATTTGATTATTATGTATCTCAGTGTAAATCTCTTTGGCTTGTTTTGGTTCACTTTTTTGAGACAGGGTCTCACTCTGTCACCCAGGCTGGAGTAAAGTGGTATGATCATAGCTCAACATAGCCTCCATCTCCCAGGTTCAAGTGATCCTCCTGCCTCAGCCTCCTAAGTAGCTGGGAGTACAGGCATGTGCCACCATACCCAACTAATTTTTAAATTATTTTTAGTAGAGATGAGGTCTCACTGTGTTACCCAGGCTGGTCCTGAACTCCTGAGCTCAAGCCATCCTTCCATCTCAGCCTCCTAAAGTATTCAGATTACAGGTATGAGTCATTGCATCCAGCCAGTGTAAATCTCTTTGAATTAATCTTACTTGGATTTTATTTTTGAGCTTCTTGGATGTTTATATTCATGTCTTTCATCAAATTTTGGAAGTTTACAGCCATTATTTCTTCAAATATTTTCTCTGTTCCTTTCTTTCTGTGTACTTCCTCTGAGACTCCCACAATGCATATTTTAGTCTGTCTGATGGTGTTCCATAGGTCCCTAGGCTCTGTTCACTTTTTTCAACCTTTTTTCTTTCTGTTCTTCAGACTTGGTGATTTCCATTGTCATATCTTCAAGTTTGCTGATTCTTTTCTGCCTGCTCCAATCTGCCTCTAAACACCTCTAGAGAACTTTTCATTTCAATTATTATACATTTTGGCTCCAGAATTCTTTTTGGTTTCTTTTTAGTTTTTCTTTTTTCTTTTTTTTTTTTTTTGAGACAGGATTGCACTCTTGTTGCCCAGGCTGAAGTGCAATGGTGTGATCTCAGCTCACCGCAACCTCTGCCTCCCAGGTTCAAGCAATTCTCCTGCCTCAGCCTCCCGAGTAGCTGGGATTACAGGCATGCGCCACCACGCCTGGCTAATTTTTTTTGTATTTTTAGTAGAGATGGGGTTTCTCCATGTTGGTCAGGCTGGCCTTGAACTCCTGACCTCAGGTGATCTGCCCACCTCAGCCTCCCAAAGTGCTGGGATTACAGGCATAAGCCACCATACCCAGCCTCTTTTTAGTTTTTCTATCTCTTTATTGATATTTCAATTATGTTCATACAGTTTTCTTGACTTTCTCCGTATCTTCTTTTAGTTCCTTAAGCATTTTTAAGACAGTTATTTTAAAGTCTTTTTCTAGTAGATGTGCTATCAGGTTTTATTCAGAGACAGTTTCTGTTTATTTTTCCTTTGAATGGGCCATACCTTCTTGTTTCTTTGTATGCCTTGTGTTTTTTTGTTTTTGTTGTTGCAAACTGGACATTTGAATCTAATATGTGGTAATACTGGATATCAGATATCCCCCTTCCCCCAGAGTTTACTTTTTTTGTTAGTGCTTATTGGTTTTGTTTTTGTTTCTTATTGTTGTAGGCTATCTTTGTACCAAGGAGCAGCCTGAGGTATAAACTTAAGGTCTTCATAGGTCTTTTCTGAGTCTGTAACTTTCCCTGGGTGTGCACAGTCACTTTCTACTTTTCCCTGTGTATGCAGTTGCTTTTGAATGTCCTAGTCCCCAAAAAGAGGAAAAAGAGAAAAATGAAGGGGAGAGAAAAGAGAACCAGACCTTAAAATGCCCTGGAAGTCACTTTAGCCAGAGTGGGAGGGACTTGAAACAATACTGGGAAGTAGAACAGCAATGGCCACCCACCTCTTTGTCTGCACTTCTGTGATTAAAAGCAGCAATTAGTGATTAGAGAGCATGAATCCCTGATATTTGGAGGACAGGGTCCATTGTTGCCTACCCTGGCTCCTACAAGCTGTGTGTAGGTTGCTCCAGAAATATGTGCACACCTGCATGCCACGTGGCTGGGAGTAGGGGATGGGTAGTTGCTACTATACTAAGAGCTGAAATTGATTGGAATTAACCACAATTTACTATCTAAGCCTTTCCAAGGAAGTTCCAAGCATTCAGAAGTCTCCAGACTTTGGAGTCTCCAGAGTTCCAAAGAGTTACATCAGACAGATTCTTCCAGTGTGATTATTGTCTATGTGGGGAGATAGGTTCCTGGGACTTTCTTTTTTTTTTTTGAGACAGAGTCTTGCTCTGTCGCCTGGGCTTGACTGCAGTGGCCCAATCTTGGCTCACTGCAAGCTCCACCTTCCGAGTTCATGCCATTCTCCTGCCTCAGCCTCCCGAGTAACTGGGACTACAGGTGCCCGCCACCACGCCTGGCTAATTTTTTTGTATTTTTAGTAGAGACGGGGTTTCACCGTGCTAGCCAGGATGGTCTCGATCTCCTGACCTTGTGATCTGCCCGCCTTGGCCTCCCAAAGTGCTGGGATTACAGACGTGAGCCACTGCACCCGGCCGGTTCCTGGGACTTTCTATTCTCCCATATTCCCAGAATCTCCTTATGAGGTTTTAGAGGCTTATCCTCTGCAAACATAAAATCAGCCCAAGAAGTAGAACTCATAGTTCTTGCACAAACTTTTAAATTAGCCACCAATCTTGAAGTAAATATCTATACTGATAGCAAATATGCATTTGGAGTCTATCATGCTATGAAACAAATATGGAAGAATAGAGGCTTTCTAACATCCATGTGAACTAAAATATCACATTGTAAACTAATTCTCAATCTTTTAGAGTTATCCCAGCTTCTCCAACAGATTTCTGTAATTCATTGTGGTGTGCATACCAGACACAGTAAAACGTCTAAAGAAATTTAATTTGCACACCAAGCTGTGAAAAAGGCTACTAAAGTTTTGACTGGAGAAATTTAATCACCATTACTTATATCCGGGGATTCCTATTCACAATTTCAGAAACGTGCAACTTCACAAGATTTAGAAAATTGGAAACCAAGGGTATCTAAGAACACCATAGGGCTTTGGGAATTATACAATAAAATTATTCCTGCACTTCAATTGTTGTACCTTGGATGCCTTTTTCATATTGTCAACAAACTAATTTAAACAAAAGAAATATACTGAACACCTTGGAATCTTATCACACTTGGAATAAAGATCAAATAATTCAGGATATAATACAAAGGTATGTTGCTTGTCAGAAAAATTGTTTACAGGGGGCACATAAGGAAGCTAAGGAAGCCTACTGAAGGCATTATTACCTGGAATCTGGTAGCAAACGGATTTTATAGAGTTTCCGTCCTCAGAAGGTAAGAGATATTGATTAGAATAATTGTATATGATGTCTGAATTACTGGAAGTGCTCCTATCAGCTAAAGCAGATGCTCAAACAGTGATCAAGGCCTTACTGAATTTTATCATCTCAACCTTTGGAATTCTAAATATCTGGAATCTGTTGGGAAAAGCTATTTCATTTCTATGGTAACTTAAGAGCTCTGTAAAAAAAAAAATTGCCAGTAATTTACAATACTCCTTATTATTCCCAGTCTTATGGACAAGAAGAATGAATGAAGCATATTCTAAATAATTTTTTTAAACAAAAGTTTTCACATATTTATTAATGAACCAACCTACTAGTACAGAGCATAGAAATAAAGATAAACATAATTTTCCCCATAAACATGTCCAACTGTCCAGATAGTGATGTTTTCAGTTTTATACAGTAAGATAATTGTGACCTTGATACAGCATAAATATGTGTGCCATCTCATGTTCAATTCCTAATAAGGGAGGAGACCACCCCTCATATTGTCTTATGCCCAATTTCTGCCTCAAAGAAAAAGTAGGAGTTAAAGAAAAGACAGAAGTGAAATCAGTAGTCAGACAGCCTGGTGCTGCATTCCAGGCCTGGTAGTTAAACATCGACCTCTGACCTAACTGGTTATGTTATCTATAGATTCCAGACATTGTATGGAAAAGCATTGTGAAAATCCCTGTCCTGTTCTGTTCCATTCTGATTACCGGTGCATGCAGCCCCCAGTCCCGTATGCCCTGCTTGCTCAATCGATCACAACCCTCTCATGCGGACCCCTCTTAGAGTTATAAGCCCTTAAAAGGGACAGGAATTGCTCACTCAGGGAGCTCAGTTTTTGAGCCGTGAGTCTGCTGACGCTCCCGGCCGAATAAAGCTCCTTCCTTCTTTAACCCGGCGTCTGAGGAGTTTTGTCTGCGGCTTGTCCTGCTACACTTATAGACTAAGCTTGGTTCTTAACCAATGCATCCTCCAGGAGTTTTACTTGATTTTATTACCAGTTTTCATCCAAATCCAGAATGGGATGATTTCATACTTGTTTCTTAGCTAGGAATCACTTGATCCTAAGTGTCTTGTGAGACGACAAGGAAAGGAATAGAGTTGACTGCATATACCGTGATGGAAGAGTAAGGCCATACTCTAAAGAATTTTTTGGCTAAATAATATCAAACCACTGGCTTGTGATAGCCCAGAATCTTATCACACTTTACCATTGATTTTATTAAAAATAAGGTCACCTGTTTCAGCAAGTGTGTTATTTCTCCCTTTGAGTTTTTGTTTGGAAGATTTATAAACTCAGGGTTTAATTCTAACTCCTTATTAGATACAATGGAAAACACTTATGATATCAGATACAGTACTCAGAGGGTTTGCTGGTTCTTTGGCCTCATTACACCATCGCATGGCCAGATCTGAAACAATCCCTCTGAGGAGATGTGTCATTGATATCCACCAGGAAACAATGTCTACAATCAAAGTGTTCCAATGACCAGGAAATAAAGTCTATATCAAAGTGTTTCAATTATAAACTGTATGGCTACTACTGTTATATAATTAAGCTAAAGATTGCCCCCATATTGTTACTTCTTCACAGCAGGCTAGTACCTGTAGCTCAAAAGCCTAAAATTTTTACACATCCAGTTGTTTTAAATATAAATCAACTAAGCAGATTCTGGCAGATTGGCCAGTTACAGCCAGCCTGCTTTACATACTCCACAACACTATACCTAACATCTGCTAGACATTGATAAGACAAACCCTGTATCTATAAAAAACCAAGCTAATGCTGACCTTTGATGCTCTCTAACCCAGAAACTCCCTGATATGGTTTGGATCAGCGTCCCTGCCCAAATCTCATGTTCAATTGTAATCCCCAATTCTGGAGGTGGGGCCTGGTTGCAGGTGATTGGATCATGGAGGTGGTTTCCAGTGGTTTAGCACCATCCTCCTAGTGCTGTCTTGTTATAGAGTTTTCACAAGATCCAGTTGTTTAAAAGTGTGTGGCACTTCCCCAACCCCTCTTCCTCCTGCTCCAGCCATGCAAGACGTGCTTGCTTCCCCTTCTCTTTATGCCATAATTGAAAGTCTCCTGAGCCCTCCCCAGCCATGCTTCCTATGCAGCCTGCAGAACCATGAGTCAATTAAACCTCTTTACTTTATAAATTGCCCAGTCTCAGGTATTTCTTTATAGCAGTGTGAGAATGGACTAATACACTCCCCATCTTGCTGCTGAGTAATATAACCTACACAAATAAACTCTATCTCTGATTCAGCCCTCAGCTTTCCCCTGGGAGTTCCCTTGCCCTTTCCCCTTCTGAGTAATGACCCGGTACAGTTGCCTCTGGATAGTCTCCTGCTGTGAAGGACTTCCTCTCTCAAGCAACCTCTCCAAGTGCCACCCAAACAAAGCTTGTTATGTGCTACTGCCACCTTGTGGTTATCTTTTTTGGCTCAGCCTCAAAATCCTACAAGTGAGTTCTATAGGATCCTGGTGATCAAGCAATTGGGAAGAGGTCTATTCCCATCGGTAGGACAATAAATAGGCAAATTGATCTTGGAAGGCCTTTAAGTGATTGGAATTCAATATTTGGAATACCTCTGCATCAGTTTGGCATGGCATCACTCTTTGCTGTACTTCATTCTATAGTTTTTGTGGTCTCCCTATATACCTCATTCGCCTGGCCAAGTTGTAGCACCAGTATTTTAGTGAACTCACATCATTAGAACTTTTATGGTCAGAAATGCTAAGCTGCCCAGGAAAGATCAGCCAGCCCACCTGGGTCCCTCGCTAGGCAGGTGCTAGAAGTTGTAAGATCCACGGTCCCAAACAGGAAAAGGAGAAGAGTTCATGCTTCTGGACCAAGAGTGGGCTGCCCCTGATCCCATAACAGCTACAGTGAAAGGAGCTCCCTTAGCTCAGCTAAGGATTTGAAGTACTCTGAGATGAGAGGACATCTTTGTCCTTGGGGACCACTATAGTAGGCAAAGGAGCTAATTAATAAGGCAGATGCGTCAGATTAGGGTAGGTCACCTAAATGCAGGTGGGAAAGATGCCTTTGCAAGCAGTTAGTATGCTTCTGCTGATGTGACACAATTATGTTGTTGAGAATGTTGTCACTCTATCCCTTCCTTGGAAGGATGTTGAGATCCCAATTCTTGGGCTGAGCTGGCTAAAGCATTTTCTTTTTTTTCTGGGTTTTTTTTTTTTTTTTTTTTTTTTGAGACGGAGTCTTGCTCTGTCTCCCAGGCTGGAGTGCAGTGGCGCGATCTCGGCTCACTGCAAGCTCCGCCTCCCAGGTTCATGCCATTCTCCTGCCTCAGCCTCCCGAGTAGCTGGGATTACAGGCGCCTGCCACCACACTCGGCTAATTTTTTGTATTTTTGGTAGAGATGGGGTTTCACCGTGCTAGCCAGGATGGTCTCCATCTCCTGACCTCGTGATCCGCCTGCCTTGGCCTCCCAAAGTGCTGGGATTACAGGCGTGAGCCACTGCGCCCATCCTTTTTTTTTTTTTTTTTTTTTTTTTTTTTTTGGTGACAGGGTCTTGTTCTGTTCCCCAGGCTGGAATGCAGTGGTTCCATCTCAGCTCACTGCAACCTCCACCTCCCGAATTCAAGCGATTCTTGTGTCTCCTGAGTAGCTGGGATTACAGGCGTGCACCACCACACCCAGTTAATTTTTGTATTTTTAGTAGAGATGGGGTTTCGCCATGTTGGCCAGGCTGGTCTTGAACTCCTGGCCCTAAGTGTTCTGCCTGCCTTTGCCTCTCAAAGTGCTGGGATTATAGGCACAAGCCACCGCACCCAGCTGCATTGCTCAAAGTGACTAAAGTTAAGGAAATTTATACCCCTGCTCCTCCCAGGACTCTAAAAGAAGTCACTGTCCTGCTATACATGTGCTCCAAATCACAAGATATAAGCTGGACCTTGCTCTAGGCAGCTTCTCATCAGCATGCCACCTGAAGAGGAAGTAGGACCCCCCCCCCCCCAAACTACCTGTAGAGGAGGACTGGTGCTCACTAGAAAAAAAAAAAAGCAGCATGGTGTCACCACAGTAGTGACTGGGATGACTTGCCCTCTGCTTTGCTGGTAACCACCTGCAAAGTAATAAAGACAGAAAAGACAAAAGGGGAGGACCAAAAAAGAGGTGCTAATTTTTACTTGGTGGAGGAGATATATCCTCTCTCTCACCTTGAGGCTGCTTCTCTCCTTAAAGACCTAGCCCAGAAACTGAATGATAAAGGGTCTGCCTAGCTATATAGAAGGAACCTGGCAAAGAGCTAGCTCCACCTAAAGGGCACTGACATTAAACAGTTGGCTGCCATAGTATGAGATGAAAAAATGGTGTCTCTATTAAAGGATCCTGCACAATTTGTACAGAAGGTTGTAATGATCCCCAGAACAGACTTTGGATGTTGGCCCAAATATATCTTGTTGATATGGATTTTTTATGGCTTTACAGGCTGCACAGGCTATCGTAGGCCTTTTAACAGCCTAAGCCAACTGTCAATGGAAAATGTTAGTCAAGGCCAATGATCTCCTCCGCTATTTGGGGATGTTGGAGTGGGCTTATCAGGCAACACATATTTTGTGGTATGATGACTTGGCAAGTCCAGAGGATGTTGAATTAAATCCTGAATCCATCTAGTTGTTTTTCAGGAGGGCTCTCAACAAATATATGTTATGTCCTCTTTACTGGCAATGATGGCTAATACTAAAACAGTAAAGAGGCCATAGATGCCCTAGATTTAGTAGAAACTCATGAAACACAAATTCAAAGCCAAGTGTTGCCTGTTAATTCTACAAACAATACCCCACCTGGCCTAAATTAAAATAACTATCAACAGTAAGGTCACCTCCCTCCTAGGCCAAACAAACCACCTACAGTCAGGGCCCTGGTTAAGCAAGAACCCTGAGATGAACAAGAGGGATTATTGCACCCTAAAGGGGAAGAAGGCCCCAAATTGGATGATCTCTGGTAAATCAGTGCAACAATCATAATACTTACTACAGTTAGATTACAACCGGTTGCAGACTTCCCATTTCTTTTTTTTTTTTTTTTTTTTTCTTGAGACGGAGTCTTGCCCTGTCACCAGGCTGGAGAGCAGTGGCGTGATCTCGGCTCACTGCAATCTCCGCCTCCCGGGTTCAAGCGATTCTCCTGCCTCAGCCTTCCGAGTAGCTGGGATTACAGGCATGTGCCACCACACCCAGCTAATTTTTGTATTTTTAGTAGAGACAGGGTTTCACCATGTTGGCCAGGATGGTCTCAATCTCCTGACCTTGTGATCTGCCCGCCTCGGCCTCCCAAAGTGCTGGGATTACACGAGTGAGCCACCACGCCCGGCCTTTTTTTTCTGAGATGGAGTCTCACTCTGTCGTCCAGGCTGCAGTCCAATGGTGCAATCTCGGCTTACTGCAACCTCCGCCTCCTGGGTTCAAGCAATTCTCCTGCCTCATCCTCCCAAGTAGCTGGGACTACAGGTGCACGCTGCCATGTCTGGTTAATGTTTTGTATTTTAGTAGAGACGGGGTTTCACCGTGTTGCCCAGGCTGGTCGTGAACTCCTGAGCTCAGGCAATCTGCCCGCCTCGGCCTCCCAAAGTGCTGGGATTACAGGTGTGAGCCACCGTGCCCGGCTCCAGCCTTTTTTTTTTTTCTTTTTTGAAACAGAGTATGGCTCTGTCACCCAGGCTGGAATGCAGTGGCAGAATCTCAGCTCACTGCAACCTCCACCTCCCGGACTTAAGCCATCCTCCCACCTCAGCCTCCTGAGTACCTGGAACTGCAGATGCACACCACCATGCCCGGCTAATTTTTGTATTTTTTGTAGAGGTGGGGTTTTGTCATGTTGCCCAGGCTGGTCTTGAACTCCTGAGCTTAAGTGATCCGCCAGCCTCAACCTCCCAAAATGGTGGGGTTACAGACGTGAGCCACCACACTCAGCCAGTCTTCTCATTTCAAAGCCCTTTTACCTTCTGTACTTGTTCTTGATCTCTGTCAGTAACAGAAGCTCACTTCCACATAGGGATCCAATGGTCATGGAAGTGAACCTCTTCTGGTAGAATATCACCATTTACCACATTAACTGTGGTTTGGGCTCCAAAAAAGAAATAATGCTGACTGGTTTTGTTGTACATGGGTACCCAAATCTCCCCAATCCCCCAAATCACTCATGTTTTAAAGAGACCACTTACCCGACCTCTCCAAAGAGGACTAATTAAGTGGGAAATTACTTGCTTAACTATTAAAATTGGCCCACTTTCTGCTCAAAGATGCTTTTGTCCTAGTTCTTCTCCACCCTCACCCCCTTTTCCCATTAATAGAATGGACCTCCTCAGTTAGCAGGTAACTTCATGGAACAAACTTAAGGCTTTTACACTATTGATGGGTGCTGCCCAGTGGGAATCAGTTAACCTTCCCCTATTGGTGTGGAAGGTAAATATACCACAGTACTGGCTAAGGCAAGACACTGAAGGATTATGACTTCTCATAGCTGCCTTAGTTAAAGAAAGGCACTGATTCCTACCAGCTCGCCTTTAAATTCTCCAATATGGTCTGTGCTTAAAACCACTACTAACAAATGGTGGCCAACTTAGCCTAAAGAGAGTTAACAAGGCTGTTCTCTTTATTAGAGCATCCCCACCAGATATTGTTGCCTTAGTAAACAACATTCAAAACAACAAGGGTAAATCGTTTGTAGTTACAGACTTGGCTAACATGTTCAATTCAGTAAAAATTTCACAGGAAAGTCAATCACAATGTACCTTTGCCTTTGGTGGTCAACAGTATGCCTTTTCCCAGTTACCTATCGGAAATTTAAATAGCTCTGGAATTGCACAGTTTTTGCAAACAGGACCTAAATGTGTACCCTGCGTTTCCACCAGAAACTTGGCTTTGGCTGAGTTACATATATGACATCCTCCTCACTGTACTTGATTAAGACTGTCTCACAGTCCATCATAACTGTGAGTAAACACCTCACTGAGAAAGGATGGGCAATTGTCCTGCATAAGATACAAGGCCATCACAGTCTGTTAAATTTGGGGCTATATCTGGAATTTAGGAGGGCAAACTATTCCTGATCTGGTAAAGGATAAGCTCCTAGCACTCCAACCTCCCCCATTGGTAAAGAAGGCTTAACATTTGGTACCAATGTTTGGATTTTGGTGCCAACACGTTCCTTACCTCCAATATTTGCTAGTTCCTATATATTGAAAAGCCCATAGTCTTTCATTTTCCAGTAGGGCTCTGACCAACAACAAATGCTAAACTAAAGGAGGCTATTGCTTTGAAAGTTCCACCAGTGCTTTGAGAACAGGACTTAACAATGAATTTCAACCATGTCTTAGTTCATTTTGTGCTGCTATAACACAATAACAGAGAATGGGTGATTTATAAAGAAAAGAAATTTATTTCTCATAGTTCTGGAGGCTGAGAAGTCAAGATCAAGGTGCCAGCATCAGATGAGGGCCTTATTGCTGTTATGGCAAAAGGCATCACATAGGTGAGAAAGAGAGAGGGAATTAGGCAAAATTTATCCTTTTATAAGGAACACAGTCACTCTATAATGACATCAATCCATTCATGAAGGCAGAGCCCCCATGACTTAATCACCTCTTAAAGGTCCCACTTCTCAATACTGTTGCATTGGGGATTAAGTTTCCGACACAAAAAACTTTGGGGAACACATTCAAATCATAGCAGACTACTTAAAGATTTGCCTTCTGGAGGCTCTGAACCAAATAACAAGTAAATGCTTATATACACATGGTCTTTTGATGTATGAGACTTCCTGACTCAGCCCAAAGGTATTCACCACTAGAGAGGCAACTCCTGGCAGTGTATTGAGCACTTACTGAAACCGAAGCCCTTACTGAAACAGAGTCAATTACCGTATGGATTGAGATTCCTATTTTTCCCTGGGTAATGGAAAAATCTCCCTGTAAAATTGTATCAGTAACAGAGCACTTCCTATTAAAGTGGATATGGTATCTACAGGATAGAGCTAAACCTGTCCTTATTGGAGTGTAACAACTCCATGAGGAAATAACCACATACCCCGCCTCAGAGGTTAACTTGCCATAACCTCCAGAAATGCCTTCACCTTTTGCTCAATATGGAATAAAGAGGATGGTTAACACTTTCAAACCAAGAACAATGGCTTGTCTTCCAATGAAGTTAGCACGGGGTATAAGGGAGCCAGATAATGGACAGCCACAGCCTATCACACCTATGCAAATACCCTAATTTTCATAAGGGGGACAGACAAAGTGCCCAATGAGCTGAGCCATGTGCAATACTCCTAGCAATAGGCAATGTCCTGGACAAACATTTTCCTAAGGTTTTTATTTTCACTGACACTTAGTTGGTGGCTAATGGGCTAACTACTTGGTCAGAACTTTGGCAAAAATCACAGCTGGAAAACACAAGGCCAAGACATTTGAGGTCAAGGGATACAAGAAAAAAGCAGTCATGTTAGTTTCTGTTTTGCCCATCTTAGTGCACCATATCTTTGTTAATACCAAACAAGACACAGAGAAGTGATGATAAAACCCTAAAGCCAATGAACTAACCAGATAATCAAAACAGGTAGGTCTCTTAAAGAAGGGAGAGTTCCCAGAATTTTGAGATGAGCCACTCCTACCCCTTCTTTTGGTGGGTACCCTAGAGGTCAGGGCATTTGGACATCATGGGGTTATGAAAATGGATTGTTAATATAGGAGCTGATGGAGTACAGAGACATTTACAAAAAGTCACTAGGGACTATACCACATGCCAGAAATGTAGACATTGGAGAAATTTACAGAGGAGGAGAGCCACATCAGAACTGGCTAATCAACTTCATTGGGCCTTTCCCTGCAATAGTAGGAGCCAATAGATATGCCTTAACAATGCAGATAAGGCCTTCTATTGGCTTACTTATGTAAGGCACCAACCTCTCCTAATGTTATTGAGTAGTTAACAAAACAGTTTTTACAGATTTTGGGAGTACCACAAGTTATACAATCAGATCAGAGCTCCCACTTCACTGCAAAGCAAATGCAACAGTGGGCTTTATGAAAGAATATTGCTGAGGTTTTTCACCTGCCCTATCATCCTAGAGCAAGAGATATAGAAAGTTGTGGCTGGGCGCAGTGGCTCACGCCTGTAATACCAGCACTTTGGGAGGCCGAGGCAGTGGATCACGAGGTTCAGAGTTCAAGACCAGCCTGGCCAAGATGGTGAAACCCCATCTCTACTAAAAATACACACAAAAAAATAATCCCAGCTACTCGGGAGGCTGAGGCAGAGAATTGCTTGACCCCTGGAGGTGGAGGTTGCAGTGAGCCGAGATCACGCCACTGTACTCCAGCCTGGGTGACAGATTGAGACTCCGTCTCAAAAAAAAGAAAAAAAAAGAAAGTTGTAATGGGGCCAGATATGGCGGCTCACACTTGTAATCCCAAAATTTTTGGAAGGCTGAGACAGGAAGAGTGCTTGAGCCCAGAAGTTTAAGGCCATCCTGAGCAACATACTGAGACCTTGTCTCTACAAAAAAGTCCACAAATTAGCTGGGCATGGTACCATGTACCTGTGGTCCCAACTACTAAGAAGGCTGAGGTAGGACGATCACTTGAGCCTGGTAGGTGAAGCTGCAGTGAACCCCGATTGTGCCACTGCACTGCAGCCTAGGCAACAGAGTGAGACCCTATCTCAAGAAAAAAAAAAGATGTAATGGGCTTTTAAAACAAGGATAACTGAGATATAACCATATTATTTTGGATTCAAATAAATTTCTATGCTAATTTTTAAAGAAGCAATGGCTATTGAGAGAACTTTGAGGACAGTGGTCCTGTAAATAGTTAAAAATACTATTCATAGTCTTGATTACATTAAATTCACACCCCTATGGCACAACTATATCATACTTAAATTTACAACAAACCGGGAGACCACCAACAGAGATGTTGTAACTTCTGTTGCTGTATATACCCACACTTAATGCAACACAATTACCAGTTTTTACAGACATGGGAGCCCCGACATTACCACCCACAGCACAGGAACATTCACCTGATACTTTCACTTTTCCTTTTCTCTTCATAGAAAATACAGAGCCTAGCCACTTCCTCCTCAATCCCAATGAGGACCTGAAGTAAACCATCAACTCTGGAATAATCCTCAGCCTGCGCCTGCTCATCATCTAGCATAAGTGGAGAAAACCACCCACTACTATCTGGAGAAAGACAGACATACTTATCTGTGACTCACATACTTTGCTCCTCTAAAGACACTGTGGAACAAATCTGGATCTGCTTCCTCGGAGGTGAAATTAATTGCCCTTGGGCAATACAAAGGGGAAAAACAGATTCATTACTGCTGGCCATAGACGACTCCTAACTTTTTCCTATTCTCAAGTGTTAACTACATGTCCATTGGTGGATCACCTTAGCATGCCACGTGTATACCAAAGGGAGATACACAACACTGCTCAGATTAGGGACAATGAAAACCACTCCGTTGGTTATTCAGATTTGTTAATTCTACTAACATGATCACAGATATCAACACTCCAGCTAGCATTCTACCTCCTATCTCTACTATTGCTAGCAACACTTATCCCAGCCAAGCCAGAGTCTATAATATTGCTGGTGACCCATAGGTGCCTTCTAAGCCCTGTGAACCAATTTTTACTTCAAATAAAATGAAACCCACTGTTATTAATTAGTGTAATCAAGCAATTGGAACTACTGTCCACTGTCTATCAAATCTCATTTAAGAAATTCCTCATGATAGGTCAGGAGATCGAGACGATCCTGGCTAACACGGTGAAACCCCGTCTCTACTAAAAATACAAAAAAATTAACTGGGCATAGTGGCGGGCGCCTGTATTCCCAGCTACTTGGGAGGCTGAGGCAGGAGAATGGCGTGAACCCGGGAGGCGGAGCTTGCAGTGAGCCTAGATAGCGCCACTGCACTCAGGCCTGGGCGAAAGAGCGAGACTCTGTCTCAAAAAATAAATAAATAAATAAATAAATAAATAAATAAATAAAAATAAAAATAAATAAATAAATGAATTAATTAAAAAAAGAAATTCCTTATGATAGTATGCACCCAATATTGCAACTAGGAGGTTCATGATTGTTGCAATCAAATTAAAAACACTGTAATCCACAAGAAATACCAACAAACTATCTGGGATTACAGAGGTAATTATAATTCCTAATCCCGGGATGATGATAAATGTAAACCCTACCAACAATGTATGCCCTAACAACTATTGGCCTGTTTTTCTATTAATTATTATTCTTATTTTTTTTGAGAGGGAGTCTTGCTCTGTTGCCCAGGCTGGAGTGCAGTGGCGTGATCTCGGCTCACTGCAAGCTCCGCCTCCCGGGTTCACGCCATTCTCCTGCCTCAGCCTCCTGAGTAGCTGGGACTACAGGCGCCTGCCACCACACCCGGCTAAGTTTTTGTATTTTTAGTAGAGATGGGGTTTCACCGTGTTAGCCAGGATGGTCTCAATCTCCTGACCTCGTGATCCACCTGCCTTGGCCTCCCAAAGTGCTGGGATTACAGGCATGAGCCACCACGCCCGGCCAGTTTTTCTATTCATTATTATGATCTTTCTCCTCCTCCAGTACAAGCCCCATTTATTGGGGTGGAAAGAAATTGGCACTTTACCATGAACCTCCTCTGTGATGGTTAATTTTATGTATCAGTTTGGCTGGGCCATGGTGCCTAGATATTTGGTCAAACATTATTCTGAATATTTCTCTGATGGTGTTTCTGTGCAGGTATGTTTTTTGGATGAGGTTAATAGTTAAATCAGTGGACTTTTGGATGGACATCAGCAAGATAGTGGAATAGGACTCTCCAGTGCTTGTCCCCTGGCAGAAACATCAATTAAAAAAACTATCCACACATAAAAATACCTTCAGAAGAGCTAAGAAAACCAGGTGAGAGATTACAGTACCTGGGTGTAGCACAAAAATAAGAAAAGATACATTGAAGAACCAGTTTACATTACCCATGTTACCTCTCCCCTAGCTCTAGACAGCACAACATGGAGATACCCTCTGCTTGGGGGAAGGAGAGAGGGCCTCTGTAAAACTCAGTACCAGGCAGGCTTCCACAGATCCAGACTTCAGGCTGGTACCTACGGATTGAGCCTCCAGCCTGGCCTGATACCAGGCAAAATCCAACAACATCAGGCTCCAGGCCTGCATGGTGGACTCAGTCTCCAGGCTGTTCCACCACTAGGATAACCTCAGCAGTCCCAGGCTCTGAACTGCCCCCAGAACCCAGCTGGCCTCCATGGCCACAGGCTTCAGGCCCACCCCAGCACCAACTGGTCACCACAGCCCTAGTTAGTTCATCAGGCCAGACTTTGTGGATACAGGATCCAGGCCCACCCAGCACCAAGCCAGCCACTGTGGCCTCGGGCATCAGGCCCACCCCAGTGGCCCCAGGCTTTGGACCCCCTGCCCCTACAGCACTGGGCTAGTCCCCATGCCACAGGCTTCAAAGCTACCCCAACACCAGGCTGACCCCTACAGCATTAGTCATCAGGCAAACACCTGTGGTGCCCTGCCTCCTGCCTGGCCCCTATGGACAGGCTCCAAGACCACCCAGCACCAGGCCAGCTCCTGCAGCCCCAGGCTCAATGCTGGTACCCACTCATTGAGCCTCTAAGCCCACCCCAGCACCAGCCAGGATCCTGCAGCCTGAGGCTCCAGGCCTGCCCAGTGAACTTGATCTTCATGCCTGCAGTAGCCCTAAACTCCAGACCATCCCTAGCACCAGACTGACCTCTATGGCCCTAGGTTTCAAGCCCACCACACCACCAGGCTGGCCCCTGCAGCTCTAGTCATCAGACCAGCACCTGTAGACTCAGCCTCTAGGATGGCCCCTGCAGATATAAAATCCAGGTCTACCCAGTGTCAAGCCAGCTCCTGAAGCCCCAGGCTTCAGGCCTGCCACAGCACCAGGTCAGCACCTCTGGCCTCAAAAACCAGGTGGGTACCTGTGGACACAGGCTCCAGGCTTGTCCAGTACCAGGCAGGTCACCTTGACTCCACCCTCCATGCTGGCCCCTGCAGCCCCATGCTCTAGCAGACCCAGGATTCAGGCCTATCCCAGTAGACCCCTGCACTAGCATGGTCTCCATGACCCAGGCTCCAGGGCTGACCCTATGTATCTAGGTTCCCAAGGCCTAAGGACTGAGGCTAGCCCTCGGAGACCTACCCTATAGACCGGAATCTGTATACTCAGCATCCAGGCTGGGACCAGCAGATAAATTCCAGGTTGGTTCCCATAGCCCCCGGTTCCAGGCTAGCCTTAGCAAGCTCCAAACACCAGACTACCCCCCCACAGGCCCAGACTTCACACTGGCCCAGCACCAGGCCAGTCCCAGGCTCCAGTCATGTTACTGGGGCCCCAGGCCCCAGAGGACCCAGGGTCCAGGCCTGCTCCAGCATACCCAGGTTCCAGATCCAACACAGCAGACCTGAGTGCCAGGCTGAACCTTATGAATGAAGGCTCCAAGACCCCTTGCAGACCCAGACTCCAGGCCAGCCCCCACAGACCTAGGATCCAGACTTGCCCCATTGATTGAGGCTCCAGGACTGTCCTAGTGCCAGGCCAGCCCCATAGATTCAGGCTGCAGGCCCACCACTCCAGCACCAGGTCAGCACCTGTGGACCCAGGCTTCAAGCTGGCTCCCATAGATATAGGCTCCAGGCTCACTGACATGAACCCAGGCCCCTGGTCATCCATGCACAACCAACCAACAGTTCCACACCAGGGGATTGAGGCTTCAGACTCAACCCTGTGGGCCCAGGTGTCAGGCCCACCTACCTACTGTCCCAGGTGCCTGGCCAGCCTGCCCAAGGACTCTGATGGCAATCTTGCCATTGGATCGTGCCAGACGGCCAGCCCAGAATCTCTGGGTGGGCTGAATAGTGAAGGGCCTCCCAAGATAAAGGCAGTCTGAAAAGACTGAAATAAGCCCCTACTTCCTTAAATGCACAGACACCAATGTAAATCAATAAGAACATGAAAAACCAAGGAGACATAATACAACCAAAAGGACACAATAATCTCCCAGTAGCTGACCTCAAAGAAATGTAGATATACAAATTGCCAGATAAAGAATTCAAAATAATTGTTTTATGAAAGCTCAGTGAAAACCCAGAAAATCCAGAAAATCCAGGGGAACAATTCAATGAAGTCAGGAAAATAATAAATGACAAGAAGGAGAAATTTAACAGAGAGATTAAAATTATATTTAAAAACCCAGAAATTCTAGTGCTAAAAAAATACAATAAACGACATGAAAAATGTAAAAGAACATCAACAGCAGAATAGATCAAGCAGAAGAACGAATCCATGAACTAGAAATCAGGTTATTTGATGAGATTGGGCTTGTTCAGGATGGTATGGCTGTAGAAAATCAGTTTATTTGAAAATATACAATCAGAGGAGAAAAAAATGAATGAAACAGAATAAGGAAAGTATATAGGATTTATGGGACAGCATTAAAGAGCAAATATTGGAGCTAAGAGTTCTTAAATAAGAGACACAGGGGTCAAAATCTTGTTTAATGAAATAATAGCAGAAAACATTCCAAATTTGGAGAAAGATGTGAATATCCAGGTACAGGAAAGGCAAAGTTCTTCAATCCAAACAAGACTACACCAAGACATCTTATAATAAAACTGTCAATAATTAAGGACAAAAGGAGAATCCTAAAAGCAACAAGAGAAAAGAAGCAAATAAAGTATAAGGGACTTTCCATAAAGCTAGTAGGAGATTTCTTAGCAGAGACCTTGCAGGCCAGGAGAGAATGAGATAATATATTCAAAGTACTGAAGAAAAAATCCTGCTAGTAGTGTAACACAAAAGCATATGAAAGTATACAATTCACTGGTGAAAGTAAGTACATGATCATATTCAGAATACTCTAATACTGTAATGGCAATGTGTAAATCATTTAAATCTTTAGTATGAAGTTTAACATTCAAAACTATTAAAATAACAATAGCTACAATAATTTTTATGAGATACGAAATACAAAAAAAGGAAATTGTGATGTCAAAAATTTTAGATGTCGGGAAGGGTGGAGTAAAATTGTAGAGTTCTTTTATGCAATCACAGTAATGTTGTTATCAACTTCAATTAGCCTGTTATAACTATAAGATGCTTTTTGTAAGCCTCATGGTAACAACAAAGCAAAAACCTATAGCAGATACACAAAAGATAAAAAGTAAGGAATCAAAACATACTACTGGCCAGGCATGGTGGCTCACGCTTGTAATCCTAGCAGTTTGGGAGGCTGAAGCAGGCGGATCCACTGAGGTCAGGAGTTCGAGATCAGCCTGGCCAACATAGTGAAACCCCGTCTCTACTAAAAATACAAAAATTTAGCAGGGTGTGGTGGCCCATGCCTGTAATCCCAGCTACTCGGGAGGCTGAGACAGGAGAATCGCTTGAACCCAGGAGGCAGAGGTTGCAGTGAGCCGAGTTTGCACCACTGCCCTCCAGCCTGGGCGACAGAGCAAGACTCTGTCTCAAAAAAAAAAAAATACTACTACTAGAGGAAATACATAATCACAGAAAAAAACAAGAGAGAAATAAAAGGGAAAAATCTACTAAACAATCAGAAAACAATGAACAAAATGGCAGTAGTAAGTCCTTAGCTATCAATAGTTACCTTGAATGTAATAGGATTAAATTTTCCTGTCACAAGACATAGAGCGGCCAAATGAATTTTTTACAAAAACCAGGTGAGATGGTGCATGCCTATAGTCCCAGCTACTTGGGAGACTGAGGCAGGAGGGTTGCTTGAGTCCAAAAGTATGACTCCAGCCTGGGCTACCTAGTGAGACCCCATCTCAACAAAACATAAAACATTAGCCGGGCATGGTGGCACACATGGTCATCCCAGCTACTCAGGAGGATTGCTTGAGCCCAGCAGGTTAAGGCTGCAGTGAGCCATGATCATGCCACTGTACTCCAATCTTGGCAATAGAGTGAGACCCTGTCTCACAAAAAGAAAGAAATACATAAAAACAAAACAAAACAAACAACCCAAAGATGTAGTTCTTTTTTTTTAATTGTACTTTAAGTTCTAGGGTATGTGTGCACAACGTGCAGGTTTGTTACATAGGTATACATGTGCCATGTGGGTTTGCTGTACCCATCAACTCATCATTTACATTAGGTATTCCCCCTAATGTTATCCCTCCCCCAGCCCCCCACCCCCCAACAGGCCCTGGTGTGTGATGTCTCCCGCCCTGTGTCCAAGTGTTCTCATTGTTCAATTCCCGCCTATGAGTGAGAACATGCAGTGTTTAGTTTTCTGTCCTTGTGATACTTTGCTGAGAATGATGGTTTCCAGCTTCATCCATGTCCCTGCAAAAGACATGAACTCATCCTTTTTTATGGCTGCATAGTATTCCATGGTGTATATGTGCCACATTTTCTTAATCCAGTCTACCATTGATGGACATTTGGGTTGGTTCCAAGTCTTTGCTATTGTGAATAGGGCCACAATAAATATATGTGTGCATGTGTCCTTATAGTAGCATGATTTATAATGCTTTGGGTATATACCCAGTAATGGGATTGCTGGGTCAAATGGTATTTCTAGTTCTAGATCCCTGAGGAATTGCCACACTGTCTTCCACAATGGTTGAACTAATTTATACTCCCACCAACAGTGTAAAGGCATTCCTATTTCTCCACATCCTCTCCAGCAGCTGTTGTTTCCTGACTTTTTAATGATCGCCATTCTCAAAAGATGTAGTTCTAAGAGGGAAGTTTATAGCTATAAACACCTACATCAAAAAAGAAGAAAGCAAAACAACCTAACATTGCTCATCAACAAACTAGAAAAGAAAAAGTATAAACTAAGCCCAAAGTTTGCTGGAGGAAGGACATATAAATAACAGTGCAGAAATAAATGAAATAGAGACTATAAAAACAATAGAAAAGATCAACAAAACTAAGAGTTTGTGTTTTGAGAAGATAAAATCACCAATTTTTTTTTTTTTTTTGAAATGGAGTTTCGCTCTTGTTTCCCAGGCTGGAGTGCAACGGTGCGATCTTGGCTCACCACAACCTCTGCCTCCCGAGTTCAAGCGATTCTCCTACCTCAGCCTCCCTAGTAGCTGGGATTACAAGCATGCATCACCACGCCCAGCTAATTTTGTATTTTTGGTAGAGATGGGGTTTCTCCATGTTGGTCAGGCTGGTCAAGAACTCACGACCTCAGGTGATCCACCCGCCTTGACCTCCCAAAGTGCTGGGATTACAGGCATGAGCCACCACGCCCAGCCCAAAATCAACAAATTTTTAGCTAGACTAAGAGAAAAAATGAGGACTTAACTAAGTTAAATCAGAAATGCAAGAGGAGATATTATAAATGATACCACAGAAATACAAAGGAGACATCTATGAACAATGATATGCCAACAAATTGGATAACCTAGAAGAAACAGATCAATTGCCAGACACAGGCAACCTACCAAGACTGTATCATGAAGAAATAAAAAAATCTGAAGACACCAATAATGAGTAAGGAGATTGAACCAGTAATAAAAATCTCCCATCAAAGAAAAGCCCAAGACCTAATGGCTTCACTGAGGAACTCTACCAAACATTTAAAGAACTAATAATTCTTCTCAAATGCTTCCAAGAAAAAATGAAAAAGAGGGAACACTTCCAAACTCATTTTATAAGGCCCCCGGTATAAAAGCCAGAGGACACTACACAAAAAGAAAATTATGGGATGACTGGGCACAGTCACTCACACCTGTAATTTCAGCACTTTGGGAGGCTGAGGCAGGAAGATTTTTTGAGCCCAGGTGTTTGAGACCAGCCTGGGCAACATGGCAAAAACCCATCCCTACAAAAAAAACACAAAAACACCTGTAGTGTACACACCTGTAGTCCCAGCTACTCGGGATGCTGAGGTGGGAGGATCACCTGAGCCTGGGGAGGTTGAGGCTGCAGTGAGATGTGATTGTGCTACTGCACTCTAGCCTGCGTGACAGAGTGAGACCCTCTTTCAAATAAAAAAGAAAGAAAAGGAGAAAGAAAATTACAGGCCAGCATCCCTGATGAATATAGATGCAAAAATCTCAAACAAAACTAGCAAACTAAATTCAACAGCACATTAAAAGGATAATATATGATATTCAAGTGGGATTTATCCCAAGGATGGTTCAACATACACAAATCTATAAATGTGATATAGCACATTAACAGAATGATGAACAAAAACCATATGATCGTCTCAACAAATGCAGAACAAGCATTTGACAAAATTCGGCATTCCTTCATGATAAAAAATTATCAACAAATCAGGTGTAGAAGGAATGTACCTCAACATAATAAAGACCATATGTAACAAACCCAGAGATAACATAATACTCAATGGTAATAAGTTGAAAGCCTTTCCTCTAGCTCAGTAACAAGACAAAGATGGCCACTCTTTTATTTGTACATTATTTTAATAAAAAACACATTGCTGTGTACAAATATACAGATCTCAAATTGTAACATTAAAAGACAAAATGCAATAAAGTGGCTTTATATGTTTTCCTCACTGAGACAGATATTCTGGTGAATCTAGACATTTATGATCATTAATACATAATAAGCAAGAGAAGTACAGATTTTCCAACCTCATGATCAGTAAATTCCTTTGAAAATGAAGGAAGGTATCGGTCATCAAAAGGGGAAATAGTTGGTAAGTTAGATGGCCCTGCCTACACTGTGTAATGTAAGAGACATGATAAGAGCTATAAGAAACTATAGTTAAATGTTAGAAGTAAAGGCAAGGCTGGACGCGGTGGCTCATGCCTGTAATCCCAGCACTTTGGGTAGTGGAGGCGGGCGGATCACGGGTCAGGAGATCGAAACCACAGTGAAACCCCGTCTCTACTAAAAACACAAAAAAAAAATTAGCCGGGAACGGTGGCGGACGCCTGGAGGCTGAGGCAGGAGAATGGCGTGAACCCGGGAGGTGGAGCTTGCAGTGAGCCGAGATCGCGCCACTGCACTCCAGCCTGGGTGACAGAGCGAGACTCTGACTCAAAAAAAAAAAAAAAAAAAAAAAAGGAAGTAACGTCAATATAGCTTTCTCAGATTTCTCCCAGTGATTATATATCTGATATATAAACATCTTCAAATGTGAAATAGTTCAATATGGTTGTATTTGTTCCACAATGACACTTTGCCAATATATTAATGTGATCCATATTTTGAAGTAGAATGATCTATAAAGAAATAAATAAGAAATCCAATAAAGAAACCATTAGTTCCAAGTCAAATTATGTTAAAGGTCTGTAGAAAAAATAAGTGTGGGCAGGAAACATTGGCTACATGCCAATTTTTATTTCAAAGAGTAATGCTTGCACAAATAATAGTTTTCTTTGTCTTGCAAAACAAAACAAAAAAATCCCAAATTAATCTCACAAACCTAAATTAGCTGAACATAGAGTAACAAAGCCAGTATTGTCGTCTGCACATTAGTTTGATAAATCAAACTGCATCTTTGAAAAACCTGCATCTGCTGCTATGTAGAACTGATAATTACTTTTCAACATGTAAACGAAAAATCATTATACAGCTCTCTTTTTTTTTCCTAGAAAGATGTATACCAGGAAAACCCAACAGAATTTGTTACTTGTTAAATCCCACAAAAGCTGCAAGGCAGCTGAGAGTTGATGGCACTTAAGGACAGCAAAGATGGCCACTCTTGCCACTTCTGTTCAACATAGTACTGGAAGTCCTAGCCAGAACAATTAGGCAAGAGAAAGGAATGCATCTAAATTAGAAAGTAGGAAGTTAAATTGTCCCTGTTTGCAGACAACATGGTCTTATTTATAGAAAACCCATAGAAAACTGTTAGAACTAATAAATGAATTCAGTAAAGCTACAGGATATAAAACCAACATACAAAAGCAGAAGTGTTTCTATACATTAATAATGAACTATCCAAAAAAGAAATCAAGAAACAATCACATTTATCATAGTATCAAAAAATACTTAGGAATACATTTAACTAAGGAAATGAAAGAGTTGTACACTGAAAACTATAAAACATTGATGAAAGAAACTGATGAAGACATAAATAAATGAAAAGATATCTTATGTTCATGGATTAGAAAAGTTAATATTGTTAAAATGTCCATTCCACTTAAAGCAATCTATAGACTCAATGCTATCCTGATAAAAATTTCAATGACTTACAGTCCTCCATGACATCAAAAAAAAAAAAAAAGGGAAGGAAAAATTTCAATGACGTTTTTCATAGAAATAGAAAAACAATCCCAAAATTTGTATGGAACCTACAAAAGACCTCAAATAGCCAAAGCAATCTTGAGCAAAAAGAACAAAGCTGAAGGCATCACAATACGTGACTTCAAAATATATTACAAAGTGATAGTAATCAAAAGGCATGGTACTGGCATTAAAACAGACATATAGACCAATAGAACAGAAGAGAGAGCCCCAGGAATAAATCCTCTCATTTACAGTCAATTGATTTTTGACAAAAGTATCAAGAACACACAATAGGGAAAGAAAAGCATTGGAACGACTGGATATCCACATGCAGAAGAATGAAATTAGACCCTTATCTCACACCATATTCCAAAATCAACTCAACTGGATAAAAGGTTTAAATATAAGAACTAAAACTGTAAAACTGCTAGAAGAAATCCTAGGGGAAAATCTCCATGACATTGATATAGGCAATGATTTTTTGGATATGAACCCAAAACCACAGTCAAGGAAAGCAAAAATAGATAAATGAGATTATATCAACTAAAAGGCTTCTGCACAGGCAAAGAAACAATTGATAGAGTGAAGAGACAACCTATGAAATGAGAGAAAATATTTGCAAACCTTACATCTGATAAGGGGTTAATATCTAGGATATATAAGCAACTCATACAACTCAGTAGTAGGAAAACAAATAACCTAATTTAAAAATGGACAAAGGCTCTGAATAGACATTTTTTAAAAGAAGACATACAAATGGTCAACAGGTATATGAAAAAATGCTCAAAACCACTAATCACTAGGGAAATGGAAATTAAAACCACCATGAGATATCACTTCACACCAGTTAGAATGGCTATTATCAAAAAAGTGAAAGTTAAGTTTTGGAGAGGATATGAAGAAAAGTGAACTCTTATATACTCTTGATGGGAATGTAAATTAATACAGCCATTATGAAAAACAGTACGGAGGTTCCTCAAAAAATAAAAAATAGGGCTAGGTATGGTGGCTCATGCTAGTAATCTCAGCACTTTGGGAGGCCAAGGTGGAAGTATCACTTGAGGCCAGGAGTTTGAGACCCCCTTGGATAACAGAGTGAGGCCCCCATCTCTGCAAAAATTTTAAAAATTGGCTGAACATGGTGGCACACACCTATAATCTCAGCTACTTGGGAAGCTGAGGTGGGAGGATTACTTGAGCCCAGGAGTTCAAGGCTGCAGTGAGTTATGATCATGCCACTGCACTCTAGCCTGAATCATAGAGTGAGATCTCATTTTTTAAAAGGGAGAAATAAAAATAGAACCATGTGATCCAGCAATCCTTTTTCTGGATATATACTTGAAAGAAATGAAATCAGTACCTCAAAGAGATACCAGCACTCCCATGTTCATTGCAGCATTATTCACAATAGCCAAGATAAGGAATTAACCTGTTTGTCAACAGATGAATGAAGAAAATGTGGTTCATATACACAAGTACTATTTAGCCTTAAAAAAAGAAGGAAATCCTGTCATTTGTGACAATATGGGTGAACCTGGAAGACATTATATTAAGTGAAATAAGCTAGATTTATGTTTGTCTTTCTGTACAAAGACAAATACAACATGATCACCCTGAAATGTGGAATCTAAAAAGTTGAACTTATAGAAATAGGAAGTAGTACAGTGGTTACCAGGCACTGGGCTAGAGGGTATGGTTGGGGAGATGTTGATCAAAAGATACCAAATTTCAGCTAGATAGGAAGAAGAGGTTCAAGAGATCTATTGTACAACATGGTGACCATAGTTAATAACAAGGTATTGTATTATTGAAAGTTGCTAAGAGCGTAAATTTTAAGAGTTCTCACCACAAAAATAAGTATGTGAGGTAATGAATATGTTAATCATTATGATATAGCCACTCCACAATGTATACATATTTCAAAACAACATGTTGTGCATGATAAACTATACAACTTTTATTCGTCAATTTAAAAAATAAATTAAATTGAAGAAATCAGTGGACTTTGACTAATGCAGATTACCATCCATAATGTGGGTGGGCCTCATCCAATCAGTTGAAGGCCTTAAGAGAGCAAAGTCTGACCTCTTTTGAGCAAGAAGGAATTCTGCCAACAGATATTGGACTGGAACTGCAACTTGTCCCTGAGGCTCCTGCCTGCCATCCTATCTCATCAAATTTTAGACTTGCCAGTCCTCCAAATCACATGAACCAATTCCTTAAAATAAATCTTTCTTTCTTTCTCCATGCACACACATACACACACATGCATACACATATACATCCTCTTGGTTCTGTTTCTCTGGAGAAACCCTGACCAATATACCTTTCCTAGACAACAGTCAGTATCCAAGGAAGGCAATGTCTACCACATATTACTTGGGCCAAAGCATGTCTAAAAAATCAGGAACAACCACCATCTTGGCAATGCTTCCCTAACCCAACCTCTCACAATATCAACTGCAAGTTTTACACAACCTTAAATGGAAGCAAACTCTATAACAGTTGCATCTCTGGCTGTTCACAGAAAAGAATCATATTTCTTAAGTGTTAAAGCAAAGCCAATTCATGTAAAAAACATATTTGATCCCATGGAGAAATCCAACCTCTCTCTGTATAGAAGCTTATTTACCCAAATTGACCAACTACTTGCTTACAACTATTATAAAAATTGCTGGGTTTACCAAGACCATCATTAACAATGACTTAGAAAATATTTAAGCAAAATGGCCACCCAATGTTACTCCTCTGGGGCACCTTATAAAGCAAATGCCCCAGCTTACAGAAGACAGAAGCAGTAATGAGAAGCCTAGTAGTGAAGCTAAATGTATTGGTATAGTCACATGGCCACCTCCCAAGGGACCACCCCTGAGGCTAATAAAACTGTATAAATGGCCATCCTAGAAAATTTTCCCCTAAAATGAAGGCCATGGTCCTCCACTGAAGCACAGCAATATTGCAATAAACAGGGAAGGGAATGGGCCACATGTGTAATATAATTGACGACTACTTTCCAAATAACTTGATCCATCTGTAAAGATCCCACGTGTGAGTGTTTCACAGTTTAGGATATAATTTTGTGTGCTGCTAAATTGACAACTTTTGTTTTGAACCATTAAGAGCATCTGTGAAACCTATTCCATGCCCATGGAAACACACTGATGCTATTTACTATTAGCAATCAGCAGGAAATCCAAGTACCAATACACACTAATTTGGGCAAGTAGAAACAGAAAGTTGCCCACCAAACCAAACTTGTATATAGTTTTGGCCACAGCGATATATAAGACAGCAAATCCAACCATGCTGGGCTTGCTTCTACCAACCTGATTTTAGTACATATAGCATAATCCTCTCCCCTGGCCAAGCACCTTTCAAAACCTCACTTAGCAAGATGAACATATTCTATCATTATCCAATGACAACATCCAGAGGGTAATTTCACACAAATGTGAAATGTGAAATGGTGAGCTGAGCTCATAACCAGTTTAGTTGATCTAGGTGCTGAGTGCAAGACAGATAACACACAAGCTTGTCTGACTTTAACATTATAAGCTCCTATTAACACAATCTGGAATTGCACTAAGTCACACAAACTTGCCTTCATAGGTATTCAGATAATACAGGCAGCAGAGGGAACCTGGAGAACCTGTAAGGGAATCAGATGACTTCCCCTGTCACAAGTTTTGCTTGTCTGACCCTGGATGATATATCCCTCACTTGTGTTTGGCTCAAAATTCCAGTAGATTTCTAATGAGTAGCAACCCCCCATCCCACCCCCTTACAAAGTACTTGCCCCTACAAACTATACTAAGTGCAACTCTCCAATGCTACAAATGAGTTTTCCCCACAATCTCCCTGGTACTAGCGGCAATAGTATTATTAAATCGGGGTGGTGGGGGGTGGGCAGTAGAACAACGTAAGTATAGAGTACCACACAATAATTAAAAGATACACAGACAGTCGTGTCTAAGAAATTATTCACACAAATTAAAGTAGCTCAGGTTGCATGGTAACTTAATGGTCCATGGCTAAGTGTTCAGTCTCTACTAAGACCCCGTAAGGGCCTCATATGGTGTCTCACACTTGTAGTCCCAGCACTTTGGCAGGCTGAAGCAGGAGGATCGCTTGAGGCCAGGAGTTTGAGATCAGCCTGGGCAACACAGTGAGACCTCATCTCTACAAAAGAAAAAATGTAAAAACATTAGCTAGGCATGGTGATGCACACCTGTAGTCTCAGCTACTCAGGAGGCTGAAGCTGGAGGATTGTTTGAGCCTAGGAATTTGAGGTTATATGATCATGCCTCCACTCTCCAGCGTGGGCAACAAAGTGAAACACTGTCTCTCTTTCCTCTCTTTCCCTAGAAAAAAAAAAAAGCCTACTAGGAAGCCAAAAACTGTTTCTCAAAAATAAAATAGTTATTCAGAAAGGATGGCAGGGCTTTGCTCCAAAATCCTAATGGCCTGAACTTGATTAATCTATAGGGGCCTTACAGAAGCTTCAAACAGCACCTTTACCTGCCACTGACCCTGCAAGTCCCACTAGATCGGCTGGATCAAGTAGCCCACATATCAGAACAGCTTGCGTGGCAGCCAAAAACTTTTGTGGAGCCTTCGCTTGGCTCCACTGGAAACTAGCAGCTTTTTAGGTTACTTGGTAAATGTGTCAGGAGTATCACACCCAAGTGAGAAATTTGTCGCCTCCACAATCCAAAGAGGCTCACTAGGCATTGTGCCTCTTTTCTTGGATGTAGTAAGGGCCAGATGCAACAACTTATCCTTCATCTTAGAAGTGATATTTCAACATGCCTCACACCGCTGGACACCTAGAAACTTCACTGAGTTGGAAGTTCCCTGAATTTTTTTCTACCCTCTGACATGCAAATGTCTCACCAATATGTTTACAGTAGTTGCTACTTCTTGTTCACTAGGTCCAGTTTGCATAATATCATCAATGCAATGGACCAGTATGATGGCTTGTGGCAAGAAGAGGTGATCAAGGTCCTTGCAGACTGAATTATGACAGAGGGCCACAGAGTTGACATGCCCATGACATAGGATAGTGAAAGATGTATTGCTGGCTTTGTCAGCTGAAAGTAAACTGATTCTGGTGGTCTTTTTTATTAATAAGTATCAATAGCTACCTACCAGGTAACAGGAGATATATTAATTTGCTCATCAACAAAATCACATCTGGAACAGCAGCTGTAATTGGAGATAAATACCTGGTTAATAGTAATCCACTGTCATTCTCCAAGATTCATCTGCTTTCTGCACAAGTCAAATGGGTGAGTTGAATGGGATGTCGTGGGAATCACTATCTTGCATCTTTCAAGTACTTGATGTTTGTACTAATCTCTGTTATCCCTCTAGGGCTATGGTATTGCTTTTGGTTTACTATTTTCCTATGTAGAAGCAGCTCTAGTGGCTTCCTATTGACCTTTTCTACCATAGTAGACCTCAATCAACAATCAGGAAACCAATGTGCCAACTCTGCCAGTTGCTGAGTATGTCTATTCCAATTATGCATTCTGGAACTTGGACAATAACCACGAAATGAGTTTGGAGATCCACTGGACCCTCTGTGAGACAGAACTGAGCTAAAACTACATTGATCCCCTGACTTTCATAAGCCCCACTCTAATTGGTGGACTATAGTGACATTTTGGGTCTCTTGGAATGAGTGTCACTTCAGAGCCAGTGTCCAGTAATACCCAAAATGTCTGATTATTTCTTTTTCCCCAATGCATAGCCACTTGATAAATGGCCATAGGTTCCTTTGAGGAAGTCTATAAAGAAGAGTAACAGTATAAAGTTTTGGCAGTATAACAGGATTCTTCCTCAAGGGCTTCCCCTTCATTCAAGGGGTTGTGGGTCTGTTAACTGGCTGAAGTCTGGGAGTTCGTTGGACAGTGAGTCTATGTTTTGGTGATTCAAGTTAGACATTGTTCACTCAAACTAGAATGCTCCTGCTTATACAGATCAAGGAAGAATTTATATCCATCTATTTCTTTTCTAGGGACATGATGATCAACCAGCCAATGCCAAAGGTCTCCGAAAGTTACACTATTTTGATTATTGCTTTGACTCCCCTGTCCATCACAGCAACCACACTCACCTTGTCTTTGATGATTTAGTTCTGCCATTTGGCCCCTGCTGCCCCAGGATCCGATTGCCTCTATTGCATTCAGGGATCCCAGTTTGGTGGCAGCAGTTCCCACTATAATTTCTGACCTACAGAGAAAAGCAACCACAGAACTCTTCAAAGATGCAGGGGTTCCCCCTCACAAATCTATTTCTCACAACCATGTTGAAAGATGTGTTCTCCCAATGTGGGTGAAGGGATCTTAAACAATAAATTGACTCTAACATTCTAATCTTCCTAAGCCTTTAAATCCCTTCCTTTACAGTATACCAAGACAGTTCTGTCATTTCAACTTCATTTGGTGTAGGCCACTTTTGGTCCATGTTTCAGCCAACCAACCAAACTGTTAGCGCCCTAACACATTGAGCTAAAACATTCAATTCACTATTTCTTCTTAGTGGGCCTATATTAATAAAGTTAGCCTGATTCAACTTCCTATTCCTTCCAAAATTATCCCACACCCTTAATATCCACTTCCACACATATTCCCCAGATTTCTATCTATATAAACTGAAAAAAAATCTTGCAGTTGTTTTGGTGTGTAGCACACCTTTCAAGGCCTCCTGCAACTTGAGCCGAACTGTATGTCTAGAAGCAAAGAGGGGTTGTGGGTAAGTCCTCATGAAACTCATCAGTGCCTTGCAAGGAAACTACCTCAAGGAAGGTCACTGCAGGTTCTTCAGGCAAAGCAGGGTTAACCTTTTCAGACAAGACTAGAATGGCTGGCAAAGAAGACTCTGTAGAATTTAGGAGTCTGATGTCCCCAGCTTCATTGGGATCTTCTCATAGTCCCCTACTCCAATTTTCAGGATCCCATCCCTTCCCAACAAATGTCCTCTTTTTAACAGAACTTCTGCATCTTATTCCCCATTCCTCATCCCACATATCTTTACAATTGCCTTGTTCCTGGATGCTAATTTGAAAATATACTACCTGATTCATTATTTTTCCATAAACCTTTGCTTTACTGGCAGAATAGAATCTTAGGTTGTGCTATGGTTTGAATGTGTCCTCTTTGAAATTCAGGTGTTGGAACTTAATGGCAATGTGATGCAGCAAGAAGGCCCTTGCCAGACAATTGAACCTGCCAGCACTTGATCTTGGACTTCCCAGCCTCCAGAACTGTAAGAAAATAAATTTCTGTTCTTTATAAATTACCCAGTTTCAGGTATTCTGTTATAGAAGCACAAATGGACTAAGACAGGTTGTAAGGTGGGATATGGAGGGTACAATGTCCATCTCCAGTCCCCAGTCCTCAAGCACCAACTAGAAAATTTCACAACCACTGGCCAAGTGTTCAGAGGGTTGGTGTCCATGACCAACCCTTTTTCTCTTCTCTCTATGCTATACCTACTTTGCAGTAGCTTGTCTAAAACACACACTCTTAGTAAGCTGGTAGGGGAAAAAAGCCATTTTTCTCAGCCAGCAGATTATAGTTCGTACAGTAAAATTTCATTTTATATTGAGGCCTGATTCTAAAGGGGATTCAAAATTTAAGGGAAAATGACATATAGTCAAAATTATCATTGAAACTCATTTATGAAGGCTCCATGTTAAAGATCTACATAACGCTTATCAGTGAGGTCAGTGTTGGAACAGATCCCTGTTTCTTCAATTAAGCAACAGATTAAGTAGCTGGCTTCTGGTTATGGCCCCTACTGCATGAAAAGTAAATATACTTAAACACTAGTAACACACTCAAGATGATGAAATACATTACAAGAAGCACACAGAAACTGAAATCACCTAATTGAACAGCAGATTCAAGTCTCCCAACCTTCACTCATTCTGGGACATAGACTTACTTAGTGGAATGGTAGGCAGATTCACTCCCATTATTTATATTCTTATTTTCACATGTATGTATGATGTGACTCCACTATCAAGGGGAAGTCACAGGCCCCAAAGGGTGCATTTGGGGACAAGGTCAGAAAGAGACTTTCCAGTTGGAATTCTCAAGAAATCAACAGAAAATGGAGATTAGCAAAAGGTAGTCGACCTGGAGGGATGGTGTGTGTTTATTATATTGTTACTTGAGTGTTTTCCATATTTTTATTAAGGAGACTATATGTCTTCTAAGCATAATAAAAAACACCAGGAACTTTACACATTCAATCTGGCTGATTCTGAAGCAGAAACGACTGGAATAGAATTATTTGGGTGGAGGGGGAGCAGGATGTGCAGAGAGTTGTCTTGGTTGGGTTCAACTGTAACAAGGATGAGGTAACTGTTGTGTTGTCATAACAAAAGAAAAGTTTGCACAGAATCTAGAAAAAATAGAGCCCAAACCCAAGAATTTGTCATTGTTGATCAGCCCTGTACAAGGAAGAGACCATTGTATGTAGCAGCCTGAGTCTTGGATCCTAAGGAGGTATATTCTCCTACATAGTGGAAACCTTTCTCAGGCTCCTTCATGCTCTGTAGCAACTATCTGCAAAGATTGTCTAATCCCTTTTGCTCAGAGTCCAACTGCACTTAGCCTCTTCTGATTGCCATAATAATAGCTAACATTTCTTAAGTGTTTGCTATGTTACAGTCCTAGTCATAGTTAGGTTTGACTCAACCCACTAAACAGGTTGCTAGCCATTTTATTTCACTACTTTAACTTCCTCTTGCATTTCATGTTTTTGTTTTTGTTTTTGTTTTGAGACAGTCTCTCTGTTGCCCAGGCTGGAGGTCAGTGACACAATCTTGGCTCACTTCAACATCCACCTCCTGGGTTCAAACAATTCTTGTGTCTCAGCCTCTCAAGTAGCTGGGATTACAGGCGTGTGCCATCATGCCTGGCTAATTTTTTTGTATTTTTAATAGAAAATGGGGTTTTTAATGGGGTTTCACCATGCTAGCCAGGCTGGTCTTGAACTCCTGGCCTCAAGTGATCTGCCTGCCTCAGCCTCTCAAATTGCGGGGATTACAGGTGTGAGCCACAACACCCATCAGAGTTTAAATCTTTGTTTTCTTCACTCTTAAGGAACTGAAAACTGAGAGCAGTTACTGAGGAAGCAAAGCCCTTTGGGGCTTGTTCTCAGATGCATGCCCTCTGCTTGGCCACTGAGTAAATCCCTTTTGGAGTGACTGTGTATTTCAGGTGACCCATTAAACTATCCCTCATTTTCTACTTCCATTCTCATAGGGGTGGGATCCTTAAAGTGGATGTGGGTTATAACTGCTGTCCCAACCCTAGGCCTAACTTGATTGGCCCAAGGAGGAGCACCTGACTATTTCGAAGCGCTTTCCAGGAATTTGAAATTTCAGGGGAAACAGAGAGAGAGAGAGAGAGAGTAAGAGAGTGAGACAGGGAGGAAGGGAGAGATTTTTTTTCCCTGTAGCTGAAGGTTAGAAAGTAAACAATACTGCCTTGGCAGTATGGGCAAGCTATTTTCCCATGCTTTCTAAGGAGCAGAGAAAGCTACTCATCACAGATGATGAAACAAGGAGAAACATAAAGAGAAGAATAAATGATGTTGCCTGTTGTCCGAGTTTCTGAAGACTTTGAAGTTGCCTGTTCTAGTCCATTTCTGAGGTCCAGTAAGTTGCTTAACCTTGGGTTTTGTGACACACCCTAACTTATAATAAATTTCCCTATTTTGCCCGAGGTTACATTGTTTTCTGTTATTTGTAGTTGAAGACTAGTAGTACAGACACCTTATTCAGGTTGATCATTATACCTAAATTTGTGGACCAATTTTCTTTCAATTGTTTTTTATCATTTCATCCAGAACAATGTCCAAGAAAGACCGATATCCTACCTGCTTCAGTCTATTTCCAAGCCATTTCTTTCCACTGGCTGACATGCCACTGTTCAGTTATTACTCTTGCCTGCACCCAAGAGGTTGAGTCAGAGCCAAGCCACAAGTCAGTGCCAGCAAAGTAGCTGCATTTATTTCCATTCTGCAGCAGTAGATAATTTATAGATGTATTTAGGGTGAGTTGACAGGATTTGTGGAAAAAGGGGAAAGATGGGGAGTTCCAGAGTGAACATAGATACCAAATCAGTAGAGGAATGAAACACACTTATCAGACAATCTTTAGAATCTCACCCAGGGAGCTCAAAGAGGATAGAGCAAGGAACACTAGGTCAGTTCTCCAGAAATCAAGTTGCTATGATAGGCAAAATGCTTTATGGTGCATAGGTTTGCTTCTGAGGCAGGGAGGGCAGAAATACAACAGAGCTAAAGAGTAAGCAACCAGACAAGATAGGCAGTTCAAGGGAGGGAAATGACAGAGGAGGAGGTAGGGGGAACTAGATGATAATATGAGAGAAAAGTGAGGTAGAAAGCTCTAGAGATCAACCAGAGCATTCTAAAAGCACCAAGTTAAAAACCAGTTGACTCATTTGGAGGTCAGCCAAACCAGGTAGGGTAGCTGCATATTGTATTGATGTAGCTAGGAGAGTGAAGAGGCAGTGACTTGAGCTTTCCTGATCATTTCTGCAAGACCACACTCCTGCTCCCACACCCTTATCAACATTATTTGGATGAGCTCATTTCTCATTGCCACTGTAGCCCCTTCAACCTACATCAAATGATCCTGCATTCTATCAGAGGTCTCCACTTCCCTTCATCCCTGTTTCCAGGCAGAATATTGAGAGAAACATCTTAATTGTTCTTGCAACTAATATCCATTATTACTTGATGCAAGTTTTCATGTAATTGAAATCCATATTTAATTTGGTCATTTTATCCAGGGCAAAATGTTCTATATATTCCATGAGAAATACAAGAAAGAGCAGAGGGTCTATTCAGGCTAAATTGTTTGCAAGAAACCCATTTAAGCTAACTAAAATAAAGTGAAGTTTATTCTAAGACTATGAGTGGACTAATAGGATGGAAGGAATGGTGCAGAAATCTAAGAATAAAAGCTATAACAGAAGCCAGGTGTGGTGTTGCACACCTGTAGTTCCAGCTACTTGGGAGGCTGAGGCCAGAGGATCACTTGAGCCCAGAATTTCCAGGCTGCAGTACGTTATGACTGTGCCACTGCACTCCAGCCTGGGCCACAGAGCGAGACCCTGGCTGGAATAATTCATTCATTCATTCATTAAAAAATAACAGGAATAGACCACACCAAGATTGGAGTAAGGGATATTTTGGGCTTCAAGGTGGCCCTAGAGACTTATAACAGGAGTTTAAGGTCTTCATTATAGTGACTTGGCTAGGTTTTTAATGCATGCTTCTTTCCATTCCACTATCACTTGACTGCCTCTAATTACTCATCATTACTAATAAATCTCCCTGTTCATGGCCTATCATGACTTCTTCAGCCTCAACTATACCTCATGACCTTTTAGCTGTAATAATTCACTATTTGTTTTTGTTGTTGTTGTCATTTTCTGTTTCATATTTTACATTTAAGAAAGAGAGAATCTGATTGGCCCAGCTAATTTGTTAAGCCAGCCCATACAGGCCAGCTTACACCCTTAGAACAGGTCTTTCTTCCTGCCTTACCACAAAAATTTGGCTGTGGTAGGGGGAAGAGGGACAGGCAGAATCATATGGTAGAAAATGTGGCTATGTAGGTGACATCAGCTTTGGGCAAGGACATTTTACTTAGAATAGAGTGTGGGTAAAACTTGTACTTTAACTAATATGTCCATGAAAGAAAATTACAGAGGTCCACAAGAGCCTAAAACGGTGGTATCTAACATGAGATACAAAGAAAGGGGCTGAGGCACTGGTGCCCACAGCAAAGGAACACTGGGAGTTAATCTAAGCCTGAGAAAGGGCCTCAGATCTATACAGTAGAAAGGCTGGGGCTCCCTTACAGGGATACTTATTGTACATCTACTTTGGGCCAGACACTTTACATTTACTCACGCATTTATCTGGTCTCACATCATCCTTAAAGAGTAATTATTTTTAACCAAATTGTACAAATGAAGAAACTGAAACTGGAAGAATAACAGCGAACCATCTAAACTAACGAACAAATAATTGACAGAGAAAATACATAAGCCTAGGGAGCATAAACTCTATTCTACTTTTATTCCATATAAATTTTAGGATTTTTTTTCTGTTTCTGTTGGAGAATGTCATTGGCATTTTGATAGGGATTGCATTAAAACTGTAGATTGCTTTGGGGTAGTATGGACATTTTAACAATAATGATTCTTTCAATACATGAACATGGAATATCTTTCCATTTCTTTGTGTCCTCTTCAATTTCTTGCATCAAAGTTTCATAGTTTTCATTTTAGAGATCTTTCACTTCTTTGGTTAATTCCGAGGTACTTAATTTTATTTGTAGCTATTGTAAATGAGATTATTTCTTGATTTCTTTTTCAGATTCTTAGCCATTGGCATATAGAAATGCTACTGACTTTTGTATGTTGACTTTGTATCCTGCAACTTTACTGAATTGGTTTATCAGTTCTAATGGTTTTTTGCTGGCATATTTAGGTTGTTCCAAATATAAGATAATATCTAAACAAGGATAATTTGACCTCTTCCTTTCCAACTTGGATGCCTTTATTTCTTTGTCTTCTCTGATTGCCCTAGATAGGACTTACAGTACGATGTTGAATAACAGTGCTGAAAGGGGGCATCCTTGTCATTTTACAGATCTTAGAGGAAAGACTTTCAATTTTCTCCATTCAGTATACTACCTGTGGTTCTGCTATACATGGCTTTTATTGTGTTGAGGTATGTTTCTTCTATACCCAATTTTTTGAAGGTTTGTACTAATGAAGGGATGCTGAATTATACCAAATGCTCTTTCAGTATTAATTGAAATGATCATATGATTTTTGTCCTTCATTCTGTTGATATGATGTATCACATAGATTGATTTGTGTACATTGAACCACCCTTGCATCCCTGGGATAAATCCCACTTGGTCGTGATGAACTATCTGTTCAATGTGTTGTTGAATTTGGTTTCCTAGTATTTTGTTGATGATTTTTGCATCAATGCTCATCAGAGATATTGGCCTATAGGTTTTGTGGGTTTTTTTGTTTTGTTTTGTTTTTGTTTTTGTTTTTGTTTTTGTGGTGTGTTTTGGTGCCTGATTTTGATATCAGGGTAATACTGACCTCATAGAATGGGTTTGGGAGTATTCCCTCCTCCTCTGTTTTTCAGAATAGTTTGAGTATGGTTGGTTTAGTTCTTCTTTAAATGGTAAAATTCAGCCGTGAAACCATTGGGTTCCAGGGTTTGCTTTGCTGGGAGACTTTTTATTATGGTTTTGATTTTGTTCCTTGCTATTGATCTGTTCAGGTTTTGGAATTCTTTCTGATTCAGTATTGGTAGGTTGTATGTGTCTAGGAATTTATCCATTTCTTCTAGGTTCTCAAATTTGTTGGCATATAGTTGCTCATAGTAGCCCATAATGACCCTTTTAATTTCTGCACTATTGATTATAATGTCTTCTTCTTCATCCATGATTTTATTTATTTTGGTCTTCTCTCTCTTTTTTTCTTAGTCTGGCTAAAGGTTTGTCAATTTTATTTATCTTTTCAAAAAACCAACTTTTTGTTTTGTTGATCTTTTGTATTTTTTTGATTTGGTTTCATTTATTTCTGCTCTGATGTTTATTATTTCTTTTCTTCTACTAACTGTGGGTTTGGTTTGCTCTTGCTTTTCTAGTTCTTTAAAACGTACCATTAAATTTTTGTTTGAAATTTTCTTTTTTTGGTGTAGGCACTTATAGCTATAAACTTCCCTCTTAGTACTGTTTTTGTCGTGTCCCATATGTTTTGGTATGTCGTGTTTCCATTATGGTTTATTTCAAGAATTTTTTTTCAATTTCTTTCTTAATTTCTTCATTGATCCACTGGTCATTTAGGAGAATATAGTTTAATTTCCATGTGTTTGCATAGTTTTCAAAATTCCTCTTGCTATTGATTTTTATTTCATTGTGGTCAGAGAAGATATTTGATATAATTTCATTTTTTTGAGTCTGATCTTATTTACTTGTTACTCAAAAAATTTTATTTCTGACTGGATTCAGGCTTAGAAGTAGAAGGTCGCAGAGAAGAAAGTCTGTGTCTCTTTGCAATTTGTTCTTGGCGCTTCTCTTTAGCCTCCTTCATTCTCTTGGCCAAAAGTTTAGCATATTCTGCAGTCTCTTCCTTATTTTTCTTAGTACCCTGCTTCTTCAGAGCAATACGCCACTGTTTGTGTTGCAGGACACATGGATTAACAAGATGCTGAATCTTGGGTGCTTTGGTCCTAGGTTTCTTACATTCTTTGTTTAAGGGCTTTCTTACAACATACTTGGCAAACATCATCTTTAGAGAGATTGAGAAATTTGTGGATTCTGCTAGCTCTTTTGGGCCCCAGGCGACGAGGCACCATAGTATCAGTCAGTCCAGGAATATCCAATATCCTTCTCTCCTTTTTTTTTTTTTTTTTTTTTTTTACAATAACCAAGATGAGAACGCTCAGACTGGCATCCATGAAATGATTTTCTCTTTCTCTCTCCAGTTATCCTTGGTCTGTAACAGGAATGCCCCTCACTCAGTAGCAGGTGGACACGACCACGGGTAAAGACACCCTGCTTCATGGGGGAACCTTGTTAGTCGTTTCCACCACTGATTTGGACCACATAACCCTTTCATTCTTCACCCAGAGCATAAGCAGCAACTTCTGTAGCCATACACTTCTCATAAAAAGTATGAAGTTTACGTTCATCATCCACTTCAATGAGTTTCTGGCAGCAAGTGGCTGGGAAGGAGATGTTCAGCTTCATCTTGAAGCAGCTGAACACCTCTGAGGCACCACAGAAAATAGCTATAATTTCAATTTTTTAAAAATATTTTAAGACTGTTTCATGGCCTAACATACAGTCTATCCTTGAGAATGATCCATGTGGTGAGGAGAAGAATGTGTATTCTGCAGCCATTGGATGGAATGTCCTGTAAATATCTATTAGGTCCCTTTGGTCTATAGTACAGATTAAATCCAATATTTCCTTGTTGATTTTCTGTCTGGGAGATCTGTCCAATGCTGAAAGGGGGGTGCTGAAGTCTCCAACTATTATTGTATTGGGACTTATCTCTCTCTTTAGCTCTAATAATATCTGCTTTATATATCTGGGTGCTGCAGTATTGGGTGCATAGGTGTATATATATTTAAAATTGTTATATTCTCTTGCTGAGTTGACCACTTATAGTGACGTTGTTTGTCTCTTCATAAAGTTTTTGTCTTGAAATCTATTGTGTCTGATATAAATATAGCTACTCCTGCTCTTTTTTGGTTTACATTTTAATGTGAACTATGGTATATCTTTTTCTATCCCTTCATTTTCAGACTATGTGTGTCTTTATAGGTGAAGTATGTTTGTTGTAGGCAACAGATCATTAGGTCTTATTTTTTCATCCATTCAGCCACTCTATGTGTTTTGATTGGAGATTTTAGTTCATTTACATTTGATGTTATTATTGATAAATAAGGACTTTTGCTATTTGTTTTCTGGTGGTTTTGCAGTCTTCTCTTCCTTCTTTACTTCCTTCCTGTATTCCTTTTAGTGAAGGTGATTTTCTCAGGTGGTCTGATTTAATTTTTTGCTTTTTATTTTTAATGTATCTGTAGTATGTTTTTTGATTTGAGGTTACCATGAAGCTTGCCAATAATACCTTGTAACCCATTATTTTAAACTGATGACAACATAACACTAATTGCATAGTGTGAACAAGAATAATTTGACCTCCCCGGGCGCGATGGCTCATGCCTTTAATCCTAGCACTTTGGGAGGCCAAGGCAGGCAGATCATGAGGTCAGGGGATCGAGACCATCCTGGCTAACATGGTGAAACCCCGTCTCTACTAAAAATACAAAAAATTAGCCAGGCGTGGTGGCAGGCGCATGTAGTCCCAGCTACTGGGGAGGCTGAGGCAGGAGAATGGCTTGAACCTGGGAGGCGGAGCTTGCAGTGAGCCGAGATTGCGCCACTGCACTCCAGCCTGGGCGACAGAGCAAGACTCCGTCTCAAAAAAAAAAAAAAAAAAAGTGTCTCCTCAGAGGTCACATAAGCACTTTTCACTAATTATACTATTTCACTTACTAGGCATCTGTTTTCACCCATTACTGGGTTAAAATATTTGTTAGAGCAACCCCCGCTTTGTGTCATGGGGCCAATCTCTTTGTAATTATTTCTTTCTAGTACAGGAGCTCTTTAAGGGCTGAAACTCGAACTTGTTTAATTCTGTATACCTTTTCCATTCATTATCCCCACAATTACAGAGTGATAAGCACATAGTAGGTACTCAATAAACATTTGTTGAATGAAGGCCGGGTGTGGTGGCTCATGCCTGTAATCCCAGCACTTCGGGAGGCTGAGGCGGGTGGATCCCCTGAGGTCAGGAGTTTGAGACCAGCCTGACCAACATGGAGAAACCCCGTCTCTACTAAAAATACAAAATTAGCTGGGTGTGGTGGCACATGCCTGTAATCCCTAGCTACTAGGGAGGCTGAGGCAGGAGAATCGCTTGAACCTGGGAGGCGGAGGTTGCAGTGAGCCAAGATTGCACCATTGCACTCCAGCCTGGGCAACAAGAGCAAAACTCCGTCTCAAAAAAAAAAAAAAATTGTTGAATGAAATGCTTGTTGTTGAATACATGCCATACATTATTTTGGATTTGCAAAAGGCCTCAGCAAATGGTACATATTGTCAAATTAATGCTAAAACAGATTTTGTGCAGAAAGGAATAAATCAAATCACTGAAAGCTCTTCTATAGCCCTGAGGCTCTGAACTGGACATTAGATTGTTTCCTAGGCTGGAGGGACAGGGACTGTTTTTCTTAGGCCCTTGCCATGCTCTTAGAATGTCAGCTCCATGAGGGCAGGGATTTTTATCCCCAGTATCTATAAGAGTGCCTAACACATAGTAGATGTTTAATAATTGGTTTATCAAGTGAATAAGAAAGTTGACAAAGTGGCCCAAGCCTCTGCCATCTATCTCATTCTTACCCTGTGTTTAAAATGCTGCATTAATGGCTTCTTCCTTAAGTTATTCTCTTTCAAAATACCACTCTTCCAATATGGGTGACTCACTCAATCTTTCACATGTGCATTCTGATTGGTTCTTCACAAAACAACTTCATATCCAGTATCCTTTTGATCTGTATAGCAATTTTCCGAGGTGAGCAGGTCAGGGATCACCATGCCTATTTGCAGAGGGGAAATTGAGGCTCAGAGAGTTGAGATTATTTTGTTCCACATTACTTGACTAGTAGGTGGAAAAGCTAATACTTGAACCCAGGTTTTCTTATCTCCATCCTGAACTTTTTCTACCACAAATGAATTTTTCAGATCATTTAGGGTAGGGGGTACTGGAGGGCTCTGTGGATGGGGACAGAGTGGGAAGGAACGAGGGAGAAAACTACAAACCGGTAGAAGGATGTTAAAGGGAGAGGTAGAGACAGTTGAAGATTAATCTTGTGCTGGATGTGGCTTGTCTGCCTCTTCCCCTGCTCAATGCCTCATGAGTACCTGTTTTGTCATGGAGGCAAAAACAAACCTGTTATCTCAATCAGTAAAACTCCCTCTGGGAGAACACTTCCCAGGCTGGGAGGGGTCAAATTTAGCGGGTACTTGGGAAAGAAACAATATTTCCAGCCCTCTTTGCATTAGAAGATTTAACTTTGGGGGTTGCTGGGTTTTTGTTTCGTGGGTGTGGGGCAGAGGTGGTGGTAAAAATAGCCCTCAGGGCCCTATTAGAAGCAACCAACCAGCAACAAAATTCATGTGTCCGGATATCTGGGGAAGCACCACATGTGTGAAGGGGGTGGGAATGGGTCTCCTGTTTCTCACCCAACTAGGGGAAGTCAAATAGAGCTACCACAATCAGACAACACTGTCCGGGCATGGTGGCTCACACCCGTAATCCCAGCACTTTGGGAAGCCGAGGCGGGCAGATCACTTGGGGTCAGGAGTTTGAGACCTGCCTGGCCAACATGGTGAAACCCCGTCTCTACTAAAAACACAAAAATTAGCTGGGCCTGGTGGGGTGCACCTGTAATCCCAGCTATTCGGGAGGCAGAGGCAAGAGAATCGCTTGAACCCAGGAGGCGGAGGTTGCAATGAGCTGAGATCGCACCACTGCACTCCAGCTTGGGCAACAGAGCGAGATCCTATATCAAAAAAAAAAAAAAAAAAAGAATCAGACAACACTAAGTGGTTACAGACCTATTTCCAACACTTTCTATTTGAAGTGCTTCATAAACAAGTCTGGGAAGAAGAGGAAGTCGGGAGGAACTACAGTCCAAAGCTCAGTACTGTTGGGGTTAAGTTTCTGGCCATATTCAATTTGTCCATTCCCCTTTGGAGGGTGGGTTCTGAGTTTGCATATGAGATAATGGACCAGGATGGGGGCATTGGTGACAATTGTCAGTGGTAAAAAAAATAAAGCAAAGGACTTCATGGCCACGACCTCTGGCTGGCAGTGGGTTGCCAACCCCAGACTCTGAAGGGTATTTAACACCTATCAGTCCCCATACTTGAGAGAAGAGAAAATCGAGCCTTTGGACTAGGGCTGCTGAACTTGTGTAGGGCAGGGCTTATGCCTACTGTCCTTCCCTCCTCCACTACAAACTAATCAGCTATTTGCTGAGCTGTTTTACCCACTGGCTTGTGAGCTCCTTTCTGTGTGCCCAGGCACATGATGGGTGCTCTAATAAATTCATGCAAATGAGCCCAGGCTTTGTAAGATGGGGCCTTATAAGTACTTCGGCCCAAAGAGACATGGGAAATCATTCTACCCCACATCTTACCTTGGCCCTCCTAAGCTACAGCTTCTGTACCAGCTCCAATTCACTAAGCAAATAGTTCTTTTCTCCCTCCCCTCCCTTCCTTTCTTCTTTCCTTCCTTCCACTTGTAGTCTGGGTGGTGAAGGAGCTTCCTAAGGCCCTTAGAATTTAATACAGTGAAAGGATTAAAGAGCTAGGAGTCAGTATACTTGGATTTAAGTCCCAGCACTGCCACTGTGATTGACTGAGTGACCTTGAGTGAGTCCCTCACTCTTTGTGGGTCTCTTGGTGTCTTCACCTCAAAATAAAGTGAACTCTGTTGAGTACTTTTCCAACTGTGCTCTTTGGTACCATAGAGTATCATTTCTCAAAGTGTGACACAAGGACATGAGACAACGTTAGGTGTTGCCAGAAGCAAATTTTAAATTACAATAGCTGTGGATATATTTTTAATATGAATTAGAAAAAAATATACCTAAAACATTAAGTCTGTGATGTTACATAGGATGAGGCTGAATTTATTTAAGAAAAAAGTGAGTCAATTTAAAGAAACATATTAAATATGAACACTGAAGGAACTAAAAATATTTTACCCCAAAACATATTTCTTTGACACATTTTGAGATGGCTGTCAGGGGGCCAGCAAACAGAAGTAGCCCCGCAAAGCTGTCCTTTGTGGGGGAGATTTGCACTTGTAGAGAATCTGCATTGATGCAGCCAGGCCTTCCCTTGTCCAAATCTAGGAAAGACTGAGAGTCTGACACCTTAAAGAACCGAAAGAAACATTTACCATCTGTTCTCTCTGAAGGTTGCTACCTGTGAGGTTTCATCTACACAATGAGACACTTTTGCTAGACAGGCCTCCTCTTCTCTCCCTCCGATAACCTGTCTTGGCATTATAAACTGATTTACCACCATTACCTCTTTTGGCCATTCTCTGGGCCCCATTCTTTCTGTAACCTCAAGATGGTATATAAGCTTCTGCACCCCAGTGGGGGAGTTGGGCAATCACTCTGTGATGCTCCCTGTGTACACGCTAGTAAATCATATGTCTTTCCTCCTATTACCTACCTTTTTTGAGTTGATTTTTCTGCGAGCCTTCAGAGGGCAAAGGGGAAGTTTTCCCTTGGCCCCTACAACAAGCTGGCTGGTAGATACAGATATAAAAATCATATGGGAGCTCTGGGCAGAACTGAAAGTTAGGCAACACTGCTCTAGAATTCTGAAACATCCCTTCAGAGCAGGGTTGAGCCCAGGGCCTCCCAATGCCATGAGTTGCACTTTTTTTTTTCTTTTTTTGAGACGGAGTCTCACTTTGTCACCCAAGCTGGAGTGCAGTGGTGCGATCTCGGCTCACTGCAAACTCTGCTTCCCAGGTTCAAGCGATCCTCCTGCCTCAGCCTAGCAAATAGCTAGGATTATAAGCGCAGGGCCACCACACACTTTTAATTTGAAGAAAGAAATTTGTGGCTAAAAAAATATTTGCAGCAGGCATGGTGGCTCATGCCTATAATCCCAGCACTGTGGGATGCCAAGACGGGAGGATCGCATGAGCCCAGGAGGTCAAGGCTGCAGTGAGCCGAGATCGTGCCACTGCACTCCAGCCTGGGTGACACAGCGAGACCCTGTCTCTCTCTCTCTCTCTCTCTCTCTCTCTCTCACACACACACACACACACACACACACACACACACACACACACACATCCCCTGAAACAAAAGAAATCCCAAAACTTTGGCCCAGGAAATCCTGAAGGTCCCTCCAGTGCTGACATTCTAAGACTCTAAATCACCACAGCACGTCTTGGGTGTTCTTCTGGCCTGAGGGGTAACTTGATGACTCTAAGTCAAGTGATTTGGAAAGCTGCCCACTTTACTGCAGTCCACTACAGGCTCCAGGCAAAGTTATGGGGAGAAATTAGGAAGCTGCCATTCAAAGTTAGTCTTAAGGGTGTGGGTAGGGGTAATAGTCTCCAGAGTCCAGGTGCCCCCTAGTGGCCAAAGGCATAAAGGGCTGTGGATAGAGTGTTCCTTTGGGTCTAGATTGGTATCCATTTAGGGCAACCAGTTCCAGAGCATGGTTTTTCTCAACCATCCTCAGAGACTGTGAGTTTGTGGGTCGGGGGAAAGGAGGATGAACCTAAAAACCCTTTATAGTTCTGGCCATTATACCTGACCAGGCTGTATTCCTTCTTCAACCCAAAAGCAGAATGATAGAAAAAGGCTCAGTAAATCCTGAGCATAACCCCAAATTCAGATCAGTTTGCTTAACTCCCAAGTCCTCTCAAGAAGGGGCTATTGGTGGCTCATCAGGTTCATTTTCCCATCCTGACCTGTAGTCTCAGAAGCAGCTTTCCAAACAAATAACCACTTGCTAGTTCAACAGCACCAAGGGAGCCTGGGAAGGTTTTAACACCTCCTCTCATAATTTACATTAGTACTCACATATCCATGATATTGACAGTTGGTGTTTTCTCAAATTTAGGTAATATGCTTTTGCAAACACATCTTGAAAAACCGTTCCCTAGTCCCTTCTTCCAACCAGTACCCCCTGCCACCCTTAAAAACTGTCTATTTGGAAATTCCGAAGCCATTTCAGGCTTCATGTAGCACTCATAACTCTTTGCTTTGGCTAGCAAGGTGTTTTCAAGATTAAGGTATATCAGGCACCAAAAATAATAAAGTAGGAAACTCCAGATCTACATTCCTCCTAAAAAGAAACTAATGCGCTAGAAAAACTGTCAGAATCAGCTTTTGAAGGACGCTGGAATCTAGTCAAAAACTTACAACAAGGGGAATACTTGGTGAAGAAAGATGTTGCTTTGTGGTAAGAGACTGTTGTGGCATTTTAAATCACCCACTTATCATCCCCCATGCCCTAGATCAGCAGTGGCTGTGAGGACAGTAGATGGCACTCTTGGTGCAAGTTGCTAGTTCCAGAGGGAGCAATATGAACCTTACTCTCAAAGAATTGTGGTATGGGCCTCCACCAGCCTGGAGGCTCCCTCAAAAACTGGCAGGAAGGTTTTCCTATGTTTCACCTGACTCAGAGTGTTTGCAGGGCTCCAGTGGCTTCCAAGGAGGCTGTTACTGAAAGTATTTAAAGGCACAGGTATTGGCTGCAGCAGCCTGGGGTTAGGGATAACACTTGAGACAAATGATAGACACACCTAGAAGCCTGGGAAAGAAGAGATTGGGACTGAAGATGTGTATGGGAAAAAGAATTTTTAAAAGCTCCTATGTACACCAGGGAATCAATAAAGCCACAATCATTCCCAGGGGAGGACACATGCTTGAAAAGACTGGAGAAGAACCTAAGCTTTCACCTCAGGCAGGCCTTCAGGCTCCACATATGCAGGAAGGGAAAGCTGAGGCAGAGTTAGGGCCAATATGTGGAGACTGGGATAGTACTCTTTCCTTTCTTGTTTTTATTTTTTAAAATTTTTATTTCAATAGTTTTGGGGCAATGGGTAGTTTTTGGTTACATGCAGAAGTTCTTTAGTGGTGATTTCTGAGATTTTTGTGCACCCATCACACAAGCAGTATACACTGTGTACAATGTGTGTAGTCTTTTATCCCTCACCCCACTTCCACCATTCCCCTAGTCCCCAAAGTCCGTTATAGCATTCTTATGCCTTTGCATCCTCATAGTTTAGTGAGAACATACAACATTTGGTTTTCCATTCCTGAGTTACTTCACTTAAAATAATGGTCTGCAACTCCATCCACGTTGCTGCAAATGCCATTATTTCATTTCTTTTTATAGCTGAGTAGTATTCTATGGTGTATATATACAACATTTTCTTTATCAACTCGTTAGTTGATGGGCGTTTAGGTTGGTTCCATATTTTTGCAACTGCAGATTGTGCTGCTATAAAGATATGTGTGCAAGTGTCTTTTCCATATAATGACTTCTTTTCCTCTGGATAGATACCCAGCAATGGGATTGATGGATCAAATGGTAGTTCTGCTTTTAGCTCTTTAAGGAATCTCTGCACTGTTTTTCATAGTGGTTGTACTAGTTTACATTCCCACCAGCATTGCAAAAGTGTTCCCTTTTCACTACATCCACACCAACATCTATTTATTTTATTTTTAAATTATGACCATTCTTGCAGGAGTAAGGTGATATCACATTGTGGTTATAATTTGCATTTCTCTGATAGTGATGTTGAGCATTTTTCATATGTTTGTTGGCCATTTGCATATCTTCTGTTGAGAATTGTCTATTCATGCCCTTTGCCCACTTTTTGATGGGGTTATTTGTTTTTTTCTTGCTGATTTGTTTGAGTTCCTTGTAGATTCTGGATGTTAATCTTTCATCAGATACATAGTTTGTGAATATTTTCTCCTACCCTATGGGTTGTCTGTTTACTCTACTGATAATTTCTTTTGCTGTGCAGAAGCTTTTTAGTTTAATTAGATCCCATTTATTTAAACTTTGTTTTTGTTGCATTTGCTATTGGGTTCTTGGTCATGAATTCTTTGCCTAAGCCGATGTCTAGAAGAGTTTTTCCGATGTTATCTTCTAGAATTTTTATGGTTTTAGGTCTTAGATTTAAGTCTTCGATCCACCTTGAGTTGATTTTTGTATAAGGTGAGAGATGAGGATCCAGTTTCATTCTTCTACATGTGGCTTGCCAATTATCCCAGAACCATGTGTTGAATAGGATTGTTTTTCTTTTTTTCTTTTTTTTTCATTTCTTAGCTCTAGTCATTTAAGGGAACTCTGAAAACACCAACCAAACAGTAGGCTAATAGAACAAAGAACTCAGTGGTCACATACAACAAAAAATACTAAAGTAGTTGGGGAAAGTCACTAAAGAAGCATACAATGACAGCCCACAATAGCCAACAGAGACAAACCTTGGGGAGGGATAAGAATCTGGTTTCCAGAGTTGTCATTTTATAATACCCAAAATGTCCTGTTTTCAAAAAAAAAAAATGATGAAGCATGCAAAGAAACAAAAGAGAAATTAATAGAAAATATCCATGAAGAAGCATACACATTGGACTTCCTAGACAAAGACTTTATTTTTTTTGCACTTTAACCATAATAATTTCATTTACATTTTTAAAAACCCTGAAGGTAAAATCTAAAAGAGTAACATTTCTTCCTTCTGTTGGATGTATATACAAAATTTTATAGGACTGTGTAAACTTTGACATATTTTAAGCTTATAAAACAAATAAAATAGAAAATTTACCTAAATCCAACCTATTACACAGTTCAACTTCTATAATACTAATAGTGCTGGAAATCTACACACCCAATGCTGAAACTGGTATGTTCCACTGGACCTTGAAGACAGAGAGCCTCACCAATGCCTCACAAAATGCAAGGTAGCTTTTCCTCTTGGTCATGCATAATGTCATGGTAGAAACTCTAGCACACTCCCAATTTTATGGCCTCAGTCTCCCTAAGCAAATGCCACTTTGTAATGATATTTTCTTTCTTTAGTCATCAGCTTGTGCCCTAGTGTAGCTGACGTTTATGGGATATACATGTATGTGACTGATGCAATTTGATTATAATATATTATTTTACATGTAAGTGGCCGTACTATGTTTGAAATATAAGTGTGGGAATGACTATAGCCATATGATTTTATGGTTTTTTATTTTTAAATAGACAAAGATTTTAGACCCACATTCTTAATATGCTCAAAGAGATCAAGGAAACCACAGACAAAGAACTGAAATAAATCAGGAGAATGATTTCTCAACAGATAGAGACCGTTGATAAAGAGAGAGAGAAATTATAAAAAGAAACCAAATAGAAATTGTGAATCTAAAAAATACAAATTGGCCAGGCATGGTGGCTCATGCCTGTAATTCCAGCACTTTGGTAGGCTGAGGCAGACAGATTGCTTGAGCCCAGGAGTTTGAGACCAGCCTGGGCAACATGGCAAAATCCTGTCTCTATAAAAATTACAAAAAAATTAGCCAGGCATGGTGGTACACACTTGTAGTCCCAGTTGCCCAAGAGGCTGAGGTGGGAAAATCACCTGAACCTGGTAGGTCGAGGCTGCAGTGAGCCATGATCATGTCACTGCACTCCAGCCTGGGTAATAAGGTGAGACCCTGTCTCAAAAAAAAAAAAAAATACAGGCTGAGCAAGGTGCCTCATGCCTGTAATTCCAGCACTTTGGGAGGCCGAGGCAGGTGGATTGCTTGAGGCCAAGAGTTCGAGACCAGCCTGGCCAACATGGCAAAACCCCATCTCTACTAAAAATACAAAAATTAGCTGGGTGTGGTGTCACACGCCTGTGATCCCAGCTACTTGGGAGGCGGAGACACGAAAATCACTTGAACTTGGGAGGCGGAGGTTGCAGTGAGCTGTGATTGTACCACTGCACTCTAGCCTGGGCGACAGAGCAAGACTCTGTCTCAAAAAAAAAAAAAATACAATAACTGTAATGAAAAATTCACTGGAGATGTTCAACATCAGATTTCAACAGGCAGAAAAATCAATTAACTTGTTAGGTCAATTGAGATTATCTAGTCTGGAGAGTAGGAAAAAAAGAATGAAGAAAGATAAACAGAGCCTAAGGGACATGTCAGATACCATTAAGGTTACTAATATATATAGCCCAAGAAGAGGGCCCCAGGAAAAGAAGAGAGCAAGAAAGGGGTAGAGAAAATATCTGAAGAAATAATGACCATGAACTTCCAAAATTTGAGGAAAGACATGAGTCTACACATCCAAGAAGCTCAAGAAGTTCAAGAAGGATAAACTCAAAAAAATCCACAGAGACACACATTTTAATAAAACTGCCAAAAGCCAAAGGCAAAGAGACAATCTTGAAAACACACAAACAAAACAAAGTGAGTCAAAACATAAAAGGGATTTTCCATAATATTGACAGCCAATTTTTCATCAGAGATCACAGAGTCAGAAGGCAATTAGATAACATATTTAAAGTGCTGAAAGAAAAAAAATCAAACAAGAATTCTATATCCAGCAAAACTATACTTTAAAAATGAAGAAGAGGCTGGGTGCGGTGGCCCACACCTGTAATCCCAGCACTTTGGGAGGCAAAGGCAGGCAGATCACTTGAGGCCAGGAGTTTGAGAGCAGCTCGGCCAACATAGAGAAACCCCATCTCTACTAAAAGTACAAAAAAATTAGCCAGGCATGGTGGCACACACCTGTAATCCCAGCTACTCAGGAGCCGAGGCATGAGAATCGTTTGATCCTGGGAGGTGGAGGTTGCAGTGAGCTGAGATTATGCCACTGCCCTTCAGTCTAGGCCACAGAGTGAGACTCCGTCTCAAGAAAAAAAAAAAAAAAAAGAAAAAAGAAAAAAATGACTTCAGTTTCCAGTCCAGTCTGTGAGGAGCTTAGAAGTTGTCACTTTGTCTTAATAACAATTAAAAAGTAGGCTGGGCACTGTGGCTCAAGCCTGTAATCCCAGCACTTTGGGAGGCCGAGGCGGGAGGATCACCTGAGGTCAGGAATTCGAGACCAGCCTGGCCAACATGGTGAAACCCCATCTCTACTAAAAAATACAAAAATTAGCCGAGCATGGTGGCAGGTGCATTAATTCCAGCTACTTGGGAGGCAGAGGCAGGAGAATCATTTGAACCCAGGTGGTGGAGGTTGCAGTGAGCCAAGATCGGGCCATTGCACTCAAGCCTGGGGGACAAAAGCAAGGCTTCTCAAAAAAAAAAAATTAAAAAATAGAACATACTAAAAACCAACAATTCTTAGGTTCCTCAGAGAATTGAGGTCATGGGGCAAAATGCTGCCCCCAAATTGGAAAGACTGGCAGATATAGATTATGGTTTTCTGGAGCAGAAACCCTCACACTGAAACCTTCATGTGAACCAGCAACCATGGGTAGGAAAAGTTAAACTTTAATTGGTGAATTGCTGGAGTTTCAATGAGAAAATTCAACGAGAATTTTTAATTCTCAAACTTGTCCACATTGAAACCTCAGTTTAGGGGGACCCTACACTTTCACTAGTCTTACCTCAAGGAGCCTTACCAGAGTCTCACAGTTAAAATTGAAGAAAAATCCCTGTCTGATTTCTATAAGGGAAGGATGAAAATAGTCATTTTGAAATATGCCCAGAGTATTCTGTTCTTCATAACAAGTCCTGCCTTCAAGAGAAAATATTTCACTGGAATATAACCTACGAAAATTTTATAAGAGCCTGACTGGCCTGGGGAGAGAGAAATACCCAACACCATAACCCTTCGGCCTTTCTGACCTGCAGAGGTAAGGAAAAACCTGAGAGGCACTTGGAAAGGTCACAGTCCATGGGAAGAATTTCACTAAAAGACTGAGATCTAATCATAGGTCTATAGAATGATTCACCTCCCCTCACATCTTACCACCAAATCACTCAAGGGCTATTTACACACAAGTTTTTTACAGAGTACATCATCTCCAGCTTTCAGTAAAAAATTATGTCATACTAAAAGGCAAAAATCCCTGCAGTTTAAAGATACAGTGCAAGCATCAGAACCAGACTCAGATATGAAAATTTTAAATAACTGTAATTAACATGCTAAGGGCTCTAATGGACAAAGTAAACATGCAAAAACAGATGAGTAATGTAACCAAAGATTAAAATCTAGGAATGAATAAAAAAGGAATGCTAGAAACAAAAAATACTGTAATAGAAGTGAATAATGCATTTGATGGGTCAGTAGTAGACTGGACATGACTGAGGAATCAGTGAGCTTGAGGATATGGTAATAGAAATTTTCCAAACTAAAAAACAAAGAGAAAAAAATAATGAAAAACAACACAGAACAGAATACCTAAGGACTGTGGGACAACTATAAAGGGTGTACATATGCATAATGAGGATACAAAAATGAAGAGAAAGAGAGAAAGAAACAGGAGAAATATCTGAAGCAATAGTGACTAAACATTCCCCCAAATTAGTGTAAGATACCAAACTCCACCCTAGGAAGCTCAGAGAATACCAAGCCAGATAAATGCCCAAAAATCTACATGTAGGCATATAACATTCAAACCGCAGAAAATCAACCACTGAAAAATGTTTTTAAAAGAATCTTTACCCACAGGAGAATAAGGATAAGAATTACCTTAGACTTTTCTTCAGAAACCATGCAAGAACAGAGTGGGATAAAATATTTAAAGTGCTGAGAAAAAAAAATCAACCTCAAATTCTGTATCCAATAAAATTATTCTTCATAACTGAAAGAGAAATAAAGACTTTCTCAGAAAAACAAAAATTGAGGGAATTTGTTGCTGATAAACCTTCCTTGGAAGAAAAGAAATTCAGAAGAACAAAAATTATATAGGTTATAAATTTGGATCTACATAAACAAAGGAAGAACATTAGAGAGGGAATAAGTGATATTAAAATAAAAACTTTTCTTTTTCTTATTCTTAATTGATCTAACAAAAACTTTGTTCACAATAATAGCAAAAATGTTCACAATATTTATTCTTTATGCGTAAGTGAAACGAATGACAACAATGATACAAGGGATTGGGGAAAGAATTAGGAATCCTTTTTATAAGGTATTTACACTACCCATGAAGTGGTATAGTATTATTTGAATGAGGACTTTGATTAGTTGTAAATGTATATTGTAAACTGTAGGGTAACCATTAAAAATTTTTTAAAAAGAAATATAATTGATATACTAAGAAAGGAGCAAAAATTGAATAGTATAAAATGCTCAGTTAAAACTATCAAAGGCAGAAAAATACTGGAAGACAAAAATAGAAACAAAGAACGAGGGGAACAAACTAAAAATAGTAACAAATATCATAAATATTAATCCAGCTATATAGCAATAATCACTTTAATCATCACAACAGCCAGGTGCAGTAACATGTGCCTGTAGTCCCAGCTACTTGGGAGGCTGAGGCAGGAGGATCCCTTGAGCCCAGGAGTTCTGAGCTATAGTGTGCTCAGTGATTGAATGTCTGAACTAAGTTTGCTATCAATATGGTGACCTCCCAGGAGTAGGGGGCCACCAGATTGCCTAAGGACGGATGAAATGACCCAGGCTGGAAATGGAGGGGGTCAAAACTACTGTACCGATCAGTACTGGGATTGCACCTGTGAACAGCAAATGCACTCCAGCCTGGGCAACATAACAAGACCCCAGCTCTTAAATAAATAAATAAATAAACAAACAAATGAACAAACAAATATCATCACAACAATGAGACTTAGAGTGCACAAAGAAAAACAAGACCCAACTATATGTTGTCTACAAGAAATCCACCTCAAACATAAAGACAGACAAATTAAAAATAAAGGAATAGAGAAAGATATATCATGCTAAAATTAATAAAAAGAAATCTGGAATATCTACATTAATTTCAGACACAGCTGACTTCAAAGCAAGGGACAAAGGACATTATCAGGAATAATGAGAGGCATTACAGAATGATAAAGGGTGATAAAGGGGTCAATTCTCCAAGAAGAAATAATAGTCCTTGATGTGTATATGCCTAACAGCAGAGCACCAAAATATGTGAGGCAAAAATTGATGGAACCGCAAGGTGAAATAGATTATCTACTATTATAGTTACAGACTTTAACATCCCTTGATCAGTAATAGACTGATCCAGCAGGACAAAAATCAATAAGGACATAGTTGAACCAAGAGCACCATCAAATAGGTCTAATTGACATCTACAGACTACTTCATCCAACAACAGCAGGATACACATTCTTCTCAAGCTCACATGGAACATTCATTGAGGCAGACAACATTCTTTGGGAGGCTACGGTGGGCAGATCACCTGAAGTCAGGAGTTCGAGACCAGCCTGGCCAACATGGTGAAACCCCGTCTCTACTGAAAATACAAAAAATCAACCAGGCGTGATGGTGGGCACCTGTAATCCCAGCTACTCAGGAGGCTGAGGCATGAGAATTGCTTTAACCTGGGAGGCGGAGGTTGTAGTGAGCCAAGATCACACCATTGCACTCCAGCCTGGGTGACAAAGTGAGACTCCGTCTCAAAAAATAAATAGATAAATAAATAAATAAAATAAATAAATGTGATTCATCACATAAATAGAACTAAAGACAAAAACCACATGATTATTTCAATAGATTCAATAGATACAGAGCAGAAAAGGCTTTTGATAAAATTCAACACCCTTTCATGTTAAAAACTCTGAACAAATTAGGTATTGAAGTAATATACCTCAAAATAAGAGTCATCTATGACAGACCAACAGCCAAAATCACATCAAAAGGGCAAAAGCTGGAAGCATTCCCCTTGAAAACTGGCACAAGACAAGGATGCTCTCTCTCACCACTCCTATTCAACATAGTGTTGGAAGTCCTGGCTAGGGCAATCAGGCAAAAGAAAGAAATAAAGAGCACCCAAATAGGAAGAGATGAAGTCACACTATCCCTGTTTGTAGATAACATGATTCTGTATCTAGAAAAAAACCCCATAGTCTTGGCCCAAAAGCTCCTTACATTGACTAACAACTTCAGCAAACTCTTAGGATACAAAGTTAATGTACAAAAATCACTAACACTCCTATACACCAACAACAGTCAAGCCAAGAGCCAAGTCAGGAATGCATTCCCATTCACAATTGCCACAAAAAGAATAAAATATCTAGGAATACAGCTAAGCAGGGAGGTGAAAAATCTCTACGAGGAGAACGATAAAACACTGCTCAAAGAAATCAGAGATGACACAAACAAATGGAAAAACATTCCATGCTCATGGATAGGAAGTATCAATATCGCTAAAATGGCTATACTGCCCAGAGCAATTTATAGATTCAATGCTATTCCTATTAAACTACCAATGACATTCATCACAGTACTAGAAAAATTATTTTAAAATTCATATGTGTTGGGCACGGTGGCTCATGCCTGTAATCCCAGCATTTTGGGAGTCTGAGGTGGGCAGATCACCTGAGGTCGGGAGTTTGAGACCAGCCTGGCCAACATAGTGAAACCCCATCTCTACTAAAAATACAAAAATTACCTGGGCGTGGTGGCAGGTGCCTGTAATCCCAGCTACTCGGGAGGCTGAGGCAGGAGAATCGCTTGAACCCAGGAGGTGAAGGTTGCAGTGAGCTGAGATCGCACCGTTGCACTACAGCCTGGGTGACAAGAGTGAAACTCCATCTCAAAACAACAACAACAACAAAACATTCATATGGAACCAAAAAAGAGACCAAATAGCCAAGGTAATCCTAAGCAAAAAGAACAAAGCTGGAGGCATCATGCTACCCAATTTTAAGCTATAATACAGGGCTATGGTAAGCAAAATAGCATGGTACTGGTACAAAAACAGACACATAGACTAGTGGGACAGAATAGAGAACCCAGAAATGAGGCCACATAGCTGCAACTATCTGATCTTTGACAAAGCTGACAAAAACAAGCAATGGGCCAGCCTGAGCAACATGACAATACCCCATCTCTACAAAAATTCAAAACTTAGTCGGGCATGGTGGCACACAGCTACTCAAGAGGCTGAGGCAGGAGCATTGCTTGTGCCTGGGAGGTTAAGGCGGCAGTGAGCCATGATTGCAGCACTGCACTCCAGCCTGGGCAACAAAATGAAACCCTGCCTCAGAAAAAAATAATAATAAATTAAAATTAAAATTTAAAAAACCAGCAATGGGGAAAGGATTCCCTAGTCAATAAATGGTGCTGAGATAACTGGCTAGCAATATTTAGAAGATTGAAACTGGACCACTTCCTTACACCATATACAAAAATTAACTCGAGGGATTAAAGACTTAAAAGCCAAAACTATAAAAACCCTAGACGACAACATAGGCAATACCATTCTGGACATAGGAACAGGCAAAGATTTCATGATGAAGATGCCAAAAGCAACTGCAACAAAAGGAAAAATTGACAAATGGGGTCTAATTAAACTAAAGAATTTCTGCACAGCCAAGGAAACTATCGACAGAGTAAATAGAAAACCTTCAGAATGGGAGAAAATTTTTGCAAACTATGCATCTGACAAAGATCTAATATCCAGCATCTATAAGGAACTTAAACAAATTTACAAGGAAAAAATAACCCCATTAAAAAGTGGGCAAAGGACATGAAGAGACACTTTTGGAAAGAAGACATTCATATGACCTACAAGCATGTGGAAAAAAGCTCAACATCACTGATCATTAGAGAAATGCAAATCAAAACCACAATGAGATTGAGATACCACCTTACACCAGTGAGAATGGCTACTATTATTATTATTATTATTATTATTATTATTATTTTTGTTGTTTTTGAGACGGAGTCTCGCTCTCTCACCCACGCTAGAGTGCAGTGGTGTGATCTCGGCTCACTGCAAGCTCCTCCTCCTGGATTCATGCCATTCTCCTGGCTTAGCTTCCTGAGTAGCTGGGAATACAGGCTCCCGCCACCACACCTGGCTAATTTTTTGTATTTTTAGTACAGACGGGGTTTCACTGTGTTAGCCAGGATGGTCTCAATCTCCTGACCTGGTAATCCGCCTGCCTCGGCCTCCCAAAGTGCTGGGATTACAGGTGTGAGCCACCACGACCGGCCATTATTATTGTTATTATTTTGAGATGGAGTCTCACTCTGTCACCCAGGCTGGAGTGCCGTGGCATGACTTCAGCTCACTGCAACCTCTGCTTCCCAGGTTCCAGTGATGCTCCTGCCTCAGCCTCCTGAGTAGCTGGGATTACAGGTGCCTGCCACGCCAGGCTAATTTTTATTTTTATTTTTTTGAGACGGAGTTTCTCTCTTGTTGCCCAGGCTGGAGTGCAATGGCATGATCTCGGCTCACCACAACCTCTGCCTCCCAGGTTCAAGAGATTCTCCCTTCTCAGCCTCCCAAGTAGGTGGGATTACAGGCATGTGGCACCACGCCCAGCTAATTTTTTTTGTATTTTTAGTAGAGATGGGGTTTTTCCATGTTGGTCAGGCTGGTCTCGAACTCCTGACCTCAGGTGATCCACCCGCCTTGGCCTCCCAAAGTGCCGAGATTACAGGCGTGAGCCACCACGCCTGGCCAATTTTTATATTTTTAGTAGAGACAGGGTTTCACCTTGTTGACCAGGCTGGTCTTGACCTCCTGATCTCAAGTGATCTGCCTGCCTCAAGCTCCCAAAGTGCTAGGATTACAGGCATGAGCCACCATGCCCAGCCCATGGCTATTATTACAAAGTCAAAAAATAATAATAACAGATTCTGGTGAGGTTGCAGAAATAAAGGAATGCTTATACACCATTGGTGGGAGTGTAAATTAGTTCAACCATTGTGGAAAACAGTGTGGTTTTTCCTCAAAGACCTAAAGACAGAACTACCATTTGACCTAACAATCCCATCACTGGGTATATACTCAAAAGGATTTAAATCATTCTATCATAAAGACACATGCATGTGTATGTACATTGCAGCACCATTCACAAGACCAAAGACATAGAATCAACCTAAATGCCTATCAATGGCAGACTGGATTAAGAAAATGTGGTACATATACACCATGGGATACCATGCAGCCAAAAAAAAGAATGAGATCATGTCCTTTGCAAAAACATGGATGGAGCTGGAGGCCATTATCCTTAGCAAATTAATGCAGGAACAAAAAACCAAATACCACATGTTCTCACTTATAAATGAGAGCTTAATGATGAGAACACATGGACACAAAGGGGAACAATAGACACTGGGGCCTATCAGATGGTGGAGGGTGGGAGGAGGGAGAAGATCAGTAAAAATAACTAATCGGCACTAGGCTTAATACCTGGGTGATGAAATAATCTGTACAACAAACCCCCATGATTAAAGTTTACCTATATAACAAACCTGCACATATACCCCTGAACTTAAAAGTTAAAAAAAAGAAAGAAAAAGTTGAATTTGTGATTTTTTGTGTCCTAGTAAAATTAGATACTACTATAGTTAGTAGTAGTATTATCTCATGTAAGTAATTTTTGTAAAGGCCTGGAGAGAGTAAAAAAAAAAGGAATATTATGAGCAACTTATGCCCACAAATTTGATAACCTAGATGAAATGAACTAATTCCTTGTACAACACAATCTGCAAAAACTCAGACAGAAGAAATAAACTATCTGAATAGACCTATCTCTATTAAAGAAATTGAATCAATAATTTTTTAACAAAATTCACATTTTATTTAGATTGAAATAAACTATACAAAATTGATTTTCTTCACCAAAAAAAGCAATATTTCCATATTTTTCTAGATAAACCACAACACTTAGTTTTGTAGGTTTTCCAGGTTTTGTTTATAAATCAAGATGAGGCAGTAGATAAGAGTCACGGGAAAAGACAGAAAAAAAAACAGACAAATCAGTTGTCAGTATCCATGGCCTCTGATTCTGTCTTAACCATGAAACAGAAGTGTTCAACATATACCTGCTAAAAAGCTTATGAAGATGTAGGCTCCACAAAGGAATGTAAACAGCAATAACGAGATGTGGAACAATGGCAGGCTCTTCCATTCAAACTTTGTCATTTGTTCCTTTAAGTTCAAGAAAGACAAAATCTACACTGAAATCCTTGTTTGGCGAGCTCACAAGCTTTTCTCCAGTAATTTCTTGTAACTGTCCAATATAGATTTTTAACATACTTAAAACTCCTATTAGACAAAGGTCAATTGTGGGCTCCACTATAACGTTTTATAAAATGTAGTCCTTCCTCTCACACCTCTTCAAAATATATTTCTTCAAAGAATTCATAACACCCAACAAGTAGAGATCCATAGTGATAATAAATGCTATGTCTAAAATGACTTAACTAAAACAATTCCAGAGTGCCATGCAGAGATCACGCAGAAGGAAACATGGCATTTTCAATGTTCTCTTCTGGAAAAACAGGTAGGTCTTCAAAGCATGAGAGTTCAAACAGGGGCCATTTAAACAGGTAGATTATCAATGGCTAAGGTATTCAATGGAGTTCTGTAGGCAAAGATATTTAGTGATTAAGTGGCCTACATACATCGTACGGCTTTTCTTCCAAATATCAAATATAAGATAGCCTATTTTTAAGAGTCTTTTAGGTATTTTCCACGGTTTCGGAATTATCTGTGGGAAGCTCTGACTTACTTGTATAGAGTTTAATATATGTGTCCACCACTAAATCCAGGTGGTGTTTTATATCAAAATTTATGTTAAGCAAAGCCAAGATACTCGACCTTTGGTCTGTCAAAATGATCCTCAAATATGCTTTAAGGCGCTTTCGTCCATTTTCATACTGCTCATTCTCAACCTTCATCACAGGAAGAATACACAGGACCTTCAGCAATGCATACACATTAGGAAAAAACTTGATGTCAGGCAGGTGGAGGGCTTCATAGATGGTGGATGGAAGCTCTATATCTTTCCCCCTGTGTTTCCATTTGATTCTCCAACAATGAAGCTTGGCTGAGAGCATGTCAGAATTGGGTAAGTCACTTCTATACGTGTCAGCATAGTGTTCCTCTGATGTATTGAATTTGAGTTGTCCCATGACTGAGGGTACCAGAGATAAGCATTTAAGAGCTCTGAGGTGCTGTTCTGAGAATATATCTTTAAGTTCCTGAATAATGTGCTCCACTGTTGGGACACTTAGGGTTTCTTTATAGTAACTCTCAGAGGTTAGCTAAGATTCCAGGTTACCCTGGTGAGCTCTGCGGAATTTCCCAGGGAGTTTCATTTGAATATCAAGTTTGGTTGCCAAATTTGTGGCTTCCTCAAACCAAAATTCATTATAAATTTCAATATTTTCCATCACTTCGTTGAGTGAATGCAGTACTGCAGTCAAGCTACTGGCTGCAAAGAAGACATCAGAGGTTTGCCCCTGGAGATTTTTCCCAAAGGCTCTTTCAAAAGATAGGACATTTTTTAAGAACAACAGTAGTAACAATGAAATCAAAATCTGTTACTGTACTGCAGCGTACAAATACTCGGCCAGCTATACAGTTATTCCATCTAATATTTCTCACTGAGAATGGCAGATCTCCTTCAGTTCTTTACCCCTTTCTTTACTGTTCTGAAAAAGAACAGAAATTACATTGTGAAGTTCTAAAAGCAGTTGTGGTGATCGATGGAAAAAAGAACAAACTTCCTCAATTGTTCTTAATGCAACGGATACTCCCATAACAGATACTGATTTTGCCAACCACATATTTAAGGCACAGGAAGAGCAGAGTGTGTAGACAGCTTGGGGATATTTCTCTAAAGGTCTAGAAGCAACAACTTTCATTTTGGAAGAAAATCCGCCAGACACGGTGGCTCACGCCTCTAATCCCAGCACTTTGGGAGGCCGAGGCGGGTGGATCACAAGGTCAGGAGATCAAGACCATCCTGGCTAACACGGCAAAACCCCGTCTCTACTAAAAATACAAAAAACTTAGCCGGGCGCGGTGGCGGGGGCCTGTAGTCTCAGCTACTGGGGAGGCTGAGGCAGGAGAATGGCGCGAACCTGGGAGGCAGAGCTTGCAGTGAGCCCAGATGGCGCCACTGCACTCCAGCCTGGGCGACAGAGCGAGACTCTGTCTCAAAAAAAAAAAAAAAAAGAAGAAGAAGAAGAAGAAGAAGAAGAAGAGGAGGAGGAGGAGGAGGAGGAGGAGGAGGAGGAGGAGGAAGAAGAAGAAGAAGAAGAAGAAGAAGAAGAAGAAGAAGAAGAAGAAGAAGAAGAAGAAGAAGAAGAAGAAGAAGAAGGAGAAGAAGAAGAAGGAGAAGAGGAAGAAGATCAACTAGACACAATGTAAGCCTGGCCACAATACTCCATTATTGAATCCCCACTTCTCAGTTATCATAGTGTGAAATTTCACAGCCAAAATTTCTGTATGAACATCATAAGGCAGGAAGCCCATAAGGCAGGAAGCCCATAAATTCCTCTCTTAGGTTATGGGACTCATCAACAAACCTCACCAACACAGGTAGGTGCTCTTCCCCTGCTATGTCCACTTACATAGTCAGTGATAATGGAAAAGAAGTGTGAGTCTCTCATTTCCCTGTGAGTTTCTTCTCAAATACAGCTCTCACAGATCTCTAGCATCTGCCTCTGCTGTGTTTTTTAACAAAACAACGTGTTAACTGCCGTTGTGTCAAACTGCTTTCTCAGAACTTCTTCACCAGAATTTATTCGGCACTCCAGCAGTGCCTGAAAGTTATCTGGAGTAAAGAGACCTTCTGGGATTTCATCAGCCTCATGTCCATCCAGAGGTATGTTTTGCTTTCCCATCAGGATCAAGATTTCAAATAGAGATTTTAGGTATTCTTTGTTTTCCTTTTCTTCAAGGGTTAGAGGTAAAATGTCTTCATCTTGCCCTTCACTCTCTTCTTCACTGGGGTTCTGAGAATTGCTATTGTTGGTTTCTTTATGTTTTGGTTCCTGCTCAGAAGTTTCATCGAATTTTTTCTGTTTCAGTGTCCTGATTTTGTCTGCACTCAGTTCTTTTATTCGTTTTCTGTGTCTACTATGTGGGTTGTTCAAATGACTGGTAAGATCAAATATTGTTGGTATTACATTATCTATAAGGACTAGTTCTACAGATCATGGAGGTCTCCAAATCTTTGGCACATAATCGATAATGTTTATTTAGCTGATCAGGTGTTTTATCTTCTAAGTCTGCTCTCCTACAATTCTCCACCCACTTCTGGCATCTGGCCGGGTTCCGCGGGAACCTGAAAAGGCCAGGTCGGACTGCGTGCTCTTCCACGTGCACTTGGGGGCAGCGCAGAAGTTCGTCATCGTCGCCCGCCCGCCAGCCGGCCGGCCCAGCACCCCCTCCCCGCCTCTTCAGGGCAGTCCGCCCGCCCGTCGGGGCTGGGGAGGGGACTGAATCAATAATTAATAACCTTCCCAAACAGATGGCACTAGGGTTCACTGGTGAATTATACCAAACATTTAAGGAAGAATTTATATAAACTCTCTACAGTCTCTTCCAGGAGGTAGAAGCAGAGGGAACACTTCCTAATTTATTCTATGAGGCCACCATTACCCTAGTACCAAAATCATATAAAGATACTACAAGAAAAGAAAACTGGCCGGGTGCGGTGGCTCAAGCCATAATTCCAGCACTTTGGGAGGTCGAGGTGGGAGAATCACGAGGTCAGGAGTTCGAGACCAGCCTGGCCAACATGGCGAAACCCCGTCTCTATTAAAAATACAAGAATTCGCCAGGCGTGGTGGCAGGCGCTTGTAATCCCCGCTAGTCGGGAGGCTGAGGCAGCAGAATAGCTTGAACCCGGGAGGCAGAGGTTGCAGTGAGCCGAGATCGTGCCATTGCACTCCAGCCTTGGGGACAAGAGCCAGACTTCCTCTCAAAAAAAGAAAAGAAAAGAAAAGAAAACTACAGGCCAACATTTCATGAATGTAGATGCAAAAATCCCCATCAAAATATTAGCAAATATCCATAATGCATACAAAATTATACACCATGACCATGTGTGATTTATTCCATGTATGCAAGGCTAGTTCAACATTTGGAAATCAATTGATGTAATCCATCACATCTACAGGCTAAAAAGGAAGAATTATATGATCATATCCATAGATGTAGAAAAAGCATTTGAGAAAATTCAACACTCATTCTGAGTGATGCTATAGTAGTGTATACATTTGTCAAAGCCCATAGAATGTACAAAATCAAGAATGAAAATTTAAACTGTGGACTTTGAGTGATAATGGTGTGTAAAGGTTGGTTCATCAATTTGAAATACATGTACCACTTCTGTTGTGGAATGTTGGTGGTGAGGGAGGCTATGCATGTGTGTGAGAAGGAGTATATGGGATCTCCCTGTACTTTTCATTCAGTTTTGCTGGGAACCTAAAACTGCTCTAAAAAGTAAAGTCTATTTTTTAGAAAAATGGAGAAGCCATTCTGGGTCACACCCTAAATAACTGGTAGACCTGGAACTCAACTCCAGATTTATTTGAGCACAACTGTCTTGTCCTTATCCACTGTGCCACAAGATCTACTTTGAATTTCACCTTGTTTAATATTTCTTTGCTGAACACAATTGACTAGATGGAAAATGGACTTGACTCACCATTTAGAAAAGCAAGGAACCTAATTTTTTTGTAGAAATGATAATAATATATTTCTAATAAAGGGTACATTTCAGGAAGAAAAATGAAGGAAAAGTTAAGACATTTCTAGATAAAGAAAAACTGATGATATTCATCACTAGCAGACATGCCCTACGACAAATGCTAGAGCCAATCCTTCTTCTGGGTATATACTGAAAGGAGATGAAATCACCATCTTGTAAAGATATCTGCACTCTCGTGTTGTTGAAACATTATTCACAATAGCCACAATATGGATACAACATAAGTGTCCATCAATGGACAAGTGGATAAAGAAAATGTGTTTTTTACGTATATAGATATGTGTGTGTATTTATTTATTTATACACACCCACATATATAATGAAATATTATTTAGCCTTTAAAAAGGAGATACTGCCATTTGCCACAAAATGGATGGACCTGGAGGACATTATGCTAAGTAAAATAAGCCAGACACAGAAAGAAAAATATAGCATAATCTTACTTATATTGTGCACTCTATTTTTTAAAAGTCAAATATGTAGTACAGACAGAATGAAACAGTAGTTACCATGGGTGGGGATAGGGAAGAAACAGGAAAATGTAGGTCAAAGGATACAAAGTAGCAGATATGTAGGATGAACAAGTCTAGAGTTTCAACATACCACATTAGGACTGTAGTTAATAAAATTGTATTAAAGATTCTTGTCAACTAAGTAGAGTTTAGCTGTTCTTGTCACAAAAAAGTAACTATGTGAGATGATAGATATGTTAATTTGCTTCAACACAGTAATTATTTTACTATCTACATGTATTCCATAACATGTTGTAAACCTGAATACACAATAAGATTTATTTTTAAAAAATAAATGCTAAAGGGAGTCTTCCAGACTGAAATAAAAGGAAAACAGAAAGTAATTCAAGGATAGCCAAAGAAATAAAGAACAATGGTAAAGGTAGATACACAAGTGTTATTGGCTGAATTGTGTCCACCAAAATTTATGCATTAAAGTCCTAGCTTCCAGTACTTCAGGGTGTGACTATATTTGGAGGAAGGGTATTTAAGAAGTAATTAAGTTAGTGAGACCTAATCCCACATGACTAGTATCCTTATAGGAAGAGGAGATTAGAATACAGATACACACAGAAGAAAAACTATGCAAAGACACAGGGAGAAGATGGCCATCTACAAGCCAAGGAGAGAGGCTGCTGAAGAAACTAACCCAGTCGACACCTAAATCCAGGACTTCTATTCTCTATAACTACTGGAAAACAAATTTTTATTGTTTAAGCCACTCAGTCCGTGATACTTTGTTATGACAGCCCTAGCTACCTAATATAATAAGTATAAAAAGCCAGTAGTATTGCATATTTGGTTTGTAACCATTTTATTCCGTAGAATTTAAAGGACAAAGATATAAAATAATAATTTTAAAGTTATGCTAATGGGTACACAATGTATAAAGGTGTAATTTGTGACAATAACAACATAAAAGAGGGACAGAGCTGTAAGGGGCCAGAGTTGTCTAGTACTATTGAAACTAAGTATTAATTTAAAGTTGAGTGTTACAAAGATAAGATAGTAATTGTAATCCCCAGGGTAATCACTAAGGGAAAAACTGAAAATATACAGAAAAAGAAACAAAGAGGGATTCAAATGGTACACTAACAAAAAAAATCAATTAATCACAAAAGGAAGCACTAATGGAGGAAGTGAGAAACAAAAAAGATAATATATTAGTATGCTAGGGCATATAAATATATATGTATATATAAAATACTATATATATAAAAGACACATATTAGTATACTAGGGCTGCCATAACAAAATATAACATAAAGGGTGGTTTAAACAACAGAATTGTGTTTCCTCACACTTATGGAGACTAGAAGTTCAATATCAAGGTGTTAGCAGGTTTAGTTTCTCCTAAGTCCTCTCTTCTTGTCTTGCAGATGGCTTCCTTCCCATTGCATCCTCACATGGTCTTTTCTCTATGCATGCACATCCTGGTGTCTCTCAGTGTGTCTTAGTCTAATATGGACATCAGTCAGATTCGATTAGAGCCCACCATAATAGCCTCATTTTTACTTATTTACCTCAAAGGCCCTATTGCAAATACAGTCATCATCTGAGGTACTGGGGGTTAGCCTTTCAACATATAAATGTTGAGGAAACACAATTCAGCCCATAATAAGACATACAGTAAACATGGCCAGGCATGGTGGCTCACGCATGTAATTTCAGCACTTTAGGAAGCCAAGGCTGGAGAACTGCTTGAGGCCAGAAGCTTGAGACCAGCCTGGGCAACATAGTGAGACCCCATCTCTATGAAGCAAATTCAGTTAAAAAGCATTAGCTAAGCATGGTGATGCACACCTGTACTCCCAGCCAGGGTGACAGAGGGAGAGCCCATATCTTTAAAAAATGTTATTTGTGACATCAATAATATAAAGTGGGGGAGTGATGCTGTAAAGGAGTAAAGTTTTTGTTGTTAAACTTAAGTTGTTGTCAGCTTGAAATAGAATGTTATAACTTTAAAACATTTTATGTAGTTGCAATGGTAATCACAAAAAGAAAATACCAATAGAATATACACAAAAGGAAATGAGAAGGAAATCAAAGCATGTCACTATAAGAAAAAAACAATGAAAATGAAGGAAAGCAGTAAGAAAAGAAAGGAGGGAAAAGGGACAAAACATACAGAAAACAACAAAATGGCAGTAAGAAGTACTTCACTATCAGTAATCACTTTAAATGTAAGTGGATTAAACTCCCCAAAATACATAGGTTGGCTGAATGGATAAAAAATCAGGATCCACCTGCTTGCTATCTATAAGAGACTCACCTTAGATCTAAGGACATGCATAGACTTAAAGTGAAAGGATGGAAAAAGATACTACATAAAAATGGTAACCAAACAGAGCAGGATGACTGTACTAATATCAGACAAAATAAGCTTTAAGTCAAAAACTGTTATAAGAGACAAATAAGGACATTATATAACAATAAAAGAGACAATTCACCAAAAAATATTATAAATATTCATGCAACAAACATCAGAGCTCCTAAATATATAAACTTTGACAGAATTAAGTGAGAAAAGAGACAGCAAAAAATATGAAAAATAGACAGCAAAATAGTAATAGTAATAGGAGACTTTAATACCCTATTTTTAATAATGAACGGATAGAACAACTAGACAGAAAGTCAATAAGAAAATAAAGGACCTGAACAAAACTGTAGACCTATTGGACCTAACAGACATATAGAACAGTCCACCCAAAAAGAACAGAATATGAACATGGAATATTCTCTAGGAAAGACCACATGTTAGACCACAAAACAAATCTTAACAAATTCAAAAATATTGAAATTATACAAAATATCTCTTCCAGTCACAATGAAATAAAACTAGAAATGAATAGCAGAATGAAAACTGGAAGATCCACAAATATGTGGAATTTAAATAACACATTCCTTTTAAAAAGGCTTAAAATATATTTTAATAAATAATAACATATTTGTATACAGTCAATGGGCCAGAGAGGATGTCATGAGGGAAATTAGAAAATACCTTGAGACAAACGAACATGAGACTATTACACATCAAAACTTATAGGATGCAGTAAAAACTAAGTGTGAAGTTTATATGTGTAAACACATACATTATAAAAAGAAACATCTCAAATCAACAACCTTACTTTATACTTCAGGGAACCAGAAAAACAATAACAAACTAAATACAAAGCTAGCAGAAGGAAGGGAATAATAAAGATTAATCAGAGATGAAGGGAATAGATAATAGAATGCATCAATGAAACTAAGAGATGTTTTAACAAGAGCAACAAAATTGACAAATCCTTAGGCCAGTCATGGTGGCACACACCTGTAATCCCAGGACTTTGGGAGGCCGAGGTGGGAGGATTGCTTGAGGCCAGGAGTTTGAGACTAGCCTGGACAACATAGCAAGACTCTGTCTGTACCAATAAAAAAAGAAAGAAAGAAAGAAAAAACTTTTAGCTATATTAACTAAGAAAAAAAGAGAAGATTCAAATAACTAAAATCAGAAATGAAAAAATGGAACATTACAACTGATGCCAAAGAAATTTAAATGACAGTTAGAAAAAAATACTATGAGCAGTTGTATGCTGACAAATTGAACAAACTAGAAATAGATAAATTCATAGAAACACACAACCTACCAAGATTGAATCATGAATAGAAAATATTAACATATCGATAACTAGTAAGAAGATTGAATCAGAAATCAAAAACCTCCCAACAAACACACGCCCAGTAAGAAGGAGGCAGAGCGGCTGGGCACAGTGGCTCATGCCTGTAATCCCAACACTTTGGGAGGCTGAGGAGAGTGGATCACTTGAGGTCAGGAGTTCAAGACCAGCCTGGCCAACATGGTGAAACCCCATCTCTACTAAAAATACAAAAATTTGCTGGATGTGGTCATGTGCACCTGTAATCCCAGCTACTCGGCAGTCTGAGGCAGGAGAATCACTTGAACCTGGGAGTCAGAGGTTGCAGTGAGCCGAGATCATGCCACTGCACTCCAGTCTGGCAACAAGAGTGAAACTCCATCTCAAAAAAGAAGGAGGAGGAGGAGGAGGAGCAAGATGGTTAAATAGAAGCCTCCATTGATTGTCCTCCCCACAGAAACACCAAATTGAACAACTATCCACAAAATAAAAGCCCCTACATAAGAATCAATCATCAGGTGAGTGATCACAGTACCTGGTTTTAACTTCATATCACTGAAAGAGGCCCAGAAGAGGGTAAGAAAGGCAGTCATCAATTGTAGACACTATGTCTCTCCCATCCCCTGGCAGTGACAGTATGGTGTGGAGAGAGAATCTGTGCACTTGGGAAAGGGAGAGTGCAGTGATTGTGGGACTTACATTAGAACTCAGTGCTGTCCTGTCACAGTGGAAAGCAACAGTGGGCACAACTCAGCTGGCACCCATGGAGGGAGCATTTAGACCAGCCCTAGCCAGAAGGGAATCACCCATCCCAGTGGTTGGAACCAGAATTCTGGCAAGCCCCACCATGATGGGATAAACTGCTCTAGCGTCCTAAATAAACTTGAATGACAGTCTAGGCCACAACACCAGGCAGTGCAGCTTGCAGCTCCAGGAGAGACTCCCTCCCTCAGCTTAAAGAGAGGAGAGGAAAGAGTAAAGAGGGCTTTGTTTTACAACTTAGATACGAGCTCAGCCACAGTAGTAAAGGGCACTGGGCAGAGTCCTGAGGCCTCCATTCCAGGCCCTGGCTACCAGATGACATTTCTAGACACACCCTGGGCCAGAAGGGAACTGCTGCCTTGAAGGGAAGGACCCAGTCCTGGCAAGATTAATCACCTGCTAACTGAAGAGCCCTTGGGCTCTGAATAATCAGTAGTGATATCCAGGTAATACATGCCATGGACTTTGGGTGAGACTCGGAAATATGCTGGCTTCAGGCATAACCCAGCACATTCCAGGCTGTGGTGGTTATAGGGAGTGTATTAGTCCATTCCCACATTGCTATAAATAACTGAGTCTGGGTAGTTTATAAAGAAGAGAGGTTTAATTAATTGGCTCATGGTTCTGCAGGCTGTACAGGAAGCATGATGCTGGCTATCTGCTCGGCTTCTGGGGAGGCCTCAGGAAACTTAAAAACATGGCAGAAGGCAAAGGGGGAGCCAGCACTTCTCACATGGCAAAAGCAGGAGGAAGAGGGGAGGGGAGAGGTGCTACACACTTTTAAACAACCAGATCTCATGAGAACTCTATCACAAGAATGGCACTAGGGGGGATGGTGCTACACCATTAGAAACCACCCCAATGTTCCAGTCACCTACCACCAGGCCTCACCTCCAACATTGGGGATTACATTTCAACATGAGATTTGGCCGGGAACACAGATCCAAACCATGTCATTCTGCCCCTGGCCCCTCCAAATTGTCATGTCCTTCTCACATTTCAACAAAAGACGTGTTAATAGCTGCACCATTCATTATAGTCAAACACTGGAAACAACACAAATGTCCACGTCCATGTAGTATATTCCTCCAGTGAAAAATATGCAGCAATCAAAATGTATGAACTATTGCTAGACACAACATGGATGACTCTCATAAACTTAATATTGAGAGAAAGAAGCCAAACACAAAAGATTACACAATGTATGATTCCATTTATATAAAGCATAAAAATTGATACAACAAATCTATGCTATTAGTACAGGGAGGGTGGTTACTGTTGTAACAGAAGAGGTTGTAACTGTAAGTAGGCAGGAAGGCAGCTTCTAGGATGTTCGTAATGCTACATTTCTTGATATGTTTGCTGGGATATAGGGATTGATTAAATGGGAGTGTTCCATTTGTGAAAATTGAGTGAGCTTACATATCCACTTTTCTAAATAAAAGAGCTAACAATAAAAAGGCAAGAAGCCAAAACAATCAAATGGGGAAATGTAAGTCTTTTCAGCAAATGGTACAAGAATAACAGGCTATCCATATGAACAAAATGAACCTCAACTATTACCTTAAACCATATAGGAAAATTAATTTGAGATGGATCATAAGCCCAAACATAAAAGCCCAGACATAAAATCTGAAGTCATAAAGCTTTGAGAGGAAAACATAGGAGCATATGACTTGGGAATAGGCAGATTATTTATTTATTTTTATTTTATTTTATTTTATTTTATTTATTTTATGTTTAGTAGAGACAGTCTTGCTATGTTGCCCAGGCTGGTCTCAAACTCCTGGGCTCAGGTGATCCTCCCTCCTTGGCCTCCCAAAGTTCTGAGATTATAGGTGTGAACCACTACACCTGGCCAAAGATTTCTTAAACAAGTCACACCCAAACAAGAAAAATTAAAAGACTAAATTAGACTTCTTTGAAATTTAAAATGTCTGCTCATCAAAAGACATTGTCAAGAAAATTACTATTGAGTTTGAGAGTTCTTTATATACAAATTATTTGCCTGATATATGGTTTGTAAATACTGTATTGTCTCCTCACATAATTTTACCCATGTATTTGTGTGGTCTATGTCACTTTCTATCCTGTATTTTAATTTTTTTTTTTTTGAGACGGAGTCTCGCTCTGTTGCCCAGGCTGGAGTGTAATGGTGCAATCTCTGCTCACCGCAACCTCTGCCTCCCAGGTTCAAGCAATTCTCCTGCCTCAGACTCCCGAGTAGCTGGGATTACAGGCGCCCGCCATCATGCCCAGATAATTTTTGTATTTTCAGTAGAGACAGGGTTTCCCCATGTTGGTCAGGCTGGTCTCTAACTCCTGACCTCAGGTGATCTGCCTTCCTCAGCCTCCCAAAGTGCTGGGATTACAAGTGTGAGCCACCGCACCTGGCCCTTGTATTTTAATATTAAATATATTTCTTCTAAAATAGACAAACAATAGACTGGGAGAAAATTTTTGTAAAACATATCTGACAAAGGAATGGTATCAAGGATATGTACAACTGAATAATATAAAACAAACAACCCAATTTAAAAATGCACAAAGTATTTGAACAGAGATGTATGAATGGCCAATAAGGATATGAAAAAAAGTACTTAACATTATTAGTCATCAGGGAACTGCAAGTTAGAATCACTACACCCCACTAGAATGACTAAATTTAGTTTTAAAAATGAAAATACTATGCATTAGTGAGGATGTGGAGTAACTAGAACGCTTATGTATTGCTGGTGGGAGTGTGAAGTGGAACATCTTTTGAATCATTTCTGGCAGTTTCTTATGTAGTTAAACATACACCTTAACCTATGACCTGACAGTTCCAGTTTTGGGTATTTACCCAAAAGAAATGAAAATATGTCCATTAAAAGACTTGCACATAAATGTTCTTAGCAGCTTTATTTTTAATAGGCCCAAACTAGAAACAACCCAAACGTCCATCAGCTGGTGAATGGATAAACAAATACAATGGAATTGTATTCAGCACAACATGGATGAATCTCAAAAACATTATGCTGTGAAGGATCCCAGACTCAAAATGCTACCTACCTACTGTATGATTCCATTTATATGGAACATACACAACTAATCCGTAGTGGTTCTCTTTGTAGGATGAGGTGAGGGTGAATTTGACTGAGAAGGGGCATGAGAGAAGTTTCTGAGAATGATGGTAGTGTTTAATATCTTGACAGGGGTTTGGGTTATACAGGTGTATGCCTTTGTCAAAATTCAGCAAATATTCCCTTAAGACTGTGTATTTCAGGCCAGGCGCGGTGGCTTATGCCTGTAATCCCAGCACTTTGGGAGGCCAAGGTGGGCAGATCACCTGAGATCTGCAGTTTGAGACCAGCCTGGCCAACATGGCAAAACCCCATCTCTACTGAAAATACAAACATTAGCCAGGCGTGGCAGCGTGCGCCTGTAATCCCAGCTACTCAGGAAGCTGAGGCAGGAGAATTGCTTGAACCCAGGAGGCGGAGGTTGCAGTGAGCAGAGATAGTGCCACTGCACTCCAGCCTGGGCAGCAGAGCAAAACTCTGTCTCAAAAAAAAAAAAAAAAAAAAAAAAAAGATTTTGTATTTCATTGTATGTAAATTTTAGCTCAAAAGAAAACAATTACAAAAAATGGAACTCTAGTTAATAATATACATGCACTCTTCCTACGCCAGCGCTCAGCAAGGAGAAGACCATGTTCAGTTCAAGGGCCAAGATCGTGAAGCCCAATGGCGAGAAGCCGGATGAGTTTGAATCCGGAATCTCCCAGGCTCTTCTGGAGCTGGAGATGAACTTGGACCTCAAGGCTCAGCTCTGGGAGCTGAATATTACGGCAGCCAAGGAAATTGAAGTTGGTGGTGGTCGGAAAGCTATCATAATCTTTGTTCCCGTTCCTCAACTGAAATCTTTCCAGAAAACCCAAGTCCAGCTAGTACGCGAATTGAAGAAAAAGTTCAGTGAAGCATATTTTCTTTATCGCTCAGAGGAGAATTCTGCCTAAGCCAACTCAAAAAAGCTGTACAAACAATAAGCAAAAGCTTCCCAGGAGCTGTACTCTCACAGCTGTGCATGATGCCATCCTTGAGGACTTGGTCTTCCCAAGCGAAATTGTGGGCAAGAGAATCCACGTGAAACTGGATGGCAGCCACCTCATAAAGATTCATTTGGACGAAGCACAGCAGAACAATGTGGAACACAAGGTTGAACCCTTTTCTGGTGTCTATAAGAAGCTCATGGGCAAGGATGTTAATTTTGAATTCCCAGAGTTTCAATTGTAAACAAAAAATGACTAAATAAAATATATATTCACAGTAAAAAAAAATACATAAGTATTGGGGGAGGGATGTGTGCTGATATCTTCAACTTACTTTGAAATGTATAAAAATAAGTGGCTCGATCAATGGAAAGGTGGATAGATGGACAGATATGTGATAAAGCAAATATTGGAAATAGTTTTTTTGTTTGTTTGTTTCTTTGTTTTTAATTGAGAAGGAGTCTTGTTCTGTCACCCAGGCTGGAGTGCAATGACATGATCTTGGCTCACTGCAACCTCCGCCTCCCGGGTTCAAGTGATTCTCCTGCCTCAGCCTCCCAAGTAGCTGGGATTACAGGCATGTGCCACCATGCCCTGCTACTTTTTGTATTTTTTAGTAGAGGAGGGGATTCACCATCTTGGCCAGGCTGGTCTCGAACGCCTGACCTCAGGTGATCTGCTGACCTCGGCCTCCCACAGTGCTGGGATTACAGGCGTGAGCCACCGCGCCCAGCCAGGAAATTGTTAATGGTAGAATCCAGTGGTGAGTATATGAGTGATCACTGTAAAATTCTTTTAATTTGTTGCAGGGGCAGAGGGAGCAGTTAAGAAAAAGAAGACCAAGAGCACTTGGGGACAGTGACGTGGGAGAGAACTCTGTGAGACTTGGGCTTAAATCTCATTGTAGGAGGTAGTCTAGGAACCAATTGGAGAGTTTAACAGTGTCAGGATAATTAGGGGCCCAAGGTGGCACAAGAGTTTGGACTTTACCCTTTCAACAGTGAAGAATCATCTTAGATTTTTAAGCTGTGTATGACATAATAGGAGGTAGTATGGCATGGAGAAATGTAGGCAGTTAGGAGGTAAGGAGACAAAGGTTCTGGTCCCATTCACAGTATGTCCTTGGGTGAGTCAATTAATATCTCTAGGTTTCAACAAAATGCACTCTTCTTCCTTTGTCCCCTCCTGCATCCAAAAAGAGGCCCTGGAAAAACTCAGTTTAATTAGGCACAGAAGGAACTTTGTAGCACAGAAGGAACTTTGTAAATATATACTGAAGGAGAAAAATAAACTGCCTCCTCCTTGTCCTTCCACTCCACCCAACTCTCTTGCCCCTGCCCCTTGCCCCCTTGCCCCGATCCATTTGAATGATTTTTTCTTGCCCTTTAACTGGCTTTCCTCATCTGCAAGATCAGCAAGTTGGACTTGAAACATGGCCCTTGGGACAGAGCATACTAGTTACTCTACTCCAGCTCAGCTACTGATACCTGATTCTAGATTTAAGGCCCAGCAATGTTTCATTCTTCGAGCTCTTGCTGTCTAGAAACTTACTGTGCAAGGGTCTTCGGGTTCCTCAGGCCCTAGGTCTGTGGCTGTCTTAGAGCCAGAGAAGTCGCTCTTAAAGAGGGGGGCCAGGGTCTGAGAATGCAGGTACACAAAGTACATACACTACTAGCCTTTCCTCAGCTATCCTGAGCCCCACCGTGCCCCACCCCTAGGTCTCCCCTCATCTTTCCCTCCTATGGCCTCTTTAGCAGTTAGTGTCTACTGATGACCTGGTACCAGGGGAGTTATCTTTCTGGATGTATATAATGACTGATCTTTTTATTTAGACTGTGACTTCTTTTTTTTTTTTTTCAATGTTAATCCCTTTATATGAAATGAAAACAGTGCCTCACCTGATGGGTTAGAACACAGCAGATACATAGTAAGTGCCCAGGAAGTGTTAGCAATTATTATTATCATTTATCTCAGAAAATCTCTATGACAATTGTGTGAAGTACAATTATGATTACATATGAGATAATTGCACCACAGACATGTTATATAACTTGCAAAAAGCCACAAACCCAATAAGTGGTAAAGCCCAAAGCACAGAGGTTTTCTTTCTGTTCTTTTTTTTTTTTTTTTGATAATTCTTGGGTGTTTCTTGGAGAGGGGGATTTGGCAGGGTCATAGGACAATAGTGGAGGGAAGGTCAGCAGATAAACAAGTGAACAAAGGTCTCTGGTTTTCCTAGGCAGAGGACCCTGCGGCCTTCCGCAGTGTTTGTGTCCCTGGGTACTTGAGATTAGGGAGTGGTGATGATTCTTAACAAGCATGCTGCCTTCAAGCATCTGTTTAACAAAGCACATCTTGCACTGCCCTTAATCCATTTAACCCTGAGTGGACACAGCACATGTTTCAGAGAGCACAGGGTTGGGGGTAAGGTCATAGTTCAACAGCATCCCAAGGCAGAAGAATTTTTCTTAGTACAGAACAAAATGAAGTCTCCCATGTCTACCTCCTTCTACACAGACACAGCAACAATCTGATTTCTCAATCTTTTCCCCACCTTTCACCCTTTTCTATTCCACAAAACCGCCATCGTCATCATGGCCCGTTCTCAATGAGCTGTTGGGTACACCTCCCAGACGGGGTGGTGGCCGGGCAGAGGGGCTCCTCACTTCCCAGAAGGGGCGGCCGGGCAGAGGCGCCCCCCACCTCCCAGACGGGGCGGCTGGCCGGGCGGGTGCTGACCCCCTACCTCCCTCCCGGACAGGGCGGCTGGCCGGGCAGGGGCTGACCCCCCACCTCCCTCCCGGACGGGGCAGCTGGCCGGGCGGGGGCTGACCCCCCACCTCCCTCCCGGACGGGGCGGCTGCCGGGCGGAGACGCTCCTCACTTCCCAGATGGGGCGGCTGCCGGGTGGAGGGGCTCCTCACTTCTCAGACGGGGCGGCTGCCGGGTGGAGGGGCTCCTCACTTCTCAGACGGGGCGGCTGCCGGGCGGAGGGGCTCCTCACTTCCCAGACTGGGCGGCCGGGCAGAGGGGCTCCTCACATCCCAGACGATGGGCGGCCAGGCAGAGACGCTCCTCACTTCCCAGACGGGGTGGCGGCCGGGCAGAGGCTGCAATCTCGGCACTTTGGGGGGCCAAGGCAGGCGGCTGGGAGGTGGAGGTTGTAGCTAGCCGAGATCACGCCACTGCACTCCAGCCTGGGCAACATTGAGCACTGAGTGAACGAGACTCCGTCTGCAATCCCGGCACCTTGGGAGGCCGAGGCTGGCAGATCACTTGCGGTTAGGAGCTGGAGACCAGCCCGGCCAACACAGCGAAACCCCGTCTCCACCAAAAAAATATGAAAACCAGTCAGGCGTGGCGGCGCGCGCCTGCAATCGCAGACACTCGGCAGGCTGAGTTAGGAGAATCAGGCAGGGAGGTTGCAGTAAGCCGAGATGGCAGCAGTACAGTCCAGCTTCGGCTCGGCATCAGAGGGAGACCGTGGAAAGAGGGTAGAGGTAGAGGTAGAGGTAGAGGTAGGACTGTGACTTCTTAGAAGGCCAAATGAGTGGGAGATAGGCAAAAGGGTACTGTAAGGCCAGGACATTTTCTAAATTGAATTAAAAAAAAATCCTGCCAAATGCAATACCCCAAAACTTTTGCTAAAAGAAACCTCTCCAAATGGTGAGGAACTCCAGATTTTATCATATCTCTGGCACTTCACTTTCCCCATGAAGTTTCTCACTGGCTATTCTCCTTTAACAGCCTGGTCCAGGCATGGGCACAGAACCTCGTGCTCCTTAGAACAGACAAGACTAAGCTGAAACGCTCAATAAGACATTAGTAAAGAGAAGGCGATAACAGAAGGAAAATGAACACCAATAGCATTACAGAGCTAGATAATCTGGCTTCAAAGATAAGGCCTGCTCTCTGGGGCTAGCAAGTCCTGGTGTATAATAGTTGCCCAATACATATTTGTTAAATAAATAAATAACTATCCACAGTGGAAATCACACACTTCCTGCCCTCAAGGAGCTTAAGTTCTAGTGAGGAGACATGTCAAATGGGTCATTTTAATATAATTTTATAAGTGCTGTAATAGAGACGTATAACGGTTAAAATCACAGACTCTGAAGCCAGACTGCTATAGTGTGAATCATAGGTCCTTGGGCAAATTATTTAACTTTTTTCCATGTCAATTTCCTCATTTATTAAATGACGTCCCTAGCTCATATGTATGTTTATATGTTATATCACCTTCCACAATGATTTGAGGTAATTACAAGGAAAAGTGTAGATAATTTAGATGTAACATTAAGTAAATCCTTTTCCCTCTTTAGGCTTCAGTTTTCCCATCTGTAAAATGAGGAGTTTGGACTTTGTAGAAGGTCCCTTCCAGCTCTGATGCGCTATTTTAGATTTTGGAATTGGACTAATGCCAAAGAACATATCAGGTTTTCTTTTCTCTTTTCAATAAAAGCAATCTTCAAACTATCTTATTGCTAACATTTATTGAGCACATGATGGGTGCTGTACTAGGTGCTTTCCATACTTTACTTCTAATCCTCACAACAAACCTAAAAGATAGGCCTCATCTCTATTGTTTCTGAATGAAGAAACCAGGGCTTTATTACATCAAGTAGCGACATCTATTTATTTATCTACGTACTGAGCACCTTCTTTGTGTAAGGCATCGTGTTAAATGCTAAGGATACGAAAACAAATAATGCTGATTCTATGCCCAAGGTCAGTCTATCAGAAGAGAATGAGATGTAATAAGGGCAAAGCCCATCTTTATACTGCATCGTAACCATGTACCCAAGACACCTCTGTTCCAGTCCTGCAAGGGTTCCACTTTTCAGAATGGGGAAATTCTTAGCACAATATTTAGCACATAATTGGCTTTCAATAAATATCTCTTAAATGAGTTTTTTAAATGAATTAATAAAAGGCTAAAATAAAACTCATTAAATTTCTCCCTTGGATAGGGTCAAGAAACCAATACATTACATACTTTCAGTTCAAGCTTTGCTCTTCTATACTACCCTCAGAGGGTTAAGTATTTTCTATCTCTTTCTTTTCCATAATGCTTCTGCTGCTTCCGTCATCTTTCCCCCTCTATGCCTGCTCTAATAATAGACAAACTATTAAGCAGACTGCTTCCTTGGCATTCAGGAAGCAGGCTCCATGCACATAGCCAATTGATTTGTTTTTAATGCACCTATTATTATGAATAGCCTTCTGGCTCAAGCTGAAATCAGGCTATGTCCAATATCCTTTACCCTCCATGCTTCCACTTTCGCCATCTAAAGGTGTTGACATTCAAATCCATTTCCCAGTAATGTGGGTTCCTATCAGGACTCTTCCTGATTACAGGTAACAAAACCAAAGCCTTCTCTGTCTTTGGACTTCTTTTCCACTATCAGAGCACCCTGGCTCCTTCTCACAATCCATCCCAGTTGGCTCTTGAATCCAAGGTGATGCTGTGTCATCAGAGCTCTGAAGTTACCCTTATAAAGATGAATAAAGAAAAGGAGTAAAGGATAGAAAGATTATGTACTCACCTTCTTGAGAATGCCCTCAATATATCATCCATTCTCAAGTAGTTAGAATGATTTAGGCACAGGGCAGGGAGATGATGTGAATGACCTAGTGAATTCCATTCCAGCTGGAAAATCCTATTGGAGAATAGGAGAGGCCCAAAGCAAAGATGTGCCTTTTGCCTAAAATAGACAATTTCAGGGGTAGAAAGGACTTTCAGAGGTCATCTGGTCCATGGAATCCCAAGCACTAAGCTGCATACCCATGACAGTCTATGGCATTTTCATCAGTGTGCTGACACACATGAGAAAAATTGTTATCAACTGACATATCTTAAGAAAGCCTTTTCTGAGTAAAAGACTGTTCTTTCCACACTTTCTAGATTTTGATGTTAAAATATCATTTCAATAATAACATGACAGTGAAGAAACATGTCCTTACATGACAAAAAGTTGGCATTACGTTGATCCCCAAAGTTTCTGGAGAAACTTTAGAGAAATTTTACTGGTCTTTCAGATTGAAATTTTGGGGAAGCATTGTTTTGGTTTTCTGGTTTCCAAACCTGGCAGTGCATTAATATTACTAGGGGCCTTGTCCAATCTATGTATTCCTGGGTCTCACCCCAAGATATTCCAATTCAGCAAGGGTAGAGCGGGACCTTGGAGTTGGTGCTTTTAGAAAAGTCTCTAGGGGATTTTTGTGTGCAACCAGGTTAGGGAACCACTGCTCTGCTTCACCCCCTAAAGTGAATAATCAAGGGCATAAGTAATTGGAATGATTCCATTGTGGGCTCATTTCTGTTAGAGACAGAAGAAAAGCACATTCTGTAACCTGCAATATGAATGAGAGACATCTGCTAGGGTTTTTCCAAGGTCCACAGTCAGACAAGTAAAATAATGTAAAGGGCTACAGGAGCCACACCTTACTTACTTGTTGTGAGCATAACCCAAGCTGATTAATCTACACATGGTAGTAGTATTCTCTAAAGATCTGTTGTTGCTGATGATGTTTATTGATCAAGCATGATTTAGAGATTTATAGAGGAAACTTCATGCATCTTAGGACACTAGCCCTATTTCTACAACTTTACTCTCAACCTTGTCTCATCTTTTATATACTTCTATCTCAAAATGTCTTCACCCAATTTAGTAGAGTTACATTCAATAAATGGTAGTTATAATTATTAACAGTTTCTACTACAATGTAAGCTCCATGAGGACAAGAACCATTGTATGTCCCCAGTGCCTAATATAGTGAATGGTACACATAGTTGCTTGATAACTATTTGGGAAATGAATGGCTGAGTGGTATGAGAAAGGCAAGTGACATGCTTCCTCAGTTCAAGACTAACTTTGCTATCTGTTTTGTTTAACCTACTCTGGAGAGTCAAGAACGGTATGGGATCTCAACTGGAAGATAGTTAAGAGAATGGTTGGTGAAGGCCGAGAGACCAGCAGACGCTCATAAGTCATGGAATGGTGGCTAACCAGTGTGTTTGCAGCATGGTATGAAAGGGAGAAAAGGGTGGGAAGAAAATGACAGGGAGTAATGCTAGAGTGGTTGAATATGAGCCCCTCAGAAACAGGCACCAGGTCTTTTATGTTTGCGTTTGGTATACAGTACAGAGCCTGACACATAGAGGTTCTCAGTAAATGATGAATGAATGAATGAATGAACAAATGAGGCTGGTCCCAAACCACAGAGGACCTTTCATGCCTGGCTGAGGAATTTAAACTTGAAAGTCAAATGGACAATCATTGAAGATTTGTAAAGTAGAGGAGTGTCATGAATAAAATCGTACTTTAGAGCTATAATTGACAGGATTGTTTGGGGGCCAGGGGAAAAGAGACAGGAAGCCACAGGCACTTCAAACCTGATTCAGCTCCTAATTCCCAATCTCCATTAACACTATACCATCCTTTCCTTTACTCAAGCAAGAAATGTCAGTTTCTTCCCTTTCTCTCATTACACAAATCTGTTCTATCAACTCTACCATAACAATGATTGACAGAGATATCCCTTTGTCTCCATTTCCATAGTCAGTGCCCTATTTCAGATGATCACCTTTTTTTCTTCTTTTTTTAAGACAGAGTCTCACTCTGTCATTCAGGCTGGAGTGCAGTGGTTCGATCTCGGCTCACTGCAACCTCTCTCGCCTGGGTTTAAGCCATTCTCCTGCCTCAGCCTCCACCATGCCCAGCTAATTTTTGTAATTTTGGTAGAGATGGGGTTTCACCATGTTGGCCAGGCTGGTCTCGAACTCCTGACCTCAAGTGATCTGCCCGCCTCAGTCTCCCAAAGTGCTGGGATTACAGGCATGAGCCACTGTGCCCGTTCCAGATCATCAACATTTTTTTTTGACTTAGTCTATTGGTTCGTTTCCTTACATCTTATCTTTCCATGCCATCATCTAAACCGGCAGTCGCCAACTTTTTGGCATCAGGGACTGGTTTTGTGGGAGACAATTTTTCCACGGGACAGGGGTTGAGGGGGATGGTTTCAGGATGAAACCGTTCCACCTCAGATCATCAAGCAGTTAGATTCTCATAAGGAATGCGCAACCTAGATCCCTTGCATGCGCAATTCACAATAGGGTTCGCACTCCTATGAGAATCTAATGCTGCGGCAGATCTGACAGGAGGCAGAGCTCAGGTGGTAATGCTCACTCACCTGCCGCTCACCTCCTGCTGTGTGACCTGGTTCCTCACAGGCCATGGTCTTGGTATCAGTCTGTGGCCAGCGGTTTGGGGACCCCTGATCTAAACTGTCACCACAATATTCTTTCTAAGATGCAGTTCTGATGTTACTCTCCTACTCAAAACAGTGGTGATCTTGTATTATATATCAAAAATAAAGCGTTTACCTCTTAGCATGGCATTTAGTAACTCTGCAAAGTAGTTTGCAGATAAACTGAGGCTCAGAAAGGGAAAAGAAATTGCTTAGGATCATACAGGCATGCAGCGGTAGAACCAAGGTTAAAACCCTGGTCTCCTGATGCCAGTGATTTAGCCGTTATAAAGTATCTTCTAAAGAGGGGAGAAATGGTAGTACTGCATATGTTACTAGAATGGTGAAATGGCAGTTACATAATTCTGTCTTCTGGGTGGGGCACATACTTTGAAACCCACACAAATGAGCAAAGATCCCTGTTCTACCTCTTACTAGCTTTGTAGACTTAAAACAAGTAACTTAGCCTCTTGGAGCCTCCATTTCCTCATTTACAAAATGGGAACAAATCATCCCAATCTTATAGTAATGTTATGAAGATTATATAAGATCTCATATATAAAGGGCCTAGCACAGTGCTAGATTCACAGGAGATTCTCAGTGAGGGTCATCACCCACCCATACTCCCATTCCAGTGATCTAAAAACCAGTTTAAACAATGAGGGAAGTAGAATTCAAGATAGTAAGAATCTAGATGGATGCAAGATTCCAGGGTCTATTCCTAGTTCCGGGGTAGGAAATAACTATTTTTAGGGTCTTCTTCAATCAGGTTCCCTGCAAGTGGAAACCAAACTAGTGTTCTCCTGGGGCAACAGGTGGTCATATGTATGGGGAGACCCCTGACTAAAAAGCAGACCTTAAGCCCCGGTGCCCATAGTGTCCATGACTTGTCACTCCTCGTAGCTGAAGCATTATGAATTTTTATTAAAATGTAAACGTTTCCTAGGAGAGGCAGACGGCATACATATTAACTTTCTGGCCTGATTAGCCTTCACTTCCCTCTTTCTGTGAGTAGACTCTATAGCTCTGTGCTTTGAGCTCAAAGCATGCTCTGATGTAGGGGACCACCTTCCCCTACCCTTGGCCTTTTAAAATCCTACTCAACATTCCAGGCCTTGCAGGAACGGTGGCTCATGCCTGTAATCCCAACACTTTGGGAGGCCGAGGCGGGTGGATCATTTGAGGTCAGGAGTTTGAAACCAGCCTGGCCAACATGGTGAAACCCCATCTCTACTAAAAATACAAAACTTAGCGGGTGTGGTGGCGCACGACTGTAATCCCAGCTACTCGGGAGGCTGAGGCAGAAGAATCGCTTGAACCAGGGATCGGAGGTTGCAGTGAGCCGAGATGGCGCCACTGTACTCCAGCCTGGGCTACAGAGCGAGACTGTCTCAAAAAGAAAAAAAAAATTCCAGGCCCATCTTGAACACCACCTCTTCCAGAAGCCCACTGTGATAGTGCAGTCAGATCCTGCCTTCCCTCCTCTGTCTCCTCCCAGGGAGCCTCAAATCCTAGACTCTTTTGGTGAAACACAGGGAGCATGAAGCTTCTCGTTATATGGAGACCTGCCTTGAATTCTAGCTTGTCCTTGACTTGGCCCATGATCTTAGGCTAATAAATGCCTTGACCTCGTTGAGCCTCAGTTTTCGTGCAAAAAAGCAGGTAATAATAAACCTTAGGGCAATAAGGGACGTGCTCTGTTCGGGCAATGCCTTCCCTGCTGAGTGGCGTGGCCCTGTGATTTTTGAATTTGGCTGATTCCTCTCATATGGCAGCGCAAGCCCCTCAGGACGTCTATATCCTTCCACCCAGCTCCGCCAGCCCTCAGGTGCTTAATGACTGTATTTACAGGCATCTAGCGCAGCCACGCAGCCCCGGAGCTGCATCACCTCTGGCTATGCAGTCTTTCACTTATCAGGAGGGTTAATGAGATGCAGGGTAGAAAGGTCTTGCCACTCGCCCGCCCGCTCGTGGAAGCCGAGTAGCTTGGTAACGACACCACGACTTCACGTTTAGTGCATTAGACGCGTAGACCCTTAGGGGAGGCAGAGCTTCCCGGTATCGCCGAGCGGGCCCTGAGGGCTGAGGCTGGGCACCCCTGCGCACCCCTGCTGAGTGCCCGGCCACCAGAAAGACAGATCCCCCACCTTTCCTTCTCCCTGACCCGGCGCGCTTCCTGGGGAACAAACTCTCCCTTACCCTCAGTGGGGCTGGGGCCTCAGTCTGCGACATACAGTGGGACTCCCATGTCTGCATGCCTGAGGTGGGCGGAAGGGGGCGGTGGGTGCTGGGAAGACATCCGTCCGCTTGCAGCTCCGCTGAGTCTCCAGCACCTGAAAAGCCGCGGCCGAGGCCTGAGGGACCAGCCCAGCCGAGATATCGGGGGCGGGGCAGCCCAATCCCAAACTGGCGGCTGGACCCGACTCCAACTCGTTCCTCCTAAGTCCGGGACAGATTGTCGGGAGGAGCTTGAACTGAGCTTCGGCTCCCGACTGGGCCTGGGCCCGGCCCCCACTGGTGCCACCTCCCTCCCTTCCTGGCCCGGCTCCTGGCCCACACTCGGCCCTGGCCCGGCCCTGGCCCGGCCCAGACCCGGCCCGGCCCTGGCCCGGCCCAGACCCGGCCCTCTGAGGCTCCTCCGGGCTCCAGGTTGGCGCAAACAAAGCCCTGATTGACTGCCCGGAGGGGCGGGCCTCGCTGCATGGCCGCCTCCTCCCCTCCCAGGCCGCCAGGGATTTGCCGGGAAGAGCGGGGGCAGGGGGAGACTCCCGGGGGTGCGCAGGACCGCGGGGGGCCGAGTCCTCGGGCTCGAGAAGATTGTGTCCACCCGCTGTCCGAGGCCCAGGCTGTCCCCTCAGGTCGTCCTCCTCAAGTCCAAGGAGGGACATGGGAGCTCCTGAGGGCAGGGTGGGGTTCCTCGCGGGCCAGCTGTCGTCCTAGGGTCCCCGGTGCCACCTCAGTTGCGGGCTGCTTGTGAGGAAGGAGGGTATGGGAGCAAAAAATAGGAGGGGTCTTCCCGAGGCTCGGGGTTGATCAGTGTCGGTTCTAGAGCCTGCGGGGAAAAGAGGGCAGGAGAACAGGATAGTTTGTGCTTCCTTTTTTCCATTTTAACTTTTCCTCTAACGGGCATCCGGGCAAGAACAGGGTTCAGTAGTTTGGGAAGGGAGCTGGGGGAGGCAGTGGCGGCTGGAGTAGGTAGGCGAGTAAAAGGAGGAGGAAGGGCTGGGGAGAAGAGCGAGGCTGTAGCGGCTGCCTGTTGAGGGAGGAAGAGGTGGGGGGTGTGGAGGAGGGGGAGGAGAGAGAGATGACATGGGGAGAGGAGGAGGGGGGTTGGACGTGGGAGGAGGAGGAGAGGGCTCGAGGGACCGTCTGTCGCGGGACGGGCTGGCCAGCTGGGGCGCGGAGCCTGGAGGAGGAGGCAGCGGCAGCGGCAGCAGCAGCCCTCCGAGCAGCAGCAGCTGCAGCAGCAGAAACAAGTACCAGCCACAAAGCGGCTCCTCTGGCCCAAGCAGCCACAGTCCCCCCGCCGCGATGGCGCTGCAAAGCCAGGCGAGCGAGGAAGCAAAGGGGCCCTGGCAGGAGGCAGACCAGGAACAGCAGGAGCCGGTGGGTAGCCCAGAGCCGGAGTCTGAGCCGGAGCCTGAGCCCGAGCCCGAGCCCGTGCCAGTGCCCCCGCCCGAGCCCCAGCCGGAGCCCCAGCCCCTACCGGACCCCGCACCCCTGCCGGAGCTGGAGTTCGAGTCCGAGCGGGTGCACGAACCCGAGCCCACGCCTACGGTAGAGACCCGCGGCACCGCGCGCGGCTTCCAGCCTCCCGAAGGTGGCTTCGGCTGGGTGGTGGTGTTCGCTGCCACCTGGTGCAACGGCTCCATCTTCGGCATCCATAACTCTGTCGGGATCCTCTACTCCATGCTGCTAGAGGAGGAAAAGGAAAAAAATCGCCAAGTGGAGTTCCAAGCAGGTGAGTGGCCCCGCACGCCCCACTTGGCATTTTGGGCAAGGTTGGCCGCTCCCGCTGCCACCGACCCCATACCTCCCGGTCCGAGGCGCCCCTCCAACGCGCCTCTCCGACTCCTCCCCTTACCCCTTACCCCTTGCCCCTTGCCCCTTTCCATGGCTCTCCTAGGGTGCGGGTTGCGGGGCTTTGGGCAGCTTGGACTGGGGAGACTAGGTGCAAGGCGTCCCGGGGGTACGAACTGGGACATTCATTGATCCTTGGCAAGCAATGGACTTTTTTTTGCCCTGGGACAAATCTAAATGCACCTTTCAGGTTTAAGGTACCTTTGCCCCTGTGTGCTGGGGGAAAATATTTGCAGGACTTTTTTTTTTTTTGGAGGTGGGGAGAAGTCATGAGGAGAGGAGAGAATTGAGAGGCGGGGCGGGCTCTGAGAGAAGCACTGTACCGCTGATCTCCGCAGCAGCCCCCCGGTTCCTTTGGGGAAACGGAGGTGTTTTCTGTTAAAAACACTTTAGGAATCCTGATGACTATGAGCGAAGAGTCAAACACATGGCAGGCGTGCGTGTCTGCAAGAGAGAAAGGGAGGGAGGGAGTTCGAGTCGGGGTGTGAGTGCGTCTCTGGCCGCCGCCGTTACGGCCCAGCTGGGCCCGGCAGTCCTCTGCCGCCCCGCGGGAGTGAATGGATCTCCGTGCCCTATGAGCCGAGCCCCAGAGCGGGCGGGGAGGCGGTCTCCGCAGTCTCCTGCCAGAGAGGCGTGAGGCCGCAGGCAGGCTGGGCCCTGCTGCTCACTCCGCACCGCCCCCAACTTCAGCCCTGCCTTCCCCGGCAACCCGCGCCTCTCTGCTACCGGTGGGGTGCCTCGTTCGGCCTACAGCCTGAGTGCCAGACCCGCCATTCCAGCTTTCCCCTGGAGCTGACTTGATCTCAGACAGAGTTGGGGGGCATAGCCCTCGCTTTCCAGGCCAGTGGACGCAAGACCCCAGGCGTGTGCGCTCTTCTCATTGAGGCCGCCTGTGAGCTGGGAGAAGTCAGAGGAACCATCTCGCTTTCCCAGCAAAGCCGCTGGCGAAATCCCTCAGCAGTTCTGGTGAGGGATTCAGACGAAGACGGGGGATTGGGATGCCCTCTCTGGCAAGGCTTGCTCCCTCTCGTGGCTCCTCAGGACAGCTCGACTCTTGCCACCAGCCCCAAGTTCACAACTCAGAATATGTGGCTTTTCGCAGTGTTGCCCTCGGACTGAGGAGTTCCATCCTCTCGCCAACCTCCAACCCCCACATATTTCTACTGCCATTTGAGGGGACCTGGGAATTATTAAGTGAACATAGAAACCTTGAATTCTGGAGTGTCCACCTGTGGATTCCCTGGGCCCTCTCCAGGACTTGTGGTTTTAGTTTGCAGCTTTGCTGGACTTCCCTGGCAGAAGGGGCTTTGGGGATCTTGGTGCCTCAGACCTTGTGATCCATTGGCACAGCAGCGGTGTGCAGGCCCCGATGAAGATAGTGCGTCAGTGGTTGTCAAAGGAAGTCTCTTGACTACCCAGGCCCACTGTGATGCTGGAATGGAGGGGTCCTGGGACAGTGTAGAGCAACTTCTGCGGGGAAGATGGCTGCCACAGTCACCCCTGGGACCACCTTTTTCCCTGCTTTGATGCAGTTCAGGGGCTCCTGGGAAAGCAGGCAGTGTAGGGACTCATGCTGTTGCCTAGGTTACCTCCAAGGGCACCTGCTGAGCATTGCCCTGTGGTTGAAGGCAGGCTGTTGGCCTTCAGGATCAGTGAGTGGCAAAGTCTGAGTGAAACTTGATGAGAAGCAGTAGAGGCTAGGCTGAAGCTAGGCCCTGGCATTTATATGGTGTGAGGAGGCCTAGAGCTGTGATCTTAGGAGTGTATAATAAAACTTGGAAAAACCACTATTTTACCAGGAAGAGGCTCACTGCTGGGGAACAGACTTCAAAGTAGGTGATCATAGGGGACTCAGGGGGAGGGCTGGCTGGGACTTTCCGGTCAAGACCTCACAGTGCAGCTAGAGGGTGGGGGTGGTGGTGGGGGTGCAGTTGGCTATGCAGAGGTGTGGCTAGTGCATACTCTGACACAGACCAGGTTCACTGAGGGGCTGAGGTCACTGGTTTAAATTATAGTGAGTATAGGTCAGGAAGAAACAGAAAGGAATTTGGTATGTCCCTAGGGTCTCAGAATACTTTGGCTTGGGTCCTTGCTGTGGTGTATCTTGAACTCACTGACATTATTTTTTATACTAGAGGTTCTTAGGGACACCACAGTTTTTATTTTGGAAAAGTCAGGAACACCCTATCACATGGAGCTCCTAGAAAATCTCATCCTCAGTACTACCTTTGCTGAGCTCTTCAACTTTCCCAAGCAACCATTCAGATCCTGAGATTCTGAATGTCTTTGCCTGCAGACACTTTCTGCTGTTTACTCAAAATTTCCCAGCCGTCTGTGCCACAGCACTGGTGTCTCAAAGGGATAGAAGAAGCTAATAGAAGTTTGTGTCATTTTTATCAGCCAGTATTTGTCCAATAGCCATTCTGGGAGAAACAGAATGTACACCCCCACGCTCAAGGAATTTGGTGCATCGTCCATTTTTATTAATATCTGACATGACTTCCATCTCTAAGAGTCTATGAATTTGGTGTTTGGAGGCACCTCGTAACCCAATTTCTCTTTGACTAGGCCTAATATCTTCACAGACCTAAAGCTGTGTTGAGTGGCTTAATGGGTGGAAGGTCCTGCAGATGATTGGGATTGTTGTGAGGAAGCCCCACAGAAAGGTAGTTTCTTATACTTTATTTTTAGAGATGGGATCTTGCTCTGTTGACCAGGTTGGAGTGCAGTGGCGCAGTCATATTTCACGACACCTTCAAACTCCTGGGCACAAGCAATCGTCCCACCTCAGCTTCTCAAGTAGCTAGAACTACAGGCATGCGCCACCACACCTGGCTAATTTTTATTTATTTATTTATTTATTTAAAAACAGACTCTTGCTATGTTGCCCAGGCTGGTCTCAAACTCCTGGCCTCCAGCAGTCCTACTGCCTCAGCCTCCCAAGTAGCTGGGAAGAAAGGTAGTTTTGATGTTTGAGGAACAGCTCCACATCAGAGTGCCTCTGGGCATGGGAAAAAGCCACAGAAGTTAGAAGGGATATGGGATTCAGGCCTTACTAGAGCATGCAATGTGCAGTTTTTGTGGACCCTTTGATGTATACAGTTTTGTGGTGTCACCAGCTGTATATCTTATCCCCTCTCTTCACCAGTTTTGGAGGAAAGCCAACTTTCCCTGGGTCCTAGGCTTGGGTGGATTGGCAGGCAAAAGGTCCCTGAGAGGGAGGCAAGTGATCAAACTCTGGTTTAGTGAAAAAAGGAAAAAGATCAGGAGGGAAATGAGCCTGTATTTCTTGCCAAGATCATGGGAAATTTGTGAGTTCCCCAACCCAGACCAAACAGCAGACAGGACAGGAGGCAACCAGGCAATTCTGTGGAAAGTAAAGGCCCAAGCATAGCTTCTTGGGGTGGTAGGGAAGCCTTTTGGAGGAAAGAGGGGAAAGAGAAGCAAGACGCCATTGATTGTAGGCCCCAGCTCAATATTGGGACCCTAAGTGAGTTGGACCTGCAATAGGGTTAGGGTTGGGAGTTCAGAGGACAAGGCAGAACAAGCCAGAGTTGCTAACATTGGCTCTATGCTTAAGTCTTTTTAAAAGTACTCCAGAGTAAAACTTGACTGCCGGTCCACCATTGAGCCAAAAAATATGGAAGGCATTTTTGTTTTACTGGGCAGTTTATAAGCATGGTCCTTGTAAGCTCCCAAGGGGGGTCAAGGCTGAGGCTCTCATCACCAGAGAAAGGGACAATGGTCAGGAAGGTTCACTACTAGGCACAAGATAGTTCAGGCTGATGGTCCACTCTGATGGAAACAGAATTTTCTAGGCATGGGGAAGAATGATACACTCTGCCTTTGGGTGAACCAAGAGTCCCAAGGTTGGGTGGGGCCAGGTAGAGTAGGCTGTCTTTCTCCTTCTCACCTTAGGGGTTTTCATTGCTTGGTTCAGTGTCTCACTGGACTGTAACACTAAATTGCTGACTTTGGGAGCAAAGTGTATTTTGAGCAAATCTGCCAATCTCTTGACTTCAGCTGAAGGCTCTTGACTACTGTCCAGCAGAGCTAGATCAGGTTGGCTTAGCGCCTGCTGTGGTGCTTCAAGCCACACAGCCCTTGGCCAGGCATCTCTCACGTCATTCCCCTGCCCCCTTTCCAACCAAATGGGATCTTGAACTATGACCATGACTGATACTGAAAGGGATGAGAATAAGAGATTGGGTCATTTGGAGGCCAACCAGGAGGATGCTTGTTTGAGTTGGGGTAGCTGGTTGAGGCTGGATGCCTGGATCACTGTACAGTGGCCTCAAATGCTCATTCTAAGTCTAAAAAAGCAAGACCCAGGGCCAAATCTGGACTCCCCAAAGCTGGCAGTCTCAGTGATACCAGCTAGGCAGTAACTGTGACTTAGACAACTTGTGCCCCTAACTTATTCTGTGACTTTGGACAGGCACTTCACCTCTCTGTATGTCAGTTTATCTATCTATAAAATGAGAGGGTTTGACTAAATAAACTTTCTAGCCCTACCATTCTATCCTTCTAAAATTATGTGATATCTTATTCTTTACTATTCATATGTCATACATTTTGACTCATTTAAGTAAATAAAAGTTCGTTAAGCTGCCTGAATGACAGTGAGGATGGATTGGGAGAAGATTGGGAAAGCAAGGAAAAGCCCTATATACATCATTTCCCCACGTCATTTGTATTTAAAGACTATGGGGCTGCCCATGGGTATAGATGTGTTTAAAAATTACCCAATCCTTTTTACCTAGTATGTAAGGGCAACCCTGCATGTGGAGCTGCTTCTTCCAGAGTGTCCTGATTGGTATAGAGCTGGGTCTCCAAGAGAACTCCCTGGATTTGGCAGGCAAGCAGGGTGGGTCTGTATGCTGCTGTTTTCCAGCGTTTGAACCTGTTCCTCAAAAGTATTAAATTATAAACATTTCCTCAAGCCTCAGTTTGGACCCCTCTTCTGAAACTGAATTTCCCACAGCACAGTCTTATTTCTCAGAAATGCATAGTCAGTGTGACCTTGGTTTGCTGTTACTTCCAGCTAGCAGAGGAAACGGATTCCTAAATGAGGTTCCCTTCAGAGGTCTTCAAACAGGGCGTTTTGATAGCTGGCTCAGGGCCACTGCCTGGATCCTGCTGTGGTGGGGTTGGGGAGGGTTGCTACTGTGATCCTGGAGAAGGCCCATTAGATGCCCACAATCCCTGGTCAACTGCAGCGTCAGGGCTTAGCTGAGAGTGTGCCTACGGAAGTAGCAGGCACAGAGCTCTCTTTCCTTTTCCTTGGAAGTCATTGGCCGTATTGCCTCCAGCCCATGAAGAGTAAACAAGCAGCTGGACTGTCAACATTTGTAGAAGTATATAAAGGATGCCATATCAACCTTTTGAGCAGACCAGTTTCCCAGGAAGATGCACTGCTTTTCCCACCAGCCTCATTTTATGGTTTTGTTGCATTTTGAAAAGATGAAAACTACTCTTTTCAGATTGTGTGAATGACGGAGTGGGATTTCCTGTCTTGAAAGGTGTTGTCTCACTTGAGATTGAATGAATGAACCCTAGAGAAAAGGCTTTGTTCTACACATATACACATGTGCGCAAGCGCATGCGCACGCGTGCACGCGCGCGCACACACACACACACACACACACACACACACCCATACCCTACACCCTAAGCCATAGATTATGAATATTCCATCTGAAATAAGTCATTTCCCATCTGTTCATGGAATTAGGTGTACCAGAGGCTTCTGTAAAGATTATGCTGTACTAGTGCAAAGGAACCAGACTAAGAAGCTTGCTAGGCGAGAGTGATGAAAAGAGTATGGCCAGCCTGGATTGTACCTCTTGAACTGGACCCATTTGCAACTCCCCAGCAGTGGGGCTGGGAAACTTTATTGCAAGTCTCTTTCTCCCTTCATCCTCCTGTATCTCTCCCAGTATTCAAATATTACTGGGAAGCGGGTTTAGGCAACCCCAGCTCTCTCTGGCTTTAGGGGTGACAGAAGACTAAACCTAGAGAGATTTCATCACCTGCCTGAAGCTGGGTGCTATGGTAGATAATGTGAAATCGCTTGACACCTCCTTGTGGATGGGGAATGTGGCCTGTTTGGGTGGCTTGAGGAAGTGCAGCCTCTTCACCCTAGGAGTCTCACCCTCTTTTATCCTCAACTTCGCTCCAGTTTCCAGCATTGGTGGGAGAAGGGATGAAATTGGCTGTCCCAATCACATATTTTCTCAGCTTCTCCTACTTTCACAGTGCATTTTTTATCACGTTTGCTATATGTGCCATACCCTTTTTTCCCAGTATTGTTCCCTCTTTTCTTTTTCTTCCTACTGCTCAGTTAGAGGAACAATTGGGGTTTGGGATGTTGTATAGGCCCAACTCCTGCCAGAGTCACAGGCCCACTCCTACACATCCTACAGAGGCCTCCCTTCCCCCTTTCCCCTTCCTTTCCTCTCTTACTTTCCACTTTCTGGGTGAAGGGTGACTTTCGATGGAGCACTCAAGAGTGTGGAAGCCATCACCTCTGGATTTTCGCATAAAGATAGCTGCTATGACACCCTTTTTGTCACTTCTACACCTCTTTCCACAGCCCTAGTAACCCAGCTCAGAAGGTAGTATTGTAGAAAGTCTTACTCAATAATATTCAACAAATGTCGTCATTACTTGTATTCCTTTCTTTTCAAATCCTGACTATCATTGTCCCCCATCTCCTGGGCCAGCTGAACTTCCAGAGATTTCATACTGGTTTTTGGTAGCTTCCGTGTTTCTGGTTCATTCTATTTTGAGCCCCTGACATCTATTTTCTTGCCAAAACTGCTGCACAATTGGTTGTAGAGGGGTCAGAGAAGGGAGAAGACAGACACTCAAGTCCTAACGAGAGTCAAAAGTGCCTTTACAGGAAGATTGCTCCAGCCCAGGAGGTTGAGGCTACAGTGAGCCATGATCACCACTGCACCTGTCTCAAAAACAAAAAGAAAGAAAAAGAAAAAAATAGGCCAGGCCCAGTGGCTCAAGCCTGTAATCCCAGCATTTTGGGAGGCTGAGGCAGGAGGATCACTTGAGCACAGGAGTTTGAGGCCAGCCTGGGCAACATAGGGATACCCCGTCTCTACAAAAAAAATTTTTAAAAACTAGGCTGGCATAGTGGCACATGCCTGTGGTCACAGGTACTTGGAAGGCTGAGATACTAGGATCTCTTGAGCCAAGGCGGTTGACGTTGCAATGAGCCATGATCACACCACTGCACTCCAGCCTGGGTGACAAGTGAGACCCTGTCTCAAAAAAAAAAAAAAAGTGCCTTCAGGGAGGGTGGAGGTGGGGGAGTGAAGCTCCCAGTTTAGTTGCTCTTCTGCTTTTACATGGCTGAAGGGGAAAAGAAAGGGAAATGTTGCCAAACAAGCAATGCCCATACCATCTTTTTCCTCAACTTAACCCATGGATCTCCTCACCTACCCGCTTATCCAGACTGGAAGGATATATGCATGCACTCATGTGTCCAGACCTATGTGTATGTGTGTACAGCAGGGTGTGTGATGTCTGTCCAAGCCGGTTAGCACAGTTACTTAGAACATGGTGCCTATGAGACTGAGGTCACAGGTTCAGTCACTTGTTCAGGTCACTGGGCTTCTCACAAAGAAAAGAGCTCTTCCTTTGTTCATGGCCCATGTCCCTTGTGTGGAGGTGTCACTAATGCTAGGGGAGACCAGGTAGAAGAATAGAGATGACTTCTTATAAGCCTTCCCTGCTACTGGGAAAAAAATGTGAAGCACACAGCCTAATGATGGCTGCTCTGCTGCATTCCACGGTGGAGTTTCGTTGACATTTACCTCCTTACATCTGCCTAATATGCACCCTAATAAGTATAATAATAGTGGTGGTAGTAATAGTAATAATAATTGCCAACATTTATTTTACATTTAGCAATTAAGTCTGTGCGAGGCACTATACTAAGCACTTTACATGTACCAACTTATTTTAATTCTCAACAACCGTATGAGGTAGGTACCATTATTTCCTCTATTTCACAGATAAAGAGAAGCACACAAATTAAGTAACTTGCTCAAACTCATAGCAGATAATGGCTGAGCCAGGATTTGGACCCAGACAGTCTGAGTTTAGAACTCCTGCTTTTAGACCTCACCTAAGACATAGTGAAGGTGTAGGGGGCAACTACCAAGGGAGTTGCAGTTTTTCATTCCTGTACCTTCCGGCATCCTTATGACTCAAGGATAAAAAGAGATGACCAAGAAGTGGTTAATAAATCAAAAGATTGATAGTCTCATGATACATGGCATACTCTTCTAACTACCCATTTTACTCTACCCAGATCTATATGCAAAGCGTCATAATTCTTGAGTCCAAAAGGTCCATAGAAACTTTCTCTTCAAAATGCAAATCAAAACCGCAATGAGATACCATCTCACACCAGTCAGAATGGCTATTATTAAAAAATCAAAAAATAACAGGTACTGGTAAGGCTGTATAGAAAAAGGAACACTTATACACTGTTGGTGGAAATGTGAATTAGTTCAGCTGGAAACAGTTTGGAGTTTGTTGTTGTTGTTGTTTTGAGACAGCATCTCACTGTCACCCAGGCTGGAGTGCAGTGGCACGATCTTCGCTCATTGCAGCCTTGACCTCCCAGACTCAAGGGATCTTCCCACCTCGGTCTCCCAAGTTGCTGGGACTACAGGTGCACATGACCACACCCAGCTAATTTTTGTATTTTTTGTAGAGATGGGGTTTCTTCATGTTGCCCAGGCTGATCTCGAACTCTTGGACTCAAGCCATTGGCCCTCCTTGGCCTCCCAAAGTGCTGGGATTACAGGCGTGTGCCACTGCACCCAGTCTCAGTTTGGAGATTTCTCAAAGAATTTAAAACAGAACTACCGTTTGACCCAGCAATCAATCCCATTACTGGGTACATAGCCAAAGGAAAACAAATCATTCTACCAAAAATGACACATGCTTGTATATGTTCATTGCAGCACTATTTATAGTAGCAAAGACATGGAATCAACCTAGGTGCTCATTGATGGTGGATCAGATAAACCAAATGTGGTAGATATACACCATGAAATATTATGCAGTCATAAAAAGAATGAAATTATGTCCTTTACAGCAACGTGGATACAACATGGATGCAGCCAGAGACCATTATCCTAAGCGAATTAACAAACAGAAAACCAAATACCACATGTTCTCACTTTCAAGTGAGAGCTAAACATTGACATACATGGACATAAAGATGGGAAAAATAGACACTGGAGACTACCAGATGGGGAAGGGTGGGAAGGGGATGACAGTTTACAAACTACCCATCAGGTACCATACTCACTAGCTGGGTGACAGGATCATCGTACACCAAACCTCAGCAACATGAAATTTACCCATGTAACAAACCTGTACATGTACACCGGAACCTAAAATAAAAGTTGAAAAAGAAACTGTCTCTTCTTAGTTGTTTAGCCCTGAATAAGTCACATAACTTTCTGGGCTTCAGTATTCTTATCTACAAAATAAGACATACAGTATCTACTTTAATAAGAAAATGAAGGGTCAAATCAAAGTGTGAGTATGTGAAAGATCTTTGTAAATTATGAAGTGGTTGTTATTATTATTATCCTTTTCCAGCCTCTAAAAACAGAGTCCCTATCCATTTCTCTAAATGTTGCTCTAAGTATTTCCTCCCCATCTCCCACCTTCCCACTCCATCTTTTCCATCTCCCCACTGTGTTCTTCTGCAATTTGACCCCTGTGTCCTGTAGCTAAATACTAGCTGTGTTTTCTTTGTTCCTCAGTTCTCTGAGAGCCCAGGGAGAGGAGGGGCCAGATCCTAGGTCATATACATTCAAGGAAGCAAGGCATGTTGAAATATTTACAGCACTTGGCAGGAGCTCACAAACCTCCCTACAAGTCAAGGACTGAGTTTTTTTAGTAGGAGTTGCTACGGGTTGGGGGCAGATGGTGGGGTGGAGTTAGGGTGTCACTTCCTCCCGAGGGTCTCTCACAGAGCCTCTGTTCTCCTGCAGGTAACGAAGAATAAGGAAAGGGATATTTAGGGTCAGAAGGTCTGGGCTAGGGGACATCAAGCATAGAAGGAGCTTTGCTCCTTTGTATTCAGCTTTGGAGTGGGCCAGTTTCCTTGTGTTCTGAACAGGATAGCTCCAGAAAACAGAGGCCACAGGATTGTGGCCTTCACAAAGAAGGATTGCCAAAGCGGTTTTGATTAAGCATTTCAATGGCCACTAAGGGAGTTTTCATTAAGACAAGCTAGTAGGCAAATCAGAACAAAAATGTTTTGCTTTTTTGTTGCAAACAACAAAACAAAATTCCTAAACCCTTCTTTAAGACTAAGATTTCAAATATACTAGGGCTCACCATATTGATTTTCAGTAATTTAAATGCCTTCTGATCTGGAAGGCATTTTGGAAATCACACAGTCTTACTCCCTCTGGTTCCCATCTTAAGGTGAAAAACTGAGACCTGGAAAGATGTGACTTTAATCAGCATTGTGAGTAGATGCTTATAGTAGAGCTTGGTTTGTCAGAGGACTGGGGAATAAGCGGTAGGCTGCTGTCGCATTAGGTGTTCCCCAGCTCAATCACTGGCATTCTTCTCCCCTTTCTCTCTCCCTGAACTTTTCAAAGTCAATCCCCAGGCCCTACTTTGTGAAAAGAGATGGAGACAAAATTCAAAAGGTATGATGGTGAAAAGTCTCTTTCCCACTCCTATCTCCCAGCCACCCTGTTTCCCTCCCTAAAGGCCACCAGTGTTATCTGGTGTGTCCCTTCAGAGATACTCTGTATATGTACAAGCAATTGTGTGTGTGCACATGTGTGTGTGTATACCCTACCCTTAACACTTTCAACTTTTACTGTAGATTAAAGAGCACACAGGCCAGGCATGGTGGCTCACACCTGTAATCCCAGCACTTTGAGAGGCCGAAGTGGGTGGATCACTTGAGGTCAGGAGTTCAAGACCAGCCTGGCCAAAATGGTGAAATCCCGTCTCTACCAAAAATATAAAAATTAGCTGGGCGCAGTGGTGTGCACCTGTAATCCTAGCTACTTGGGAGGCTGAGGCAGGAGAATTGCTTGAACCCAGGAAGCAGAGGCTGCAGTGAGCCAAGATTGTGCCACTGCACTCCAGCCTTGGCAACACAGTGAGACTCTGTCTCAAAAAAAAAAAAAAAAGTACCCGTGCAGATTTCTTACGTGGGTAAATTATGTGGCGCTGAGGCTTGGGGTCTTAATGATCCTATCACCCAAGCCATAAGCATAGTACCCAACAAGTGGTCCTTCAGCCCATGCACCCCTCCCTCCCCTGTCTAGTGATCCCCAATGTCGATTGTTCCCATCTTTATGATCATGTGTATTCAATGTTTAGCTCCCACTTATAGGAACATGTGGTATGCCCTACTTGTAAAGTACAAATTGTAGGCTACCATCCACCTTATCCTCCACTTTGCTTTTCATACTTCGAACTATATCTTGGTACATTAAGTTCATAAAGTCTTCATTTTTTTTAAATGATTGCACCATATTCCATTTTATGGCCATATCACAATCTATTTAATCAACACCTTACATTCATACTGCTACTAACCTTTGACTATGGGGCTTTAGTGTCAAACAGTGCTAGATTCAGATTACTTTCCACATGACTTGCCTTGACAAAGTTTTAAAACTTCTTGGAGTCTGAGTTTTCTCATACATAAAATAAGTATAATAATACCATCTGTTATTGCTGGTGTGGAGATTAAATGAGATGAGGCATGTAAAACATCTAGCATACAGCCTGGCACGTACTAAGTGTTCACTAAGTGTTTGTGCTCTCCCTGCTCACCAGCCCTCCCTATACCTTCCACCTCCAATTCAATTAATATTGGTTGAATTCAAGTCAATAGGTCTTTGACCTATGTTAGACTGGACCTTGGATGCACCAGAGAAGGAAAAGGGTCCCTCAAGAAGTGTATGATTCCCTTGAGAAGACATAACACACCAAACAACTACAGTTGTGCTAAGTAGTTAAAAAAAAAGTGTGTATATTACATTGAATGCAATTTTCATGTGGTGATGTAGAAAAAGAGAAATGATTGTGAGGGCAGGAGGAATCAAGGCCCTGATAGAATTGGAATTTGAAATAGGGTTTAGCTAAGTGGAGAATTGGGCAGTGGCAGAGTGGGGGCAGAGAAATGGACAGTTGGGCTGTTGCTTGGATTCTGGGTCTTTGCCCTCTGGCAGCCTAGTGAGTCACTGTTCCCCATTAGGCCTTACCCAGCAGGTGGGGTGGAGGGGCAGGAGGAGAGGAAAATACTGAGGACATTTGGGGAAAAGGACACGGGGAGGGGGAATGTTTGGGCACTGGGCCACAGAATGAGGTGCCTACAGATGGTTTGTGGCACAGCCTACTCAGCCCCCACCACCTGCTCTTCCATGTCAGCCACCCAAGTGCATTTCTAAGAGGTCCAAGGAAAAGAAGAGCATAAGTAGCAGCAGCTCTCAACCCCTCACTCTGTGTCCCAAACAGGTCCTCAGATCCCATAAGCCCTAGGAGAGGGAAGAATATTGAATGATAAAAATTCCCTGTGTGTGTGGGCATTGTAGTTTACATCTTAGTTTGTTTTTTTTTTTTTTTTTGAGATGGAGTCTTGCTCTGTCGCCCAGGCTGGAGTGCAGTGGCGCGATCTCGGCTTCTCGGCTCACTGCAACCTCCGCCTCCCAGGTTCAAGCGATTCTCCTGCCCCAGCCTCCCAAGTAGCTGGGATTACAGGCACATGCCACCATGCCCAGCTAATTTTTGTATTTTTTTTTTTTTAGTAGAGACGGGGTTTCACCATGTTGGTCAGGCTGGTCTTGAACTCCTGACCTTGTGATCCGCCTGCCTCGGCCTCCCAAAGTACTGGAATTACAGGTGTGAGCCACTGCGCCCAGCCCTACATCTTAGTTTACATTGACACTTGCAACAGAGGCAGTTATGAAATAAAATACCCAATTGAATTTCATCATGTGCCAATATTTTTGGTCACATCAAGTGCTATGTTGGGAGTTTCTGGAAAATGAAAAGTCAACGTGGTTTGTGTTACTTAGGGAAAAGGTCACTGCAGTGAAGGACTGTATAGAGATTCATATTCCCACTTTACAGTTGCAGAAAATGGACAGCATTTTCATTGAGGGCAAGTGAGTGCCCTGAGGTAATACATTTAATATTTAGCAGATTAAGCCCAGGAGTTTGAGGCTGCAGTGAGTTTTAATGATGCCACTGCAACCTAGCCTGGACAAAAGAGCAAGATCCCATCTCTTATATATATGTATATGCATATATATATATGCATATATATATGTATATATATATATATATTTTTTTTTTTTTTAGTGGATCTGGGACTACAACTGAGGCCTCCCAATTCCATGTTCTATGGGGGAAGAAATGTAGAAGCTACCTGAAAGGTGGAATAAAAATTTTCCTAAACTTAGTAGCAGCTTAAAGTTTAAGTGTATGGGTAAGAAGCAGTATAGTATGATGAAACAAAGAACTGAGAGTCTAAAAGTTCAGGGGCTCATGAAAGGAAGGATCTGGACATAAATAATGCCTGCTGGCTGGGATCAAGAAAGAGCACTGGACTAAGAGTCAGGAGACCTGGGTTCTGGTTCTGGCTCTGTTACTGGCTGTCTTTCTGACCCTGCCAAGTCCCTTCCCCTTTCTCAACTTCAAATTTCTCCACTTATGCATTGAGAAAGTTGAACTTCCCAGAGACTTAGTGACACTTAGAACCAATGGTATCTGTAAACCAAGGAGGCTTTGGGAACTTCCTGACAAGGGGCTGAGGGTGATGGAGAGTGGTGAGGTTGTGAGTGGAAGAGAACTTCTCTGATGAAAATGGAAAACAGATCCTCTCAAATTTGAGCAAAGGTGAGTTTTGGAAAGGGTATCTACCTCATAGTCTCTATCCTATATCCTTGGAGAATTCTATCCAAGAGAGGGGAAAAAGGAAGAGTGTGTACGTGTGTGTGTGTGTGTGTGCGCATGCGTGCAAGTGAGCAAGAATTTCAATGCGAAGCTAATGTTTGGTGGGACAGATTGTAATATGCTGAGTCAATATCTCTGGAAATCTCTTTAATAATCTCCACTTTAAGATCACTTTTCTAAGACGTTGGTTTTACTTTTAAAAAGGGGTTTGTGTCTTATGGGTAAGATACTATTGAAAGTCCCCCTTTCATGGAGCCCACTTGAGTGAGCCACACTGTCTGGATTAATCCTGGCTCCACCATTCACTAGCTGTTTATTGTGGTAAGGCACTTAAACTCTCTGTGCCTCTATTTCCTCATTTGTAACAGGAAGATAGCAAGAGTACTTACCACGTAGGGTTGTTAAATGAGTTGATATCTATGTCTATATATGTATCTCTAGCTAGCTAGCTTAGAACAGTGCCTGGCATATGCAAAGTACTATGTAAATGTTTCCTATTCTTATTATCTACTGAGTAGACTACAGCTCATGCATCTATACAGCTGGGTTTCAGAGAGCAAATATGACCCCCAAGTGAGCCCAAAGGAGCTCAGTATTACCCAGTCAGAAATTTAGGGAGTTAGGGGTTTCTTATCAAGGTACCTTCTAGGCTGTTCTGATGTTGGCCACACCTAGGACCAGATTAAGACCTTTAGAGGTTCTAAATACTGGTTTACTGATGGCCAAATTCTGAAATAATTAAATCTATGTTTTTCTCATTTGATGGTGGTCCTGCTTCACTGGTGCCCTAAGCTCATGCTCATCCATCTATTGGATAATCCTGTACTGGCCACGCCAGCCTGTATGCTCCTCCCTATGCTCTGGAGGGAACCAATGACTAAGAGGGGTCTACACATTCACAAAGAACAGTTTTGAACCCAAGCTGCTCCATCCACAGCGGGGTGCCCCGTGTCCCAGCTTCTGAGAGCTTAACCTGCCAAGCCTCGTGACCTCCTTGCCGGTTGGGACCTCCCATCCTGTTACTTGGAAGGATGGTTTATCTTCTGGGGCCAGGGGAAGAGAAGGACAAATGCCTGGAAGTCCAAATAAGGCCCCCTGCAGGAAGCTCTAAACATTAGCAAGTTAAAGTTCTAGTGACAAGTTCAGATGACTGAGCATGGTCATGATACGGAAGAGGAATGTGTGAGGCTCTTTTGCCTCCACATGACGAGGAGATCAAGCTCCTTCCCTGAACCCTAACTTGTTCAAGGACTTCAGTTCAGTGTTCCCGGAAAACTTGGAGTCACTATCAGTATCTTCATTACCCTACACATCTTGGCCAGGTTCTAACCATCCAAATGGTGAACAGCACAGTTTTATGTTCCAAGAGCCAGTGTTTTTTGCCTTACCCTAGATATTTTGCCTATGGAAAAACTAGCCAAAAGCAAGGTTTCCTTAGATCTGGCCAAACAGCTGCAGGGACCTGGTGGCCTGGATAACGGAGGTCAGCAGGACTCCAGACAGGTTTATTTGCTGCCTTCCTCACAGAATATCTCAAACATGGAAAGCTCAGGTGAAACCGGTCAGACCAGATGTTGAGAAACTGCAGCTTTTAGGAAGAGAAGACAGATAGATCCACAGGCAGCAAGAAGAGAGAATAGGGAGGTAAAAAACCTATTGTTCCAGCTCCTAATCACAGGACCCCCACCCTCATCACACACCTATGGGCTCCAGCATATCACTTGCTCAAGAAGGCAATGGCTCATCTGTGTCCCATGAGTGGATCTGCTTATTATCTCCACGTAAGACCACCCAACCTAAAGGCTACTTTCCAGGCCATAGCTCAACAGAGACTAACATTTGCCTTGAGGCTCTCTTTTTAAAAATGGAATCTGTTTTTAGCACTAAAGGAAAAGATAGCCTTGGAGTGGGAAGTCACAAAGAAGACCCCAAAGTTCAACTCTCCTTTGCCTCACTTTTCCACATGCTTTGTAGTATAGGGTAAGGCACAGGATCTTATAACAGACAGACCAGTGTTAGAGTCCTGGATTTGCCATTTACCTGATCTGCAATCTTGACCAAGTCTGAGCTTCACTCCCTATCTGTAAAAAAGGGGCAGTGGGAGCATCATAATCCCTACCTCACAGTCTTACGATAAGGTTCAAATGAAAAGATGGATGTGAAAGCCCTTTGAAAACAGCTTTGCATTATCATCATGATTACCACATACATAAGTTTATCTATAGACTTGCACATGTGCTTATGCACGTATAGCCAGATTGATATACCACCCATGATGCACACGTGTATAAGCAACCACTTATATGTACAAAACTACACATACATCTGATCTTAAGCCTGAACTCATGACACAGACAATTAAAAGTGCATACACATACACATTTATCCACATGGATATACTTTCTCCTTCTCTCACACACGTACACCCACACAAGCAAATGTATATGTATCTCTGTAAGTGTGTGCATGCATATGTGTGTACATCTATAGCCTCATAGCTGTACAGGTGAGCATACCATACCCTTCAGTTTCTGCCTAGATAATCCAGTTTTCCGGGGGTCTGACAAAGGCCCTGTTTGTAAATTCCTCCACTTGATACTGATAATGTCCCTTTTGCCCTTGCTGAGGCTTCTTCTCTGTCTCCACCTTGTTTGCAGAGTAGCACAGCTGCTGCAAAAATTCAAGCTGCAGTATGTGACATACACATGTCTGGAGAACATGGATCCTTGTCCAGTTGCTCTTTGAATAGCACTACGACTCTAGCCTGCACAGCATATTTATAGCCATGTTTGCAAAGAGCTGACAGCATTTTCAGACTTTTTTCAAAACGTAGTTAATCCAGCCACAAAAATAGTCACTGGCCCATATGCCCCAAAGCTAAAAGAAATTGGGCAGCGTGCCTAATGAAAATTAGTCACAGAGCCTAAATGAAGTTGAAGTTGAATCAAACTCTCTCTCTCCCTCTCATTCTCTCTCTCTCTCTGGCTTGCTCAACTCTTTCTTTCTTTCTTTCTTTCTTTCTTTTTCTTTCTTTCTTTCTTTCTTCCTTCCTTCCTTTCTCTCTCTCTCTCTTTCTTTCTTTCTTTCTTCTCTCTTTCTCTCTCCCTTCCTTCCTCCCTCCCTTCCTTCCTTCCTTCCTTTCTTCCTTTCTTTCTTTTTTTTTTGAGACAGGGCCTCACTCTGTTGCCCAGGCTGGAGTGCAGAGGTGTGATCATGGTTCACTGCAGCCTTGATCACCTGGGCTCAGGTGATTCTTCCACCTCAGCCTCCTTGTGTAGCTGGGACTACAGACATGCACCACCAGGCCCGGCTAATTTTTTTTTTTTTTTTTTGTAGAGATGAGGTCTCACTGGTCTCAAACTCTTAGGCTCAAGTGATCCTCCTGCCTCAACCTCCCAAAGTGTTGGGATTACAGGTGTCACCCACCACACCCAGCCTCACTCTTGCGCTTTCTCTCTCTCTCTTTTCCCTTCCTGCCCTCTCTTTGCCACTGCTTTTTATTCTAAGGATCTCTAAGCCTAGGGTATGTGTGGTGGGGGAGTGGGGGGTGGTACCATGAAGTATATTTGCTTCAAAGAGGTCCTGGGGTCATTAGAGCCTAAGGTTTTGGAGAGACAGGGAGGAGGAAGAGGGAAAGAAGAGGGAAAAGTGAGGGTATTGAGGTTTATAAGCAAGAGGAACATAGTTGGGGAATTAAATGAGGTGAGACAAAAAGGAGAAAAGTTACGCCCACTTTGAGGCCAACTAGAATTTTGGTGGCTGGATAACTTCTCAAATCAAATGGCAGAGTCCTTCAGCCTCCCCTCAATCACTAGAATGTAGGCTAGAAAATTGTTTTGCTTATTTGCAAGGTTGGAACAAAAAAGAATTCCTAGTGATAGAGTTGAAGAGTTAAGCATGGTTAGAGGAGAGCAAGATGGTTTCTCAGGAAGAGAGAGGCCTGGGCTTTATGTAATGGGCTCATCTTAGGTGGCCCAGCCATGACCAGGGTGAGGAGGGTTTTAGAGAGGGAGTAGGGTTATCATATCATTTATTGTCCAAATTGGGACACTTTTGAGGGTGAAAGAGAACTCTATTAACATTTTTGTTGGAACCACAGGCATAAACTAGAATTGTCCCAGGAAAACCAAGATGTGTGTTCATTGTAAGTTTAGAACAAATCGCTCCAGCTTGCCGGGAAAGGGCAAACTATAAGGGCTCCTCACAAGATGTCTTTAAAAAAGGTGTGTATGTGTTCTGTTTTGTTTGTGTGTGTGTATGTGTGTGTGTGTTGGTTTGGGCAGTAGAGAGTAGGGCAGGGAGATTATTCAGCCTTTTCAGCCTTGGGACTGGAGATTGTTTACTCTGAATATAAATTCCTTTTTTTTTTTTTTTTTTTTTGCTGCTGTACATAAATATGTAATGGAGCTCTTAGCCAAGCGTGTTTATTTCCTGGTCAACTTCAGAAGAGAAGAGAGAGAGAGTCAATTGTGGTGTGTGGTTTTGTGTATTGTGTGTATGTGTTTGTGTCAAAGCTGTGGAAAGTATGTATGTGTGTGAGTGGAATTTTAAGTATATCCAACTGTGTGTAACTATGGGCATGCATGTAGGTGTGGATGTGTGTGGACGTGAACACGGATGTGGTAAGAATAAATGAGGGTGTGTGTGTGTGTGTGTGTGCACGCGCATGCATGAGCATGGATAGGGTAGAGTCAGGTCTGACCTCTGGTTCACTGAGTTGTGAACTCCTTAACTTTCAAGGAGCAATCACATAGACGACCACTTTATTTTACACGTGAGGAAAAAGGCATGTGTAACGAGACCTACACACTTTGTTTTTTGTGAGAGGGAGTCTGTCTCTGTCGCCCAGGCTGGAGTGCAGTGGCGCCATCTCGGCTCACTGCAAGCTCCGCCTCCTGGATTTTTTTTTTTTTAGACGGAGTCTGTCTCTGTCGCCCAGGCTAGAGTGCAGTGACACGATCTCGGCTCACGGCAAGCTCCGCCTCCCCGGTTCACGCCATTCTCCTGCCTCAGCCTCCCGAATAGCTGGGATTACAGGCGTCCACCACCATGCCCAGCTAATTTTTGTATTTTTAGTAGAGACGGGGTTTCACCATGTTGGCCAGGCTGGTCTCGAACTCCTGACCTCAAGGTAATCCACCTGCCTTGGCCTCCCAAAGTGCTGGGAATACAGGCATGAGCCACCGCACCAGGCAGAGACCTACACACTTTTACAATTTGCTTGGCAGTGATTGAGAGTATACTAGCAGCAGTCACAATAATCCTGATTGGGAACCAGCTGCTAATCCATGCATTGGAATAAAAGCCCAGTATTTATTTAAGGTTTCTGCAAACAATGGGTGCTTGTCAAGGTGGGTTGAGGGAGCTGCCTAAGAGTAAGCTTGAGGTGTCTGTAGGCCTAGACTTGAGCAGAAGGAGATTTGACAAATGGCTGATCCACCAGACCTGTCTCCCTGAAGGACCATGTCCAACAGTGGAAACTTTCCAGGGCTTTGAATATGTTCAACTTCCCACCTCTCCAACCCCACCACCTAGAGATGTGGTTTGCCTTGGAGACAAACCTTGATCTCTATTAGAGATCCACTAGAGGCCTTCACAGGATGTAGGCCAGACATAAGCTGAAAGTGTCCCCAGACTGGGCAATAAGAGACAGGAAAGCCTCCCCCTCACCCCCAGTCTCTGACCTTCCTGTACCTGCCCTTATCACTTCAGGTTCTGGGGCAGGGGAAATGGCTAGAGATGCCCCAGGAGTGTCAGGACTGGCTGTTGAAATGGGAATTTGCAGCCGGGTGCCATGGCTTATGCCTGTAATCTCAGCACTTTGGGAGGCCGAGGCGGGTGGATCACCTGAGGTTGGGAGTTGAAGACCAGCCTGACCAACATGGAGGAACCCCGTCTCTACTAGAAACACAAAATTAGCCAGACGTGGTGGCGCATTCCTGTAATCCCAGCTACTCGGGAGGCTGAGGCAGGAGAATCGCTTGAACCCAGGAGGCAGAGGTTGCCGTGAGCCGAGATCACGCCATTGCACTCCAGCCTGAGCAACAAGACTGAAACTCCGTCTCAAAAAAAAAAAAAAAAAAAAAGAAATGGGAATTTGTGCCCCCAGGAGAAGGGTGGGTGTCAGCCATTAGTCTCATTAGCGTTGGCCGAGGAATTGGTCATGCAAGTTAGGGTAGCCCATTGCTAATGAAGCTAAAATCCAAAACCACTGTTCTTTTCTCATCTGAACAAATTCATCTTGCTTGAACCTCTGTTTGGGCTGTACCCATTTGTCTGACCAGTCACACAAAAGATGAGACAAAAGAGTGTGGGATGCTGCAGCATAGCTCTGAGAAAACAGTCCAGGTCTCATGTCCTAGTGATAAACCAGTTCAGGTTCAGCCAATATTTATTGAGCATTTACTATGTACCTAACATGATGTTAGACTTTTACAAGTATTAATTATTTCATTGAATCCTTACAATAGCCCTGTGAAGTAGGATTAGTCCCATTAAGACCCTCCAAGAGGTCCAGGCGCAGTGGCTCACGCCTGTAATCCCAGCACTTTGGGAGGCCAAGGCGGGTGGATCATGAGGTCGGGAATTTAAGACCAGCCTGGCCAATATGGTGAAAGCCCATCTCTACTAAAAATACAAAAAAATTAGCCAGGCCTGGTGGCACACGCATGTAGTCCCAGCTATTCGGGAGGCTGAGGCAGGAGAATCACTTGAACCCAGGAGGCGGAGGTTGCAGTGAGCCGAGATTGTGCCACTGCACTCCATCCTGGGCAATAGAGGGAGACTTCGTCCAAAAAAAATGACACTCCAAGAGGTGAAGTGGCTTGCTCAAAGTAAAACAGCTAGGAGTGGGGAAGTGAGAATTCAGTCTTAACTCTGCTTGACAAAAAGAAATTATTGAGAACCTACTGCATGCTAGACATTATGCTAAAATGTTTCCATGGGTTATCTCACTTAGGCCTCAAAATAGCTTTATGAGGGGATATTCCTCCCTTTTTTTTCACACATTAGAGTATTGAGGAACAGAAATGTTAAGTGACTCATCCAAGGTCAAGTGCTAGTATTCACAGTAGATCCAGGATTCAACTACAGACCTGTGACTCTCAAGCCGAGGGTCATCTCTTCCCTGCTCCTCTGTGGATATCTGATTCCATATCTAGATGATTCCTAAGGCCCCTTCCAGCTTTGACATTCCAGAGGTCAGCAACTCTATGGTAATCCTTCCCCATGAACTCGAGCAGCCTCGGGTCCCTTGGCTGTAATCTGCCATTCTCTCCTCCCCACTAGGCTCTCTCCATGTGTGGTGCAGAAAAAGAGTGGGTGAGTGACCCCCAGTCAGCTCGGGCTGAGTTGGCCCGGGGCTCTGACTCAGCTGCCTCACTCCTGGCTCCAGGTCTCAGGTGAGGTACTTTCTGTAACAGTATCCAGAAGGTGCTCTGGGTTCTAGGCCTGGGCCCTGTAACTCTCCGCCTCCTGAGAAAAACAGGAAATATCTCTTTAAATTGGCAAATAAGAAATTCCTGCAAAATGGGCTCAGGGAAGCCACTCCATTCCTTGTGTGATTGTGCCTGTGTTTGTGTGCGTCCTTCTCTGAGTGCATGATACAGCTAGGAGGAGTTGCAGACAGAGGCTAACCTTGATTCTGCATTGTCCACAGCCTTCCTGGGTGGGCTGAGATGAATATTTCCTTCCCTGCCCGCCCCATCATACCTTTTCCTCTTGGAAGCTGCTGATGGATTTTCTATCCCCTTCTGCATCTTGAGCAGAAGAGGAAGGCAGTTTGGCTCACAGAGTAATATTATCCACAGTCTGGTACCAGGTGTGTATGTGTGTGCATGTGTGTCTGGGGGCAGGGGCAGGAGGAGGTGGTGGTATTAGGCTGGCTCCAGCAGAGCACTGCTCAGGGTCTGGAATAAGCTAAGTTGCTTGTGGAGGCAACATCTGAGGGAAAGGAGTTTCCCTGGGAGACCCCTGAGTAGCACTTAGAAAATTAATATGGGGAAGGGGCTGTGGTTCAGATACAAAAACCACTCATTCTTCATCTTCTCTTATCCTCATGCTCTCTGTATTCCCTCTCCATACTGCCTCCCTCTTCAATCCTGGCTGTCCTGGCACCATATCCTGCCCCTGACTCCTCTACCCTTGTTATTTGTTACAGGGGAAGGAGCATGCCACAAGGAATCCGAAAGCTTGGGTTCTACCACTATCTGCAAATTTTACCAATATCTCCCTCCCTCTTCAATCCTGGCTGTCCTGGCACCATATTCTGCCCCTGACTCATTTACCCTTGTTATTTGTTACAGGGGAAGCAGCATGCCACAAGGAATCCGAAAGCTTGGGTTCTACCACTATCTGCAAATTTTACCACTATCTCCCTCCCTCCCTGACTTTGGGAAAGGTGCTTTACTGCCCTGAACCTCAGTTCCCTCATTTGTAAAGACCAGCCTGTTTTTTAAAGTTTGACACAGGGTTAAATGGGAAAAATATATGGAAAAAACATCTAGGAGATTTCTGTTGCTTGTTTTGAAGATCAAATGAGAGAATGACCTGGAAATACTTGGCGAGCCCTAAAGTACTGTTCAAAAAGGAGGAGTTGTTATTGTTAATATTCCCTGCTGCCTGACTGCCCTTCCATATACACAATAATGCAAATTTGCCCAGCCTAGCTTATATCCTGTCCACCTCCACTGTTTGCTGTAAAGACGAGGTGATCATCTGCTTCTGTAATGTCTATGTCCATGACAGGGAATCACACAGGATTCTCACAGGGTCCTCTTTCCTCTTCCATGGACAAATGTAGCTGGGCTTTTCTGCACAGAAAGACCTTGTCATCACACCCACAGGAGCGGTGACAACCTCAAATCAATGCAAACCATAAGAGAGATCTATTTGGGAAGTTGCAGCTTGTCTCTGGATATTATTATTAGCCCATTATTGCAGATAAGGAAATTGAGACGCAGAGAAGTGAAGTAAAGGGCACATAAATAATAAGTGGCAAGTTCTAAGTTGCGTGTGTGTGTGTGTGCTTGCACATGTGTGCATGCATTGAGGTGGGTAGGAAGTTTTTCTGGAAGCATATGAGAGGCAAGGGATCTGGATTCGCTATTAAGATAACCATCAGTCTCCACGAATCAAATAAAACCAGGCAGCAAGCCTAATAAAAATTAAGCAATGGATCAAAAAGATACTGACTGTGCACTACCTTTCTGCCTCCTTCTCTATTCGGCTTGTGTTCCTGCAAGAAGACTTATTTCATTTCACTATATATAGCACATTTTGCTAGATGCTATGATAGGAGAGGGTCAAGGGGAGATAGAGAACGATGTCTCATGTCTGTATGTCTTATGTCTGTATGAGCAGACATACATACACTCATGCCATACTTGAATCAAGGTAGACCATGACAGATCTACCTTGATTATAAACCACTATATCTCTCCTTATGAAGCATTATACTCAATTGTTAGCTCTTACTGTTAGAGCTAACAATTGAGTATAATGCTTCATAAGGAGAGACATAGTGATTCTAGCACCTAACACAATGCACTATACATAGTCAGTGCTTGATAACTTTGTATTGAAATGAAATGAGGGCCAGGAGTGGGAGAACATGAGCTTGTTTTGGGGAAGGCATTGTGGGCAAGAGGGGCCAAGTGGTTCATGCCTCTCACTCCAGGCATGCTGGGCAAAGCCAGGATCCACTGCTGACTTCTCAGGCCTTATTTGCAAGGCTGCTTTAAAGGTGCTTTGTGTTTGGGTTTGTTTTCTGACATCATTGTTCTTAGCAACCAAGGTCAGATTTTTAGCTTTTCCTTTGACTGCTAACCATGCCCCTCTGCCTAAGAAATCCCACAGGAAGCCTCCAAGCTTCACTTTGCCTCTAGACACCTGGCAAATGACTCTCCCACTTCCTTGCCCTGTCCACAGACTCTGATGCTAGTTGCGGGTGCCAAGATTTTTTTGCCCCCTCCTCTTCCCCTGGGACCAATCAGATTTCTGAGCTCCAGGGTAGAGCCACACTCTCACTGATCCTCTGTCCAAGTCTAGAATTCCCAAAGCATGGTCTGCCTCATCTGTGCTCCAGGTGCAACTGGGCAGGATAAATTTCTCACACATTGGTCCTGTCCTTCCCTGGGAAGCCTGGCTTTCCCACTCCCACTTACCTAAGTCAATTCTCTGCTTTAAGGCTGGGCGCGGTTGCTCACATGTGTAATCCTAGGACTTTGGGAAGCTGAGGGTTGAGCCCAGTAGTTTGAGACCAGCCTGGGCAACATGGCGAAACCCCATCTCTGCAAAAAAATACAAAAATTAGCCAGGTGTGGTGGCACACGCCTGTAGTTCCACCTACTTAGGAGGCTGAGGTGGAAAGATCTCTTGAGCTGGGAGATTGAGGCTGCAGTGAGCCATGATCATACCACTGCACTCTAGCCTGGGTGACAGAGTAAGACCCTGTTTCAAAACAAACAAACAAACAAACAAACAAAACAACCAAACAAACAAACCAAAATTCTCTGCTTTATTCCCCTTCATGAGAAAAGCTGGCAAGGTGAACAGACTCCTCTCTTGCTAGCCCACTGCCATCTTTGGATAGGTCAGGCAGATAGAATCCTGAGTTCCAGTAGATTCTGCCACATAATTATCCAGGGTTCAATAATTTAAGCTTACCTACCTCTTATGCAAAGACCAGAGTACTGATGAGGTAAACTTGCAGCAGAAGAAAATTAAGCCAAAAGAAAGAACTTCTCAACTTAGGATTCTAAAGCACTGTGACAGATACAGTTCTCCCTAAGCCTTTAGGTTCAACCTCCTGCCTCCAGCCATGCCAGACAGATGAAGGTCTCTATTTTCTTACTGTGGGAAGTTCAGATTTTGGCCTAAGGCCTGGGTGAAGGTGAGGATGACAGAATGACGGAGTTACTTGTTTGCAACAGAGAATGCATTCCTCCCCACCCTGTCCTGCCCCAACATGTAATTGAATATCTTTCCTTTTGCCACCCCTCAATAGGCTTTTGCCCTTCTCTTCCTAAATAAGGTTATTAAGTTATTGACTTATTCAAATAAAAGTTTGTCCAATATTCAAGAGACATTAAGTATGTTCTTTGGGTCTGAACACATGGTCAATTTCAATCTTTGTGAGTTTTCACAGAGGCCCACTAACTCCCTGTGTGAAAAAAGTACCCAGACGTAAGTCATATGAAGGGAGTTGCATGATAAAAAGCTTTCTGGGGGCCTGGTGTAGTGGTTCATACCCGTAATCCCAACACTTTGGGAGGCTGAGGTGGGAGGATCACTTGAGGCCAGGAGTTCAAGACCAGCCTGGACAATATAGCGAGACCCTGTCTCTACAAAAAAATTTAAAAAGTAGCCAGGCATGGTGGCTCGCACACTGTAGTCCTAGCTACTCAGGAGGCTGGGGTGAGAGGATCACTTGAGCCCAGGAATTCAAGGTTGTAGTGAGCTATGAACTCACCACTGCACTCCAGCCTGGGCAACAGAGTGAGAACCTGTTTCTATGTATTTAAAAAAAAAAAAAGGCCGAGCACAGTGGCTCATGCCTGCAATCCCAGCACTCTGGAAAGCTGAGGCGGGTGGATTTCTTGAGGCCAGAAGTTCAAGAACACCCTAGTCAACAGTCAACATGACAAAACCCCGTCTCTACTAAAAATGCAAAAATTAGCCAGACATGATGGTGCATGCCTGTAATTCCAGCTACTTAGAAGGCTGAGGTGGGAGAATCACTTGAACCTGGGAGGCGGAGGTTGCAGTGAGCTGAGATCCCTCCACTGCACTCCAGCCTGGGCGACAGAGTGAGACTCTGTCTCAAACAAGCAAACAAAAACACAAAAAAACCTTTTGGACAGTGACAGTGACATTGTTATGATAAAGTACTTGGTCCAAACCTGCCATACAGGGCTAGAAAGTTCTCAGCAGTCATCCATCCCAACGGTTCCCAACCCTAGCTGACTATCAAAATCATGTAAGGAGTATGTTGAACATATACCTTCCCTGGGGCTCATGAAACCTACTGAATCAGAATTTCTGAGGTAAGGCCCCAAAGTCTGTATTTTAAACAATCTTATCAGGTGATTCTCATAATAGGACAGGTTTGGGAACTATTTGTCTGGTTGAATCCTTTGGATTTTTTTTTTTTTTTTTTTTTTTTTGGATGAGGAAACCAGGCTCAGAGGGGCAGGAGCCTACAGCAAAGTGGCCAGATGGGAAAGTAAGGGCAGAGCATGTCTGCCTTGCTTCTCATCATCTCCTCTTTGCATAGAACACCTAATATTATGTTCTCTCACCCTTTCTGATCAATTACTTGTCCTTCCATGTCTCTAGAACTGTGAGTACTTTGATGGTAGGACCATGTCAGATCCATCTCTGAGGTCTCCAAGTCCTTGAGCTTGATCCTTAAAGCTAGGCTCCCAACTTACTAGGCAGGTATACATTCTTAGACCCTATGCCTCTGTTTCCAGGGACCATGGGTTGGGGCAGGAGTTGGTGTCCCCCTTCCTTCAAAAAGCAAGGCAGGCTGCAAAGTTTGAAGTATGTGAAATATGGAGGCCAGTTCTTGTGCCGAGGGAGCTGGAATGTCCAGTGGCACCAGGTTACCTGAAGCTTGGGCTGGGGCTGAGTGTTGATCTCAGGGGAATTTGGGCGTCATTCCCATTACTATCACTGACAGCAGCCTTACGTGCAGCGATAATGACATGCTTTGAAAAATGCCTCAAATGTCAGTTACCCAGCATTGAGACAGCCCCTGAGAGTTGTTCCTTCATGCCCGCATCTTTAGCTGTGCTTATCACTCTCATAGCACTGTGTTTCACCCTGCCCAATTGTGCAGGGCTGTCTGGGGCCTTGGTCTTCTGTTCTTGGAGCCAGGATAGGAAGTAGAATAAAAAGATGGCTGTGGAAGGCAAGGCAGGACTAACCATTCAGTAGTTTGCATTTTTGTGCGTTAAGATGAGCTCGTGCCAAACTGGGGAGGGAAGTATGAATGAAGCACAGACTGTCATTAGACCTGGGTTCTAACCTTACCACTGTCATGTTCATTTGCTGTGTGACTGTGGACTAGGCCCTTACTCCTCTAAGCCTCCATTTCTGCACCTGTGCAATGAGTAGCTTGGACTCACAACCTTTCTGTTCTAATTGAGTGATGCTAATTTAAGAGCCAAGCTGGAGGGTCAGGGGTGGGTATCTAATGAGTGATGCTCATTCCCTGCCTTCATTCATCGCATATCTTGAGTCCACTCTTGGAAAACATATGTTGTTAGCCCCAAAGGCTCAAGATATAACCTCCAAAGTAACTTGCATAATATATTTGCACCCTGCTGTGTTGGCTTTGTGCTGATAACATCTCAACACAGCCTGGATCCACTGTACTCTGGTTATGTCAACTTCTCAAAGGCAGTCAGATGCAATTGAAGACTGCTTTTCCCACTGGATGTGGGTGCCTGACAATGTAACTAACTCTGTTTTTCAGGGTCTCCTCCCTGGTCCTCTCTTGTTCAGCTCTGCAGCATCTGTGCGACTTCTCAGTGCATTGACTCCTTTAGCCACACACCCCTCTAAGTAGGTTACCTGCTGGCACTGGCTCAGTGCCAACAGGCTGTGGTTTCTCTAACTGTAAAGGCCTTGATTCATCCTGGTTGTGAGGAACTCTTTTAAGTTTGGCAGCTGTTTTACTCTGGGAATTTCTCCTCTGCCTAACCCTTCTCCCATCAACAAGCTTCCTTCACTTCTTCCCTCCCACCTCCCTCAAAATCCCCTATGGATAATGGGATGATCTTTGTCTTGCAACAGGGCACTATAGACGACCAGGATGGTCCATCCTTCCTCCACCACTAGTGACAGCAACAAGGCTAGCTTGGGGAATTTTAGCATCGCTCAAAGCCATGACTAATAAATAGATAATTTAAGCAAAACTCATGCACTTGCTATGCTAGCAAGCATCAAGGCAAGTCCTTTAGTCACCTCCTTCCAACCAAATTGCTTTCCCTAAGCCCTTTCTATTGAGAAATTATGGACCCTCCACCCCCATTATATGCCCCAGGGCCTAGCACAAGGGCTGGCTGGCACATAATAGATGCTCAATAAATATTTGTTGAATGAATAATGGCCGAACAGATGAAGACTAAACATACCTAAAAGCTAAAGGAAATAATGCTAGCTGAGTCAGGAGACCTGGATCAGCCACTAATCCATCTTGTGACCTTGAGCATGTTCCTCTCTTTGGGTCTAAGTCTCTTCCTCTGTAGAATTTTGCACTGAACTCAGTGATCTTTTAGGGGTCTTCCATTTCTGGGAGTTCATAATTCTGTGATCCGTACTCTTGTACCAAATACCACTTGCCGCCACCACCCCTGCTCTGCCCCGCCCCACCCAAAGAAGTAAAAGAAACTTCCATCTAGTCATCAGATAGTATTGGGATCATGCTGATAGGGAAAAGAATATAACTTGGGGTTTTGGACCAAGCCAATATCAGAGAAGCCACTGCTTCCCATTATGCCAATGGGGATTGCTGATTAGGTCTCACTCCTATGACACAAAGGCACAACATTCAAGGTCCTCCGCTCCTTGCCTCCTCTGCCTTGTCTTTGATGTCCCATGAGAAGTATGTTGACCAGACAATATCCCCTTGGCTCTGGTAGTGGTTGGAGTCAGTAAGCTGTTGGAGATCTGGGAGTCCTGGTCATTGCAGAACAAAATTCTTGTCCACTGTTATAAGCACATAGGTCTTGATTTTAAAAGTCTTATGCAGCCATAAAAATATACACAGACCAACCTGCCTGGGATTAAAGGGAACTAGGCAGAAAACCAGAAAAGGTAGAGTCTCTCTTAGTGGGCCTTTCCCTTTTTGTCTCTCTGAATTGGGTTTCCATGGGGATCTGTGGGTAAAACACATGAACTTTAAACACTTTTTAAAAAAACTTAAAATGACATTTAAGAGACCTCCAATATTGGAAATCTTTTATTCTCTGATTCAAAATATGTAACCAGTAGAAAGGTGGTTTGTTTCGTATGTGTTCTTTTAGTGTGATGAGTCAGGCTGAAGCTGGGATTGGGCAATGACTATGTGAGTATGTGGTGAATTTCAGAGGGGAAGTGCTGTTTGAGGAAAGGCAAAGCATATTTATCAGACAAAGAATGTATGAAGCCTAAAGCATGTGTTTAATACTTTGAGAAGCTGGTTACTCATACCTCCCTCCTCCTTGACACATACAGTTAGGCTCCATGATCAAACATCAGATTTAGGCTAGACAATCTTTGAGGTTTGTTCCAGTTCTGATGTTTTTTCTCTGACTGTGTGAGATTATTCAGACTTGCAAGTGCACTTTTCCAATGAATCCCCTGTGGTTACTTTCAATGTTTTATTCCAGGCAAGGAACAAATGACTGTAAAGTGGCTAAACCTCAGTAGGCTTGGCCATAAAGTGACACGGAAAATTGATAGTTAGTGATGGGCCATGAACTATGAAGTAGGGTGAACCCTTTGGATCCTCAGGACCCAATAGCTCAAAAATAGATCAAGAAGGAAGTGTGTACATGAGGGAAAATTGCTTATAGTGATGTGCCTATTTGCATTGAAATGTCATCCCTTGGGGGGTCCCCCCACCTGTCATGGGACAAATGTCTTATAGAAGAATGTGACAGCAAATGTGCCACACTGATCAGATGCTTTTGGCATACTTGAACCTTCCTGGTGTTATAAATAGGAGGGAATGAGCCTGGACTTAAATATGTCATGCTGTCAGAAACAGAAGGGATGTGCTACCATTAATAAGGGGCTTAGAGGATCCTATAGTTAAGAGCCAAAGAAGCCCTCTATTTCGAGAAGGGAAAAGTTCAATGACTGTCCGCTATCAGAGCACAATACGAGCTAAATTACTAGCAGTAGGTTGGTCCTTGACCCCTTTGGATCATAGGGAAATGATGATAATAGAGTTGGCAAGCCCCCAAGGCGCCCTCCAGACTGGACATGCATGGAGGCTGGGTCAGCCAGTTTCCACCACACTTCCAATTGCCAGTGTACTCTCTTCCTTGGAGCATTACCACCACACTCTCAGCAGGGTGGATTTGGGAAGTGGCCTGGAATATGGCAGGCCTTCCCTCTCATCCTGCTGGGAATAGTCTTGTCCGTTCCCGTTCTAGGAAAGAGAAGCAGAGAGATGCCAAAGGCTCAGGTACCTGTTGAATCAGAGAGTGAGCAGTGAGCAACACAGAAGGGTGAAGGCCTAGAGCATGTGGGGACCTCAAAGGTTATCTAGTAAAATGTTTTCCAAAATGTCCATTATAACCCATGAAATTAATTTAGAAGGTCACAATAAGCATTTTAAAAATAATATGCACTAGAAAATTTCAGAGTTTGTCACGCAGAGTAGGGATAATTAGTTTTGTGAAATTTGCTTGAGGTATATATAAAGATTATATATATAGTTTTAAATATATATCAGTTATATATGTGTACATTTTACATCACGACACATATGTGATGTATACATATACATTATTGCATATATAGCTATACACAGATATATAAATATACACAGGTCGTCCTTCACTGACGGTCACTGACATAGTTTCAATTGTCCTCAGCCTACAGTTCACTCTCCTCTGGACACAGTCAAGTTGGTTCTAAAGTATGGAGCCCCAGAACCTCAGCAGCCCTTCAAGGTATAGCCTACTCAGAGCAGAGGAAAACATGACTATCTCCTCATTTGTTCTGACCAAGTACATTTTGAACAATTCAGTTCAAGATTTCCAATAAGGTAGAATCTCACAACTTGGTACTCATTGAACTTACAGTTGCCTAAAACTCCTAGGTATCTCTCACACATGTCACTGCTAAGCCCTAGCTCCCTTACTCCCTTATCCTACTGCTGTGCAGGTTGCTTTTTTTTTTTTTTAGACAGGGTCTCGCTCTGCCACCCAGGCTGGAGTGCAGTGGTACGATCTTGGCTCACTTCCGCCTCCTGGGTTCAAGCTATTCTCCCGCCTCAGCCTCCCGAGTAGCTGGGATTACAGGTGCCACGCCTGGCTAATTTTTAAATTTTTGGTAGAGACGGGGTGTCGCTATGTTGACCAGGCTGGTCTCGAATTCCTGACCTCAAGTGATCCACCCACCTCAGCCTCCCAAAGTGCTGAGATTACGGGCGTGAGCCAACATGCCTGGCAGCAGGTTGCTTTTTAATCCTAGTACAGAAACTGTCATTTATCTTTGTTAGAGTTTACCTTTCACCTTGACTCACCTTTTTAAAATGCATTTACACATCCCATCCATGACCATCTCTATGCATATTTAAATCTGGTTTCATTGGCTCAGAGGGAGCTGCATTTAAACCCCACGTAGCTCTCTCTCAGAAGGTCATATTTATTTTTTTTCAGACTGTTCCTTTAAAAAAACTGTTATTTTTTATTTATTTATTTATTTAGAAATAGGGTCTCACTATGTTTCCCATCTTGGAGTGCAGTGGCTATTCATAGGCACAATCCCATTATTGATTAGCATGGGAGTTTTGACCTGCTCCATTTCTGACCTGGGCATGTTCACCCCACCTTAGACAACCCAGTGGTTCCCCACTCCTGGGAGGTCACCATAATGATTCCAAACTTAGTGCAGACACCCAGTCGGCACGAGGTGATCTTCTCGTGCTTCCCAAGTAACTGGGACCACACGCGTGTGCCACTGTGCCTGGCTTTTAACTATTTTTTTATTGATACATAATAATTGTACATACTTATGGGGTACTTGTGATATTTTGATATATGCATACAATGTGTAATGATCAAATCAGGGTAATTAGGTATCCATCACCTCAAACATTTATCATTTCTTCCTGTTGGGGACAGACCATTCCTTTCATTGCTCATCTATTATTTTTCTGACTACCATGATGCCCCTATTCTAGCCAAGCCAGTGTCCTCACTGTTTTCTTTCCTGTACTCGAGACATAATTCTACCACTGGGCAGACTGTAAACTAGTTCAACCATTGTGGAAGTCAGTGTGGCAATTCCTCAGGGATCGAGAACTAGAAATACCATTTGACCCCACCATCCCATTACTGGGTATATACCCAAAGGATTATAAAACATGCTGCTATAAAGACACATGCACACGTATGTTTATTGTGGCACTATTCACAATAGCAAAGACTTGGAACCAACCCAAATGTCCAACAATGATAGACTGGATTAAGAAAATGTGGCACATATACACCATGGAATACTATGCAGCCATAAAAAATGATGAGTTCATGTCCTTTGTAGGGACATGGATGAAGCTGGAAATCATCATTCTCAGCAAACTATCGCAAGGACAAAAAACCAAACATGGCATGTTCTCACTCATAGGTGGGAATTGAACAATGAGAACACATGGACACAGGAAGGGGAACATCACACACCAGGGCCTGTTGTGGGGTGCGGGGAGGGGGGAGGGATAGCATTAGGAGATATACCTAATGTTAAATGACGAGTTAATGGGTGCAGCACACCAACATGGCACATGTATACATATATGACAAACCTGCACGTTGTGCACATGTACCCTAAAACTTAAAATAAAAAAAAAAATTCTACCGCTGGGCTTTTGACTACACTAAGCCTTCACTTATGATACCCTCTTTGCCATAATGTCTTTCATGGCCCAACTTAAGTCATTATATCCTCCATGATTCTTTATTCAGTAGCTCTAGATCATATTGATCTATCCTCTGAATTTGTAAATTTCAACTGTATTTCTTGTGTATTGCTTCACATTTAGTTTTGTATAAGTGTATGTATTCTTATAAAAAATACATATAAATGTCTTATTATCTGCATTGTTGGTGCATGGCTGACTCACACAAGTGGGCACTCTAAAGCCAGAATGCCTGGGTTCAAATTCAGATGTACAATTCTATAATTTAGTAGTTGCATGTACTTGTGCAAATTACTTAATCTCTGTATGTCTCAGTTTCTTCAAAATCAGGATAACATAGTATGTGTTGCATAGGTTTGCTTAGTGTTTAAATGAATTGATATATCTGAAGTACTTGAAACAGTCCCTGACACATATAAACACTCAATAAATATTAACTATAATTATGATTAAATACTATACGCTTTCATATATTTTATCTCGGGGAAAGTTAGAGCAGGGATTGTCATCCCTGTTTTATGGATGAGTAACTAAAGTTTGAAAGGTTAAGTGACAGTGTAAGATTATATAAGTGAGCTGTCTCAGGGTCATTAGGGGATTAACTATAAAGTAGAAAATACTAAAGGCCATAAGAGAGGGAAGCAAAAGACCCTTAGGAATTTAGAAGCTCTTCTGGCTGGGGTGGGTAGGAAAGGCTTGCTGATGTCCATGAAGAAGCAATGAAGAATGTGCAGGATAGGGTCAGCCTTGGTAAGTGTCCATCCAGCCATTTTAGGCAGAGAGGGCTCAAGTGGAGTAAGGGGTAGTGGAGGAGGTAGGGTGTGGCTCCTCCTACATTTTGCTTCCGGTATAGAGGGCATGGTCAGAGGCCAGAGGAGAAAAAAATCTGAAGAGGAGACATCTGGGCATGGCAGCCATGTGGGGAGCAGTCAGTAGTAGTTCTGTGGTATGTGCAGGAGTATAGTGTGTGGGAGAGAGAGGAGAGCCTGCAGTGGCAAGACAAGGCTTTGGACCTGTGTTCCAAAATACCTATTCACAAAGTCCATGAATATTTGGCTACTGCTCTGGGCCCTTAGAATCCTTGATTGATTAGCTCAGGCAACTTTATCAGATTAACCAGCTGACCTCTTTGAATGGCACCCACTGTTCACTCAGTTGTGTTAGGCTGTGGGGAACTGAAGAGAAGGAAGAAGCAAGGTCTCTTTCCCAAGGAAGTCCCAGTCTAGGTAATTGACTATAGTTGATTATGTGTGAGTTATGGTTGTTGCACGAATAAATTATTATTTCATGGATTGTGTTCTAATTCATAAGTAGGGCTATCAGGGAGAGACAAGAAGTAGATAAAGAAACTGCCAGGTGGCAGGAGGGCACTGGCTGGGGAAAAGAAAGTGCAGAGAAGGGAGGCTAAGAGTTGGATTGAAGGTGGGAGAAGACATTTTGCTTCCTTGCGATTGGGCAGCTAGCCATTCTTAAAGTCCAGTGTGTGGGCCAAGATTCTTGGCCAGGCCCGAGCTTGGAAAATGGTGAATTGAAATATGAGTTTCCATGTACCTTTCTACCTTAGTTCCCTGGGTCTTCATCTGCCCAGGGGAGATAAAAAGAATGAATAAGAGAGCAGTTGAGGTGATTTCAACTCCATGGGATGCTGCTACAGACACACTTGAGCTGTCATTATTATGGGATGGGAAAACTGGATGTAAATTAAGATTATTATCACCTGTGCAACGACAACAACAACAACAACAACCACTACTACTACTACTAAGAATAATAATAAACTCATGTGATGCTGCCAGCATTCTAAAGAGCCTACCTTTGGGTACTGCCCCTGCTTCATGGGCTCAAAATTGAGGAGAAACTGAAGACTGTTTGCATGCCTTTCAATCTTGGATCTGCATAGACAATTCCTTAGGACCAGCCCTTGCTAGTGAGCTGGGTTAGAAATGCTCTTTGCACTCCCCTGCTAGCCAAGCCTTGTCTGTGCAAAGCCACCGGGTCCCTTCTGTCCGGTAAATTTCTAGAATGTTAAAGTACTTGGAAGGACCCTTACAGGCCATCAAGTCTGACTCCTTTGTTATACTGATAGAGACATGAGGGTTCAGAGAGAAACAGGGACGTGACTAGGGTCACACAGTAATGCAGTGGCAGAAATGGCCCTAATCCAGCTGGCCCTCCCAGCTGATAGGCCAGTGTGCACTTTCCATAGTATCCATCTCTCTCTACTTCCTATCCTTCTATCTCCACCAATTTCAGTCACTTGAGTTGTTACTGGTATTTCTCAGCCCCAGTAGCCCATCAAAATCCTCTGGGGAGCTTAAAAAAATACTGATGTCCTGGCCCCACCCCAGACCAACCGAATCGTTGTCTCTGAGGAATGGAGTGATTTTTTTTATTATACTTTAAGTTCTAGGGTACATGTGCACAATGTGCAGGTTTGTTACATATGTATACATGTCCATCAATGATGGAGTGATATTTTTAAAAGCTCTCTAGGTGATTCTAATGTACAGTCAAGATCAAGGATCACTGCTCAGGAGAAAATTAGCCTCATGTCTATGAGGAGACCTAAAGGACAGACTCCCAGTGAAGCAGACTTCCCAGCCTCCATTGACTTTGGGCCACTCTGCACCTCAGTAGGTCCCCAAACCCTGGTATGTGGAGGACGTAGGATTCTGAAAGTATGAATTTCAGGGTCACCAATGCTGTCCTTGAGCTCCATTGACCCTCTTGTCATTGCCTTTCCCCTCATGCTAGATCAGAAGTATTTTATTTCCAGACTTTTTACTTTTTCTTTACCCATCACGAAGGCCTCTGAGGAGACTGCCTGCCTCCAGTAGGCACAAACAATTTGTCCCAGCTTCTGACTTTTTGGGGAGACACACACACACAAGGAATGTCTCTTCTTTGGCTCCTTCCGAGGGGCTTGTACTGAGTATCTAGAACCACCCGCCAGCCTCCATTCCATCTACTTGCCATTCCCACACATAGAGCTTGCTTCCCAAGAACCAGACTTTGAGGGACAGCCAGCACAAAGCAGAGAGAAGGGAGGCACTGGGCACCGGGACCCCTAATGCTGTTCAGCATTTTGCCTCTTGTCTTGCTGGCTATGGGCCCATAGTTAATTTATAAACTTGACTTGCCCAGGGATAAGTAAGTACAGATGTGTATCTTTTTCCACACCACCAGTGGTCTTTCTTTTTTCAGAAAATAGGATTCACTGAAATATTCCACAAAACTAAACATTAGTGATACTAAAGAAACAAAACATCCTCTTCAACACATTACATAAACCTGCCCTCAAATAATCAGGCTAGAAGGGATTATCAATAATGTTTGGCAATATATAGTCACTTTGCTTTTTTAAGTGGCCTCCCCCTCATCCTAGCTTTATTGGAGCATAATTGACAATTAAAATTGTATATATTTAAGTTATACAATGTGATGATTTTATATACATATACAGTCTGAAATTTACCACAACCAAGTTAATTAACACATCCATCACCTCAAATAGTTAGTATTGTTTTGGTGTGGCGTAAACACTTAAGATTTACTTTTTCTTTTTGAGTCAGAGTTTCGCTCTTGTTGCCCAGGCTGGAGTGCAATGGCGTGATCTCAGTTCACTGCAACCTCCACCTCCTTGGTTCAAGCGATTCTCCTGCCTCAGCCTCCCGAGTACCTGGGATTACAGGCATGCACCACCACACCTGGCTAATTTTGTATTTTTAGTAGAGACGGGGTTTCTCCATGTTGGTCAGGCTGGTCTTGAACTCCCGACCTCAGGTGATCCACCCGCCTCTGCCTCCCAAAGTGCTGGGATTACAGGCATGAGCCACCGTGCCTGGCAAGATTTACACTTAACAAATTTCAAGTACATAATATACTGCTATTAACTACAGTCACCATGCTGTACATTAGATCTCCAGAACTTGTTTCATAACTGAAATTTTGTACCCTTTATCCAATATTTCCCCATTCCCCACAACCACCAGCCTTCAGTAACCACCATTCTAAACTCTGCTTCTATGAGTTCAACTTTGTTAGATTTTACACATAAGTGAGATCATACAGTATTTGTGGTCGTTTGATGCCCTCCCTTGGTAAGATTTTTAATCTTCCCTCTACCTCTTTCCATCTATGACTCAGTGTTCAGGAATTTGCTTGTTAAATCTCCTGGATTGGTGTTGTGTGGGCTTTAAAATGTAAAATCAAAGTTAGAGCAATAAAGAAATCCCTTTGGGCCAGTGTTGTGAAAGAATAACTTATTCTATTCAGTGCAGTGGGTGGTGGATGGACTAGAGTGCCCAGAAAGCCCAGCTGGATCCCCTTAAGCCAGTTATAGACCTCTGCTCTGGCGTTTACCTGTAACTGAGCCATGACTCCGATCTTGATCAACCATGTTATTTAGCAGGGTGTGGTGGTCCTCAGCATATATATATATATATCTCACAAGTGTTCACTGCCTCCTATCAAGGCTAGAAGGTGAGCGGTATCCTGGGAAGAAGAGGCTGAGGCCAGTGCCCCCCCAGGGGCTGGAGTTGAGTTGAAGTCATGGCTGTCAGCAGATAGAAATGTCAACTAGTGGTGGCCTCCAGTGGAAACATCTTGCAGGGAGAGACTGTACCCCAGCCAGTCCCTGGAGTTTTGGAAGACAAAACACTCACTGAAGGACAGAGTTTGAGTTCCCCCTCCCCACTGGGGCTCTGCCACTTAGAACTGTGTGACTGTGGGCAAGTGGCTTAGATACATTCTGTTTTCTCAGTCATCAAGCAGGTATACTTAATACCTATCAGTGCAGTTGTGTGTAGTAATGCAGGTTAAGTATATAAAGGGGAGGTGCTCAAGAAATGTTAGTTTCCCAACCTTTCCCTCTCCTATCCTAGTCCCAATAGTCACACCCACTGTTGGAAGAAAACAATTGCATCTGACACTCTCTCCAACTCCTACCTCACCTCCTTGGCCATTCTCCAGACTCGGGTGATTAAGAAGATAGAAAAGATAAGGAATGTCTGGAGCACATAAGGGTCCATACATTCAGGGTAACTGCAAGGGCTTCTGGAGTATAATGACTTTGGTCAACAACTAGCATGGGTGGCATGAGCATGTTAGCCCATAACAGAACAAGTACTGGGATGTCAGGGCCGTGGAAGGAAAGAGCCAAGACTCAAGGTGGTCTGACTTCAATGCATCAAGCAGAGGCTTGCTGGTCCCTGTCCTCTTCTGTTCTGCTTTTTAAAGACTAAAGGTCCCTGTGGGTATGGAGAAAGCAGCTGCATCTGAGAAAATAAGTAATACAGTAGAAGCTAAAGATGGAGTTCTGTGGCACCCATGAGAATGTTCCTGGAAGACTTCCAACTACGGGGAGCATAATTGACCAAGGGTCTTGGCTGCTGCACTCTGAAATCGTCCCAGCATTTGTGCTGAGGTCACACCTGCTACATGGCCAAGATACTAAGGTGGGCCTGTTCTTGGGAGACACAGAAATCCTCTGATTGCCAACTGACCACCAACTGACCTTGGTTTCATGAATCCATGATGGTGTTGCCAAACCTTCCTTAGAGTGCAGGGCAGACTAGGAAGCTTCCACCCAACCTTCCCTCATCCTCTCTTTCACTCAGGGTCAGACTTACATTGCAGTCTCACGTCTTCCCTAGCTTTCTCAGACTTCCTCCCTATCTGCTGTCATTTCTCTTAATAAATCCCTGCATATGCAATCCCATTTTATTGCCTACTTCTCTGAGGTCCCAGACTAACACAAATTCTGACCAACATGAAATCAAATGTATTGGCCTAGAGCCTGGCCTGTACCCAGGGTCTAGCCTTGGGCCACTTTTAGAAAACATTCAGCAGGTTTTTTGTTTGTTTTTTGAGACGGAGTCTTGCTCTGTCGCCCAGGCTGGAGTGCAGTGGTGCGATCTCGGCTCACTGCAAGCTCCACCTCCCAGGTTCATGCCATTCTCCTGCCTCAGCCTCCTGAGTAGCTGGGACTACAGGCGCCCACCACCAAGCCCAGCTAGTTCTTTTGTATTTTTAGTAGAAATGGGGTTTCACCGTGTTAGCCAGGATGGTCTTGATCTCCTGACCTCGTGATCCACCTGCCTCGGCCTCCCAAAGTGCTAGGATTACAGGTGTGAGCCACTGTGCCCGGCCAACATTCAGCAGGTTTCTAAACATTGGAGAAGTATCCCTAAAGTTTGAAAAGACTTCGGGAGTGATATAAATTTATTGCCCTGCTTTACTCTGAATGAATATCTCAGACAAATAAGTTTCTTTTATTTAATGTTCCAACTCAGTGTCTTATATGCCTTCTTATGGAAGATGTTTCTTTAATCTAACTATAGTATTTCCCAGGAAGCTCTCATTTTCTCCTGTCCTCCATTTTGGACTGAGAGTCAGAGAAATCTAGCTCCAGGTTTGCCAGTGACAAACAGTGTCATATTGGACAAGTCCTTGTACTCTCTGTAACCTTCTCTTTCTGAACCTCAGCTCTTATTTTTTGTGACTACCACTTTTTCTGTTTCCTCAGTTCCATTCCTCAGAACCAGTGTTCAAGTTCTCCTAAAAGATATTGGTGTGTTAGAAAAGGAGAGAAAGGGAGAGAGAGAGAGTGTGTGTGTGTGTGTGTGTGTGCACGCGTGCATGTGTGTCTGTCTGTGAAAAAGAGGGAAAGAGGGAGAGGGAGAGGAAGAATTGGAGAGAAGGAGAGAAGCAGAGGGAGAGAGAGGGTGAAAGAAAGACATCTCTGTGCAGCTTATTTCCAGCTCTGCTTGGCGGTTCCCTCACACGCAGTGCTAGGCAACACACATGGTGACCTACTTTTGCAAGAAGGCTCTATTTTGGAGTTACAGTCTTCTTTACCTTCCTCCTTTGCCTGGGATGGCTCTGCCACTAAACAGCAGATACAGATGTAAGGAACAGAGGATTGGTGGCTCTGGTATCATTACCAAATTTTAAAAATTGTAAGGATGAAAGGCATTCCAGCTCTTAGCTTTGTGTTACCAGAAACCACTCCAGAGATTTGAAACTGAATCACTTACAACTCCTCCTAGGAGGAATTCAGGCTTAATCCCATCTCCATCCCCATCTAGAGAGGCCAGGATGCTTTGTCCCAAGCCCCTGAATCCCTCAAATCTGACCCTGTCCCCTGCTGTGGCCACCACTCTCTCCTATTTCATTGGAGTGTCTCCTCCTGAGCCTTTCAGCCCAGTCCAGGCCAGCTCCTTAATAGCTGCCCCTTCCCGTGAACTCCCTCTTCCTGCCTCCTCTTCCCTCCAGTGGCAGAAACCCCACCTCTGTTGGCCCAGTGTCTTTGAAGAGAGTCCTGAGATGCCCCTCGGAGTTTGGGTAGAGCCCTTGCAGGCATCCAGAGAACAACTGGAATCAAGGCCCTTTGTGCTTTCTGGTTCCCAAGCGCCTTTGGGGCTTGAGGTTCTCTTCATTAGTGGTGGATCTGAAGTGTTTGTTTCTCGAGTAGCCTGACTGCTAGTGTTTCACCCAGAGTTTTTGGTTATAGTTTGGTGTTTGTTTGTTTGTTTTTGAGATGGAGTCTCGCCCTGTCACCCAGGCTGGAGTGCAATGGCATGATCATGTCTCACTGCAACCTCCACCTCCTGGATTCAAATGATTCTCCTGCCTCAGCCTCCCGAGTAGCTGGGATTACAGGCACCTGCCACCATGCCCAGCTAATTTTTGTATTTTCAGTAGAGACGGGGTTTCAACATGTTGGCCGGGCTGGTCTTAAACTCCTGACCTCGTGATCCGCCCATCTCAGCCTCCCAAAGTGCTGGGATTACAGGCGTGAGCCACTGCACCCGGCAGGTTTGGTGTTCTTAACCCAGCATCTCACAACTTCTGTACTGAGCCTTCTATGGATCTTTGAAAAATGGGCTTCTCCAGAAGGTAGGGGGAACTTTCACAGCCCTGGGAGACCATGACCAAAGGGAAACATGACTGAATGGGACAGAGGAGTAATTGTGCTTAGGACTAGTTTAGCAGAAATTCATTAGGGGGCTCAAGACATCTGTGAAAAAACTGAAGCAAAATCCCATAAAAATAGAAGGCCTTCAGAAACACTGCCCACAGACTCAACAAAGGGATCTGGCCTGAGAAGCCCAAAACACTTGGGCCACCAACTTCTGCTTCTTTCTTGTGAGACCACATGCAGGTCTCTTCATCTCTTTGTGGCTCAATTTACCCACTTATAAAATGAGGGACCTGGACTCTATCTTTTAGGATAGTGAAAAAGTAGCTAGCCTGGGAAAGAAGAGATATACACAACTCTAGAGATTCTTCAGATTTTTCCAGGGACTACTGCAGAGGGAGAGGATGGATGGGGACAAAAGAAATGAGAAAAAAAAAATCGGTGGAGTTTCCAGTAGGCTGACAAGTGCCTCCATCACATCAGAGCATTCCTGCTTTTATATTATTTATGCAATGTACTTCAGTGTAAAATTGCAATTGGAAAGGAAAGGGGGTTCCATGGATTTAGGAAGGTTTTAACTTTCTAACTTCTAGCTGCAAGTGAGTCTGAAAAAGTAAGAATGTAGTTTTTATAGCTTTTGTAATGATGGTAGAAACAGAGAAGAGGGTTGAAAATAAGAATATTGAGTTAGTTCAACAGCATCCACTATGATTAATATTTTTTGCTCTAAATTTGATTACTTTTTAGAGCTTATTAATGCATAACTGATGTACAATAAACTGCACATATTTAAAGTACATTATTTGGTCAATTTTTTTTTTTTGAGATGGAGTCTCACTTTGTCACCCAGGCTGGAGTGCAGTGGCACGATCTCGGCTCACTGCAAACTCCTCCTCCCGGGTTCATGCCATTCTCCTGCCTCAGCCTCCCGAGTAGCTGGGACTACAGGCGCCTGCCACCATACCCGGCTAATTTTTTTGTATTTTTAGTAGAGACAGGGTTTCACCGTATTAGCCAGGATGGTGTTGATCTCCTGACCTCGTGATCCACCCGCCTCTGTGTCCCAGAGTGCTGGGATTACAGGCGTGAGCCACCGTGCCCGGCCTATTTGGTCAATTTTGACAAATGTGTACATTCATGAAATCATTGCAGTAATCTAGATAATGAGCATGTACATCATCCTCAAAAGTTTCTTCATGCCCTGTTTTAGTTCATCCCTCCCTCCACCACCATCGTCTGGCAACTACTGCTCTGCTTTCTGTAACTATAGATTAATTGGCATTTTTAGAATTATTTATATGTGGAATTATACAGTATTTACTCTTTTTGTCTAGAGATTTTTCACTTAGCATAATTATTTTGAGATTCAGAATAAGGTGTGTATCAATATTTTATTCCTTTGTATTGCTAAATAGTATTACATTGTGTTGATAACACAGTTTGTCATATCTAATTACCTGTTGATGGGCAGTTGGGTTGTTTACAGTTTGGGGCTGTCAAATAAAGCTGTTCTGAACATTTATGTACAAGTTGTTTACAAGTACTTTTAAAATTTAACTAATGACTTCCATTTTCAAAATGTTTCCAGCAGAAACTGACTTGGGAAATGTTGCATTTGTGTGTCTCTTTGTACTCAAGCTATTTTTTGGCAGTTTTTGTTGTTGTTGATATTTTATATCCTTTGATGTTATTACACATTGTTGATCCTACAGTTGCACCTCCCCAAGCATTGTGAATAGGTTTCTGAAAGCCTTTGTAGGAAGAATTTCAGTTGAATAATTTAAGACTTGTATAAGGAGTTTTCTTGAGGGGGACTGAGAGGCAAAAGCCCTTGTAAATATTTTATATTTACTAAAACAAACCACTAAATATAATACCAAATAAAGATGGTATTAATTTCCTTTTAAACCCACTGGCCTAGACAAAGGCTAGAGTCTTCACCCAGCTAGGGGAGACTGGAAGTCCATAAGTGGGCAAGAGACACAACCCTAAAATATTCAGTTTCAGACCTAGGCTAGGTGCAGTGGCTCATGCCTGTAATCCCAGCACTTTGGGAGGAGGCTGAGCGGGGAGGATCACTTGAGGCCAGGAATTTGAGACCAGTGTGGGCAACATAGCAAGATCTCATCTCTACAAAACAACAACAACAAAAAACTTGAGGCCAGGAGTTTGAGACCAGCCTGGGCAACATAGCAAGATCCCATCTCAATAACAGCAACAACAACAACAACAACAACAAACAGACCTATTGCTCCTCCATGGAGCCAGGGAACATGGCAACACAGAGGACTCCCATCTCCAGTACTAGGCCAGCCTATGGCCAGCAAACAGCTGTTGTTTCAGGAAAGGGGTTCAGAGAGAAATTGCATGGTGTGAAAAACTGTTAATGAAACAGGATATGAGATCCATCTCATGTCTTCCTTCCAGTACTCCCCAAGGAAATGGCCATACTTGTATTTCACTCTTATTTTATTTTACATTTCCTTAATAAAATTTTAAAAGGTTTCATGAGGCTATATGGAAACGAAGGATGACTCTTCAGGCCATGAGGAGAGTGTGGCATGAGATTTTGCCGCAGTATGGAAAGGAGAAGCCTGGAATGGGGAACCAAGCACAAAAACTTTGTCCTGGGAGTTCCTGCAGGTGTCCTTGAGAATGAACTATGGCAGAGAAAGGCAGGGGCAGAACCCTTCAGAGAGCATTGACTCATCAGCTGCTACAACCTGATGAGCCGATCAGGTTCTTGCTGCTCTTGCCCACCCTTCAGACTCTTTCCCTGAGCCTCAAAGCCAGCTTGAACAATATTTCACTCTTCTAGGCTGCCTGGGGAGTTGGGAGTGGTGCTCAGCCCATTTTGTGGGGGTTGGAGACTGTTTGTGCACCAGGGCAGTCCCCACTAGAAGGCAGGAAAGAGCTGGAGAGGGTTGGAGAGATTCCCAGTAAGAAGCATGCTGCAATTTTCTTTCACAACCAACCCCCATATTGGGGTGACAATTCCAGGGAAATGGGATGCATTGTTCTCTACTTGCTGCTAGCCTCTGGGCCATGAACAAAGTAGTAAATTGGCCCTGTGAGGGAGGGGACAGAAGGGGGAGGTGGTGGAGGATATGGGGACCAGAAGCCCCTGGGGCTGACTGATCTGCTTACAAACATCAGAACTTCCCCTCCGTGACCCTCCCAGCCCCCAGGGAATGAGAACTGTTTTGCTCTCCTAGATCAGAAAGAACAAGATGTCCTTATCTGGTGGGAGAGGGCTGGTCAATACCACCTCCAAGGAGAGAAGAGAAAGGACCCAAGAGAACTGCAAGCCCAGCAGGAAGCATCATTCTTGGGGAAAGCCTAGAAAGAAGCAGGCAGGCTCCATCCCAGGCCCACAGGGTTTCAGGAGTCCGGATGGGCGGTGGATTCAGACTCCATACTCTCCCACCAGTGCTTCAAAGCCCTGGTGCTTGTGGCTGGTGTTAATTTTTTACTTTTATTGTCTTTATGAGCTTTTTCTAAACCTGGCTTCTAAAAAGCTATGAAAGCCAAACAGCTTTTCAGGCTACAGCATTCTCCACCCCCTTTCCTGACTCCCTACTTACCATTCCTCTGACCTTTCTTGAGCACCTACTTTACTGTGGGAGAACAGCCATCCCTCAGTATATGTGGGAGATTAGTTCCAGGACCCCTTGCAGACACCAAAATCCACAGATGCTCATGTCTCATGTCCTTTACAAAAATTAGTGTAGTATTTGCATATAACCTATATACATCCTCTCATAAACTTTAGGTCACTCTAGATTACTTATGATACCTAATACAATGTAAATGCTATGCAAATAGTTGTTATACTATATTGTTTAAGGAGTAATGACAAAAAAAGTCTGTACATGTTTAGCACAGACACAGTCATCCATTTTTTTTCAAACATTTTCGATCTGCTGTTGGTTGAACCCACTGATGCAGAACCCACTGATAAGGAGGCAAAAGATTCTGTGTAGGGTCTGCTGCAAACCCATGCTTCTTCCAGGGCTCTCAGTCTCTGTTACTTTCCTCACCAAAAAGTTGCCCTTTTGTGTATGGTAAAAACAACGTTGTCCTTCCCTGAATTAATTTACCAACCTTGGTCTAGAAGCCCATGTCTTTGTCACAATACTCAATATTTAGTGATGTGGCCCTAGAGAGGTTTTAGACTTTCAGTCAAGGTTCTGATATTTTTGGTCTGATTCTGCCAACCCAGATCATTTTATGGCCACAGAACCAAATGGAGCTAGATGCTTTCCTGGCACAATTGGTGAGTTTTGTTCAATTCAACAAACCTTTCTTGAGCACCATGTCACCATATGCCCAGATAGCTCTCTGCCAGAGAGAGAGGTATAAAGCCCTTTAAGGGCCCGCCCCTCCCCTCCATCTTCCTGCCTTTTTCTACCTTGCTGCACTTCTTCTGCCCATACAGGCTCAGCTCCATCTAGAGAAAGCTAAGCTGGAAAGTGGTAAGGGGCCTTAGATATAATCTTTTCAGAACCCCTCATGATATAGACAGAGAAAGCAAGACCCAGAAGAGTAAGAAACTTGACCTAGGCTACACAGCAGATTAGCAGTAGGGTTTGGAGTTGGGGTCTAAGGCTAAGGGGGGGCTTCTAAAACAAAGAGAATATCCCAGGTTAGTATGTGCATTGGGGTGGATGTGGGAACATGTGAAAAGCCGGTCAAGACCAATAACCTAGACTTTGTGGCCACATCTAGGATTGGTTTGAAGGTTACCTTGTAGGCCCCTAGCACTCCCGCCCAAAGTATGTCTCAGAAACAGAAATGGCACCTCTGGGTAATTCTTTTGGAGCTTGAAGGCTGTGCACATTTAATTTTCCAAAAATAAAATCCTAGTATAGGCAAAGCCTTGTAGGAACAAAGCCCTGAGGGAGGCAGCTCAGAAAAGACAATTAAGAAAACCCCAGAGAGCCTTTGTAACTACATAGTACAAAAAATTCTACCAGTTTAAAAAAGATATTCTTGCCTCCTTCCATATATTCCACAGACTGATTGTTGTCAGGCATGCTCCATGACATAGAAATCTGACTTTGTCAGTCCCCCTCCCAGAAACCACTCATGAATCACATAGTCCTGGTGAGATTAGATCCAAACTCCTGGCCATGCCATTCAAGTTCCTGGGCAACTTTCCCAGGATCATCTTTTCCCACCCAACTCTTACCTAAACCACCCACACATACCTTCTTCATTCACACCATATCATTCACATTTCAAGCCTCCAAACCACTGTTCATGCTGTTCCATCAGCTTGAGATACCTTTCTCTACTTTTTGATTATTAGATTATCCTTCAGGGCTCAACTCAAAGATCACCCTCTATTCTGTTAAACTTTTAAAAAAATAGCTTTATTGAGACAAAATTTATTTGCCACACAATTAACCCAACTAAAGTACACAATTCAATGGTTTTTAGTAAATTCACAGAATTGTGTAACCATTACCACGATCAATTTTAGAACATTGTCATCACCTGGAAAGAAACATGTACGCTTTAGGCATCCCTACCACCAAAATCTCCCCATCACCCCCTCGCAGACCTTGGCAAATACTAATCCACTTTCTGTTTCTATAAATGTGTATGCTCTAGACATTTCATATTAGTGGAATTATATAATATATGGTCTTTTGACTGGCTTTTCTTCACTTAGCATAATGTTTTCAAGGTTCTTCTATATCATAGCATGTATTAGCAACAAATTTCTTTTTATGGCTGAATAATAGCCATTGTATGGATAAACTGTACCACATTTTGTTTATGCACTTACAAATTCATGGACATTTCAGTTGTTTCTACTTTTTGGCTATTATGAGTAATGCTGCTATGAGAAGTCCAGTACAAGTTTTTAAATTAGATGTACATTTTTATTTGTCTTGGTTATATACCTAACAGCAGAATTGTTGGATGATATGGTACAATTTTAAAAAAATATTTAATTTAATTTTTATGTGTACATAATAGTTGCACTATTTATGGGGTACATGTGATATTTTGACATAAGCATACAATCTTATAATGATCAAATCAAGGTAACTGGGATATCCATCACCTTAAACATTTATCATTTCTTTATGTTAAGAACATTCTATTTCCATTCTTCTAGTTATTTGGAAATACACAATTTTTTGTAACTATAGGCACCCTATTGTGCTACCAAAAACTAGATCTTATTCCTTCTATCTAACTATATTTTTGTAACCATTAGCCAACCCTTCTTTATCCCCCACTCCCCATTACCCTTCCCAGCCTCTGGTAACCATCATTCTACCCTTTACCTTCATGAGACCAATCAACCTTTTTAGCTCCTATATATGAATAAGAACATGCAACATTTCTGTGCTTGGCTTATTACACTTAATATAATGACTTTCAGTTCTACTCACGTTGTTGCAAGTGACAGGATTTCATTCTTTTTTATGCCTGAATAATATTCCATTGAGTATATGTTATCACATTTCCTTTATCCATTCACCTGTTGATGGGTACTTAGGTTGATTCCATGTCTTAGCTATTGCATATAGTGCTGCAACAAACATGGGAGTGCAGATATCTCTTGGATATACTGAGTTTTCTTCTTTTGGATATATACCCAGCAGTGGGAATGCTGGATCATATGGTGGTAACTTGATGTTTAATATTTTAAGGAACTGCCAAAATGTTTTCCAAAACAGCTAACCCATTTTACATTCCTACAAACAACACATGAAGATTTCAATTTCTGTACATCCTCACCAACACTTATTTTTTGTATTTTTTTTATAGCTATTCTAGTGGTTGTGAAGTGGTATCTCCTTTTGGTTTTTATTTGCAGTTCCTTGACGACTAAAGATATTAGGTATCTTTTCATGTGTTCATTGGCCATTTGTATATCTTCTTTAAAGAAATGTCTATTGAAACTCTTGGCCTGCTTTTTGTTTTTAAAGACGATTTTAGGGCAGTTTTAGATTTGTAGCAAAGTTGAGCAGAAAGTGCAGACATTTCCCATATACCCCCTACCCCCCAGCATGCACAGCACCTCCACTATTAACTCCTTCACCAGAATAGTACTTTTATTATAATTGATGAACCTACATTGACACATCATTATTACCCAAAGTTCATAATTTACATTAGGTTCACTCTTGGTGTACATTCTATAAGTTTTGTCAAATACATAATAACATGTGTCTACCATTATAGTATCATACAGAATAGTTCCACTGCTCTAAAAATTCCCTGTGCTTTACCTATTCATCTCACCATCCCCCTGGCAACCACTGATCCTTTTACTGTCTCCATAGTTTTGCTTTTTCCAGAATATCATCTGATTGGAATCACACAGTATGGAGCCTTTTCAGATTGGTGTCTTTCACTTAATAATATGCACTTAAGATTCCTCCATGTGTTTTCATGGCCTGATAGCCAATTTCTTTTGAGTGCTGAACAATACTCCACTGTCCAGATGTACCAGAGCTTATCCATTCACCTACCGAAGGAAATCTTGGTTGCTTCCAAGTTTTGGCAATTATGAATAAAACTGCTATAAACAATAATGTGCAGGGTTTTTTTGTGTGTGGACATAGGTTTTTGACCCACTTGGGTAAATACCAAGGAGCACAATTGCTGGATTGTACCATAAGAGCATGTTTAGTTTTATAAGAAACTGCCAGACTGTCCTCCAAAGTGGGTGTACCATTTTGCATTCCCACCAGCACTAAATGAGAGTTCCTGTTGCTTCACATCATCACCAGCATTTGGTGTTGTCAGTGTTTTGGATTTTGGTTATTCTAATAGGTGTGTAGTGGTATCTCATTGTTTCCATCTGCAATTCCCTCATGACATATGATATTGAGCATCTTTTCATATGCACATTCACCATACATATATATTTTCTGGTGAGGTGTTCATTTAGATTTGCCTTTAAAAATATCAAGTTATGCCAGGCGCGGTGGCTAACACCTGTAATCCCAGCACTTTGGGAGGCCGAGGCGGGCAGATCAGGAGATCGAGATCATCCTGGCTAACACAGTGAAACCCCGTCTCTACTAAAAATACAAAAAATTAGCCGGGTGTGGTGGCGGCTACCTGTAGTCCCAGCTACTAGGGAGGCTGAGGTAGGAGAATGGCGTGAACCCAGGAGGCGGAGCTTGCAGTGAGCCAAGATGGCGCCACTGCACTCCAGCCTGGGCTACAGAGCGAGACTCCGTCTCAAAAAAAAAAAATCAAGTTATTTATTTTCTTTTTGTTGAATTTTAAGAGTTCTTTGTATATATTATTAACAATTCTTTATCAGATATGTCATTTGCAAGTATTTTCTCCCAATCTTCTCATTCACTTGATAGTGTCTTTCACAGAGCAGAGATTCTTAATTTTAATTAAGTCCAGTTTACAAATTATATCTTTTATGGATTGTGCCTTTGTTGTTATACATAAACAATTACCACCCAAGGTCATTGAAATTTGCTTTTATATTATCTTCTAGGAATTTTAGAGTTTTGCATTTTACATTTAGGTCTATGATTAGTTTTGTGTGAATTTTTGTGAAGGGTGTAAGCTCTGTGTTGTTACTGTTATTTTAGGATTAGGAATGAAAGACAGTTATTATAATCCTGGGACCTCATTTCTCTGATGGCTCTAAGAACAGTGGTTTATTTTTCAGTTTGTTTAGCTTTTTATTTGTTGTTAGGACAGAGTGATAACTTCCAAGCTCTTTACATGCCAGACTGGAAAACCTTTGCCCATTTGTCAATGTTATTTGTCTTTTTATTGTTGAATTATTAAAGTTTTAAATATATATTCTGGATACTCAACCCTTATCAGATAAATGATTTGAAAATATTTTCTCTCATTCTGTGTGTTATCTTTTCACTATCTTACTGGTGCCCCTTGAAGCACAAGTTTTTCATTGTTTTATTGTGGTGAAATATACAGAACATAAAATTTATAATTTTAACCATTTTAAGTGTACATTTCAGTGGCACTAAGTACATTTATGTTCTTGTGCAACTATCACCACCATCCATCTCCAGTACTTTTTCATCTTCCCAAACTGAAACTCTGTGTCTATTAAACATTTTCTCTTCTTCTCAGTCCTTGGCAACCACCATTCTACTTTCTGTCCCTAAGGATTTGATGACTCTAGGTACATCAAGTAAATGGAATCACACAGTATTTACTTGTCTTTTTGTAACTGGCTTATTTCACTTAGCATAATGTCTTCCAGGTTCACCTATGTTGTAGCATGTGTCAGAATTTCCTTCCTTTTTAAGGGTGAATAATATTTCATTGTATATACACACATACATACATACATGCATATACATATACATTTTGTTTATCCAATCATCCATCAATGGACATTTGGGTTGTTCCCACCTTTTGGCTATTGTGAATGATGCTTCTCTGAACTTTAGGGGACAAATATCTGTTTGAGTCCCTGATTTCAATTATTTTGGGTATATACCCAGAAATATGTTTTTAATTTTTATGAACTCCAATTTATCTAGTGTTTTTTTGTTGCTTGTGCTTTTAAAATTATTTCTAAAAACTATTGCCTATTCTATTTACTTCTATGCTTTCTTCTAAGACTTCTATATTTTTAATTCTTATATGTAGGTATGTACTTCATTTTGAGCTAATTTCTATATATGGTGTCATGTAGGAATTCAGCTTCATTCTTTTGTATGTGAATATCTAGTTGACTCATCACCATTTGCTGAAAAGACTATTTTATCTATATTGAATTATCTTGGCAACCTTGCTATTAATCAATTCACAGGAAATATAAAGGGGTTTTTAAATGGACTCTCAATTTTGTTTCATTAATCTGTACGTTCATTCTTATGCAAGTACCACACGGTTTTTATTACTGTACCTTTGTAGTAGATGTGAAATTAGGAAGTGTGAATCTCCCAACTTTGTTGTTCATTTTTCTTCTTTCTTCTTTTTTTTTAAAAAGACATTTATTCAGCATCATAATCAGACTATTACATTTAGCAATCAACAGCATGGGTGCAAAAAAAAAAAACAACCTACATTAAAACCCTTCGTTGGAATGCTTTACACTTTCCACAGAACAGAAGCTAAAATAATCCGTTATACAATTAGTCACAAATACAGTCCTCGAGTTTTTTTCCCATACATATGAGTATTTGTCTAAAACATGTCTGCTTTGTAGCAGCTAGGCCCTGCCACCACTGTGCTTTGCTAAATTCACAAATCTGTTGTAACCTGTAGCTTCCCTGCCACTTCTCTGGCTCTCCGCTCCTGCTAAGGTTTGTTTCCTAATTAAAATCTTCTGCCACTGCCACAGCTACTGCTACTACTGGAACCATCATAGCCACCTTGGTTTTGTGGTTTGGCAAAGAATTGGCCTCCACCACCATAGGGGCCAGAGCTTCTGACTCCAAAGTTTCATGGGTCCATAATTTGAAGACTGATTGTTGTAACTGCCAAAATCATTGTAGCTTCCACCACCTCCAAAATTGCTTCCATCATTACCAAATCCATTATAGCCATCCCCACCGCCACCATAACCACCACCACCATGACTGCCACCAAAGCCACCATGACAACTGAAGCTTCCTCCACGACCACCACCTCCATGACCATGATCAAAGTTTCCAGAACCACTTCCACCTCTGGCTGGATGAGGCAATGGCCAACTCTTGCTTTGACAGGGCTTTCCTAACTTCACAGTTGTGGTCATTCACACTATGGTATTTCTGAATGACAGTCTTATCCATGGAGTCATGGTTGTCAAAGGTTACAAAGGCAAAATCCCTTTTCTTACCACTGCCTCAGTCGGTCATGATTTCAATTACTTCAATTTTTCCATACTATTCAAAATAATCTCTTAGTTGATGTTCTTCAGTGTCTTCTTTAATGCCACCAACAAATATCTTTTTCAAAGTTAAGTGGGCACCTGGTCTTTGAGAATCTTCTCTTGAGACAGCTCTCTTTGGTTCCACAACTCTTCCATCCACCTTGTGTGGCCTTGCATTCATGGCTGCATCCATCTCCCCCACGGTGTCATATGTGACAAATCCAAAGCCCCTGGAGGGCTTGGTGTTTGGATCACTCATTACCACACAGTCTGTGAGCATTCCCCATTGTTTAAAATGACTCAACCATTTTGAGCCATTTTCAGGTTGTTTCAAAGCTCAACCCTTCAATGAAGAGCTTCCTCAGCTGTTCGGGCCCTTTAGGAGATGCTGACTTAGACACGATGGCAGAGTGAAGACAGACTTTAATGACGCTTCCTCAGCAGTGTCCATGGGCAGAAAGCTGTTGTTCATTTTTCAAGATTCTTTTTGCTATTCTAGTTCTCTTGCATTTTCATACACATCTTAGGATCAGTTTGTCAATTTCTGCAAAGAAAATGCAGCCAGGGTTTTTATAGGGATATTGTTGAATCTGTAGGTAAATTTACAGAGATTGCCATCTTAATAATATTAAGTGTTCTGATCCATGAAAATGGAATGTTTCCAATTATTTAGATATTTTTAATTTCCTCCGACAATATTTTGTAGCTTTCAGAGTATAAGTTTTATACTCCTTTTGTTAAATTTATTCCTAAGTAGTATATACTTTTTGATGCTTTTGTAAATGGAATTGTTTTAATTTTATTTGAAGATTGTTTATTGCTAGTATATAGAAATGTAATTCATCTTTGTATATTGATTTTCTATCTTGTAACATTGCTAAACTAAGTTATTAGTTCTAGCAGGTTTTTTTGCAGATTCCTTAGTGTTTTTTTTTTTTTATTATACTTTAAGTTTTAGGGTACATGTGCACAACGTGCAGGTTTGTTACATATATATATGTGTGCCATGTTGGTGTGCTGCACCCATTAACTCGTCATTTAACATTAGGTATATCTCCTAATGCTATCCTTCCCCCCTCCTCCCACCCCACAACAGGCCCTGGTGTGTGATGTTCCCCTTCCTGTGTCCATGTGTTCTCATTGTTCAATTCCCACCTACGAGTGAGAACATGCCGTGTTTGGTTTTTTGTCCTTGCGATAGTTTGCTGAGAATGATGGTTTTCAGCTTCATCCATGTCCCTACAAAGGACATGAACTCATCATTTTTTATGGCTGCATAGTATTCCATGGTGTATATGTGCCACATTTTCTTAATCCAGTCTATCATTGTTGGACATTTGGGTTGGTTCCAAGTCTTTGCTATTGTGAATAGTGCCGCAATAACCATACGTGTGCATGTGTCTTTATAGCAGCATGATTTATAATCCTTTGGGTATATACCCAGTAATGGGATGGCTGGGTCAAATGGTATTTCTGGTTCTAGATCCCTGAGGAATCGCCACACTGACTTCCACAATAGTTGAACTAGTTTACAGTCCCACCAACAGTGTAAAAGTGTTCCTATTTCTCCACATCCTCTCCAGCACCTGTTGTTTCCTGACTTTTTAATGATCGCCATTCTAACTGGTGTGAGATGGTATCTCATTGTGGTTTTGATTTGCATTTCTCTGATGGCCAGTGATGATGAGCATTTTTTCATGTGTCTTTTGGCTGCATAAATGTCTTCTTTTGAGAAGTGTCTGTTCATATCCTTCGCCCGCTTGTTGATGGAGTTGTTTGTTTTTTTCTTGTAAATTTGTTTGAGTTCATTGTAGATTCTGGATATTAGCCCTTTGTCAGATGAGTAGGTTGCAAAAATTTTCTCCCATTTTGTAGGTTGCCTGTTCACTCTGATGGTAGTTTCTTTTGCTGTGCAGAAGCTCTTTAGTTTAATTAGATCCCATTTGTCAATTTTGGCTTTTGTTGCCATTGCTTTTGGTGTTTTAGACATGAAGTCCTTGCCCATGCCTGTGTCCTGAATGGTATTGCCTAGGTTTTCTTCTAGGATTTTTATGGTTTTAGGTCTAACATTTAAATCTTTAATCCATCTTGAATTAATTTTAGTATAAGGTGTAAGGAAGGGATCCAGTTTCAGCTTTCCACATATGGCTAGGCAGTTTTCCCAGCACCATTTATTAAATAGGGAATCCTTTCCCCATTGCTTGTTTTTCTCAGGTTTGTCAAAGATCAGGTAGTTGTAGATATGTGGCATTATTTCTGAGGCCTCTGCTCTGTACCATTGGTCTATATCTCTGTTTTGGTACCAGTACCATGCTGTTTTGGTTACTGTAGCCCTGTAGTATAGTTTGAAGTCAGGTAGCGTGATGCCTCCAGCTTTGCTCTTTTGGCTTAGGATTGACTTGGCAATGTGGGCTCTTTTTTGGTTCCATATGAACTTTAAAGTAGTTTTTTCCAATTCTGTGAAGAAAGTCATTGGTAGCTTGATGGGGATGGCATTGAATCTATAAATTACCTTGGGCAGTATGGCCATTTTCACAATATTGATTCTTCCTACCCATGAGCATGGAATGTTCTTCCATTTGTTTGTATCCTCTTTCATTTCATCAAGCAGTGGTTTGTAGTTCTCCTTGAAGAGGTCCTTCACATCCCTTGTAAGTTGGATTCCTAGGTATTTTATTCTCTTTGAAGCAATTGTGAATGGGAGTTCACTCCTGATTTGGCTTTCTGTCTGTTATTGGTGTATAAGAATGCTTGTGATTTTTGTACATTGATTTTGTATCCTGAGACTTTGCTGAAGTTGCTTATGAGCTTAAGGAGATTTTGGTCTGAGACAATGGGATTTTCTAGATACACAATCATGTCATCTGCAAACAGGGACAGTTTGACTTCCTCTTTTCCTAACTGAATACCCTTTATTTTTTTCTCCTGCCTGATAGCCCTGGCCAGAACTTCCAACACTATGTTGAATAGCAGTGGTGAGAGAGGGCATCCCTGTCTTGTGCCAGTTTTCAAAGGGAATGCTTCCAGTTTTTGTCCATTCAGTATGATATTGGCTGTGGGTTTGTCATAAATAGCTCTTATTATTTTGAGATACATCCCATCAATACCTAATTTCTTGAGAGTTTTTAGCATGAAGGGCTGTTGAATTTTGTCAAAGGCCTTTTCTGCATCTAATGAGATAATCATGTGGTTTTTGTCATTGGTTCTGTTTATATGCTGGATTACGTTTATTGATTTTTGTATGTTGAACCAGCCTTGCATCCCAGGGATGAAGCCCACTTGATCATGATGGATAAGCTTTTTGATGTGCTGCTGGATTTGGTTTGCCAGTATTTTATTGAGGATTTTTGCATCGATGTTCATCAAGGATATTGGTCTAAAATTCTCTTTTTTTGTTGTGTCTCTGCCAGGCTTTGGTATCAGAATGATGCTGGCCTCATAAAATGAGTTCGGGAGGATTCCCTCTTTTTCTATTGATTGGAATAGTTTCAGAAGGAATGGTACCAGCTCCTCCTTGTACCTCTGGTAGAATTCGGCTGTGAATCCATCTGGTCTTGGACTTTTTTTTGGTTGGTAAGCTATTAATTATTGCCTCATTTTCAGAGCCTGTTATTGGTCTATTCAGATATTCCAGTTCTTCCTGGTTTAGTCTTGGGAGGGTGTATGTGTCAAAGAATTTACCCATTTCTTCTAGATTTTCTAGTTTATCTGTGTAGAGGTGTTTATAGTATTCTCTGATGGTAGTTTGTATTTCTGTGGGATCGGTGGTGATATCCCCTTTATCATTTTTTTATTGCATCTATTTGATTCTTCTCTCTTTTCTTCTTTATTAGTCTAGCTAGCGGTCTATCCATTTTGTTGATCTTTTCAAAAAACCAGCTCCTGGATTCATTGATTTTTTTAAGGGGTTTTTGTGTCTCTATCTCCTTCAGTTCTGCTCTGATCTTAGTTATATCTTGCCTTCTGCTAGCTTTTGAATGTGTTTGCTCTTGCTTCTCTAGTTCTTTTAATTGTGATTTTAGGGTGTCAATTTGAGATCTTTCCTGCTTTCTCTTGTGGGCAGTTAGTGCTATAAATTTCCCTCTACACACTGCTTTAAATGTTTCCCAGAGATTCTGGTATGTTGTATCTTTGTTCTCATTGGTTTCCAAGAACATCTTTATTTCTGCCTTCATTTCGTTATGTACCCAGTAGTCATTCAGGAGCAGGTTGTTCAGTTTCCATGTAGTTGAGTGGTTTTGAGTGAGTTTCTCAGTCCTGAGTTCTAGTTTGATTGCACTGTGGTCTGAGAGGCAGTTTGTTATAGTTACAATTTCTGTTCTTTTACATTTGCTGAGGAGTGCTTTACTTCAAAGTATGTGGTCAATTTTGGAATAGGTGTGGTGTGGTGCTGAAAAGAACGCATATTCTGTTGATTTGGGTTGGAGAGTTCTGTAGATGTCTATTAGGTCTGCTTGGTGCAGAGCTGAGATCAGTTCCTGGATATCCTCATTAACTTTCTGTCTCATTGATCTATCTAAGGTTGACAGTGGGGTGTTAAAGTCTCCCCTTGTTATTGTGTGGGAGTCTAAGTCTCTTTGTAGGTCTCTAAGGACTTGCTTTATGAATCTGGGTGCTCCTGTATTGGGTGCATATATATTTAGGATAGTTAGCTCTTCTTGTTGAATTGATGCCTTTACCATTATGTAATGGCCTTCTTTGTCTCTTTTGATCTTTGTTGGTTTAAAGTCTGTTTTATCAGAGACCAGGATTGCAACCCCTGCCTTTTTTTTGTTTTCCATTTGCTTGGTAGATCTTCCTCCATCCCTTTATTTTGAGTCTATGTGTGTCTCTGCACATGAGATGGGTTTCCTGAATACAGCACACTGATGACTCTTTATCCAATTTGCCAGTCTATGCCTTTTAATTGGGAGCATTTAGCCCATTTGCATTTAAAGTTAATATTGTTATGTGTAAATCTGATCCTGTCATTATGATGTTAGCTGGTTATTTTGCTTGTTAGTTGATGCAGTTTCTTCCTAGCCTCGATGGTCTTTACAATTTGGCATGTTTTTGCAGTGGCTGGTACCGGTCGTTCCTTTCCATGTTGAGTGCTTCCTTCAGGAGCTCTTTTAGGGCAGGCCTGGTGGTGACAAAATCTCTCAGCATTTGCTTGTCTGTAAAGGATTTTATTTCTCCTTCACTTATGAAGCTTAGTTTGGCTGGATATGAAATTCTGGGTTGAAAATTCTTTTCTTTAAGAATGTTGAATATTGGTCCCCAACTCTCCTCTGGCTTGTAGAGTTTCTGCCGATAGATCTGCTGTTAGTCTGATGGGCTTCTCTTTGTGGGTAACCCGACCTTTCTCTCTGGCTGCCCTTAACATTTTTTCCTTCATTTCAACTTTGGTGAATCTGACAATTATGTGTCTTGGAGTTGCTCTTCTCGAGGAGTATCTTTGTGGCGTTCTCTGTATTTCCTGAATGTGAATGTTGGCCTGCCTTGCTAGATTCAGGAAGTTCTCCTGGATAATATCCGGCAGAGTGTTTTCCAACTTGGTTCCATTCTCCCCGTCACTTTCAGGTACACCAATCAGATGTAGATTTGGTCTTTTCACATAGTCCCATATTTCTTGGAGGCTTTGTTCATTTCTTTTTATTCTTTTTTCTCTAAACTTTTCTTCTCGCTTCATTTCATTCATTTGATCTTCCATCACTGATACCCTTTCTTCCAGTTGATCGAATTGGCTACTGAGGCTTGTGCATTCATCATGTAGTTCTCATGCCATGGTTTTCAGCTCCATCAGGTCCTTTAAGGACTTCTCAGCATTGGTTATTCTAGTTAGCCTTTCATCTAATCTTTTTTCAAGGTTTTTAACTTCTTTGCCATGGGTTTGAACTTCCTCCTTTAGCTCGGAGTAGTTTGATCTTCTGAAGGCTTCTTCTCTCAACTCGTCAAAGTCATTCTCCCTCCAGCTTTGTTCCATTGCTGGTGAGGAGGTGCATTCCTTCGGAGGAAGAGAGGCGCTCTGATTTTTAGAATTTTCAGTTTTTCTGCTCTGTTTTTTCCCCATGTTTGTGGTTTTATCTACCTTTGGTCTTTGATGATGGTGATGTACAGATGGGGTTTTGGTGTGGATGTCCTTTCTGTTTGTTAGTTTTCCTTCTAACAGTCAGGACCCTCAGCTGCAGGTGGGTTGGAGTTTGCCGGAGGTCCACTCCAGACCCTGTTTGCCTGGGTATCAGCAGCAGAGGCTGCAGAACAATGGATATTGGTGAACAGCAAATGTTGCTGCCTGATCGTTCCTCTGGAAGTTTTGTCTCAGAAGAGTACCCAGCCGTGTGAGTTGTCAGTCTACCCCTACTGGGGGTTGCCTCCTAGTTAGGCTACTTGGGCATCAGGGACCCCCCTGAGGATGCAGTCTGTCCATTCTCAGATCTCAAGCTGCATGCTGGGAGAACCACTACTCTCTTCAAAGCTGTCAGATAGGGACATTTAAGTCTGCAGGATTTCTGCTGCCTTTTGTTTGGCTATGCCCTGCCCCCAGAGGTGGAGTCTACAGAGGCAGGCAGGCCTCCTTGAGCTGCAGTGGGCTCCACCCAGTTTGAGCTTCCTGGCCGCTTTGTTTACCTACTCAAGCCTCAGCAATGTTGGGCGTCCCTCCCACAGCCTCACTGCTGCCTTGCAGTTCAATCTCAGACTGCTGTGCTAGCAATGAATGAGGCTCCATGGGCCTAGGACCCTCCCAGCCATGCACGGGATATAATCTCCTGGTGTGCTGTTTGCTAAGGCCATTGGAAAAGTGCAGTATTAGGGTGTTAGTGACCCGATTTTCCAGGTGCCATCCGTTACCCCTTTCCTTGGCTGGGAAAGGAAATTCCCTGACCCCTTGCACTTCTTGCATGAGGCAAAGCCTCGCCCGGCTTTGGCTCAGGCTCAGTGCACTGCACCCACTGTCCTGCACCCACTGTCTGACAATCCCCAGTGAGATGCACCCAGTACCTCAGTTGGAAATGCAGAAATCATTAATCTTCTACATCACTCACACTGGGAGCTGTAGACTGGAGTTGTTCCTATTCATCCATCTTGGCTCCACCCTCAAGAAAAAGTCAGTATTTTCTATATAAAAGATCATGTCATCTACAAATAGAGGTAGTTTTATTTTTTCCTTTTCCAATCTGGATGCCTTTTATTTCCTTTTCTTGTCTAAATGTCCTGGCTGAAACCTCAAGTACAATGCTGAATAATAGATATGACAGCAAACATTCTTGTCTTGTTGTTTATCTTACAGGGGAAGCAGTCTTTCAGCAATAAGTATATTAGCCTTGGGATTTTCATAGATGACCATTATCATGTTGAAAAAATTCCCTTTTATTCCTAGTTTGTTGAATGTTTTTATTGTGAAAGAATGTTATATTTTATCAAATGCTTTCTCTGCATCTCTCGAAATAATCATGTGATCTTCTTTGTCTTTTATTCTATTGAGATAGCGTATTACATTGGTTGATTATCAAATGTTAACTCAATTTTACATTCCTGGGATAAACCCCATTTGGTCATGATTTATAATTTTTTCTATATGTAACTGGAGTTAATTTGCTAGATTTTGTCAATGATTTTATTTTTGCATCAATTCTCTTAAAAGATATTGGTCTGTAGTATTCTTTTCTTGTGATATCTTTGGCTGACTTCACAGAATGAGTTGGGAAATATTTCCTCCTGTTCTAGAAGATTTTGTGAAGGATTGGTATTAATTATTTTCTAAATATTCGGTAAAATTCACCAGTGAAGACATTTGAGTTGGGGGTATATTTAGGGGGAGCAGAGCATTTTAATTACTAATTCTATCTTTTTACTTGTTACAGTTAAATTCAGATTTTCTGTTTCTTGCATAGATTTTGGTCGTTTCTGTCTTTATAGAAATTTTTCCCTTTCATTTAAGTAATTTAATTTAATAGCATACAACTGTTCATAGTATTTCTTTATGTTCCTTGTATTTCTGTAAGATTAATACTGATGTCTCCTCTTTATTCTTAATTTTACTGATTTGCATCTTCTCTTTATTTTTCTCATGAAGTCTAATTAAACGTTTGCCAGTTCTGTGGATCTTTTCACAAAACCAACTTATGATTTCATGTGATTTTCTCCTTTGTTTTTTACTCTATTTTATTTGTTCCTGTTAAGTTTTTATTATTGCCTTCCTTCTGCTTGCTTTGGGTTTAGTCTGCTATTCTTTTTCTAGTTTCTTTAGTTGGAATATTAGGTTATTGATTTGAGATGTTTTTAAATTTTTTTATTGAGATAAAATTCATAGACCATAAAATTCACCCTTTAAAAGTGTACAATTCAGTGTTTTAAATGTATTTTCAATGTCTTGCAACCATTACCATGATCTAATTCCACAACATTTCAAAACCACCAAAATAAACCCTGTAACCAATAGCAGTTTCTCCCTTAGTGCCCTAGGCCCTAGCTCCTAATGACCAATAATCTACTCTCTGTATCTCTGAATTTTCCTATTCTGGATATTTCATATACAAGATTTTTGGTTGACAGTTTTTTCCTTTCATCATTTTGAATATGTCATTCCTCTATGTCTTTTAGCTTCTATTCTTTCTGGTAGAAGTCAGCCATAAATCTTATTGGAATTCCTCTTATATGTGATAACTAATTTTCTCTTGCTACTTTTAAAGTTTCCCTTGGTTTTTGGCTTCTGACATTTTGATGTGGTGTGTCTGAAGTGTCTCTCCTTGTGTTTATCCTATTTGTTATTTGTAGAGCTTCTTAGAGGTGTAGATTAATATATCTTTCTTCAAATTTTGAAAGTTTTTCTTATTTTTGAATATTTTCTTCTGTTTATTTCTCGCTCTCTTCTCTTTGGGAATCCCATTGCATGTATATTGGTGTGCTTAATAATGCCCCACATTTCTCTGAGTCTCTGTTCATTATTCATCATTCTGTGTCCTCAATCTTCTTCAATTTGCACAATATGTATTGATCTATCTTCAAGTTTGCTAACTTTATTTCCTGCCACCTGAAGTCTACTGTTGATCTCTTCTATGAATTTTTTTGTTCCAGTTATTGTATTTTTCAACACTAGACATTCTTAGTTTAGATCTCTTTATTGATTTTCTATTTGATGGAAAGAATTTCTCACAAATTCTTTTAGTTGTTTTTTTTTTCTTAGACAGGGTCTCTCTAGGTCACCCAGGGTGGAGTGCAGTTGTACAGTCTTGGCTTGCTGCAGCCTTGACTTCCTGGGCTCAACTGATTCTCCCATCTCAGCCTCCCAAGTAGCTGGGACCACAGCCATCTGCCACCACAAACAGCTATTTTCAGCTAATTTTGTTTATTTTTTGTAGAGATGGGCACTGTGTTGCCCAGGCTGGTCTTAAACTCCTGGACTCAAGTGATCCTCTTGCTTTGGCCTCTGAAAAGTGCTGGGATTACAGACATGAGCCACCCTGACTGACTCTTTTAGTTCTTTAAGCATAGCTTCCTTTAGGTCTTTGAACATATTTATAGTAGCTGCTTTGTCCTCTAAGTTCAACATCTGGCCTAGTTCAATGAAGCCTATTTCCCTGCAGCATACAGCCTCTGTGTCACTCCTCAGAGGTCACAGTCTTGGGCATGTACACAGTATCTACCACCAGTGATACTGTGATTTTAACTGGGCTGTCTGTCTCCTTACCTAAGATCCTCTTTGAGCTTCTGGATGATCTATCTCTAATAATATCACTACCAGCTATTAGCCTCCACTTCTTAATTCCATTAGTGTTTTTAAACAATGCCCTGGGAAATAAATTTTTCCACATTAAAATTGGGTCTTCTCAAGTCTTCAAGGCTTGCCCAGACCCTAAAAGGGTTCTTCTTAGCTTTTTCTCTGGTTCTCTCTGTTAAACTTCTAGCTGGTGAACCATTCTGCAGCTGCTACTAGAATCATAGTGCTTCTGGTGCCCTCTTGATTGCTTACCACCAAGATTGTCGTTGTTCCTGACAATACTATAGACAAAAACTTCTTCACTCTCTTTTCCAAATAAAGATAGACTCCTTGGGGAGAGCCAAGGAGCTCTCCATTCTTAAAACTCATCTCACCTCATGGACAGAATCTCTGCTCTACTACACTAGACATTAGAGGTAGGGAGAGAAGCTTCTTTCTTCCAGAATGACACCCCTGCTCTATGAGCAGGGTGCTGGGCAGGAATGGTAGCTATGGATTTTCTCAACTTGTTTTTTTCTAGCATTGAACATGCACCCTATGAGTGAGCTGGGGCAGAGTGATCAGAGATACAGTATTATTGGCCCACCATGCTTGAGGTAGAGATTCCATTTTACCAATGGGAGCTGACTAGGGGAAGGGCTTCCCAGTCCTCTTGGCCTCACTTAAGTGGAATAAAACTTCTGCAACATGGAGCTTGGGATTAGAGGATGAGAGATTCCAGTAGACTACCCTCCTAGAGTCAAACTGTTGCCCTGTACTAGGAGCTGGAGGAAGAGAGAGCTCCATGTTATTGACTACACCCAACTAGAATAGAATTTCCATCATACTAAACTGGGAGGTAGGGATGTGTTGATGAAAAGAGTCAAACTCTGTAAAATATTTGAAGATATTTATTCTGAGCCAAATATGAGTGACCACGGCCCATGACACAGCCCTCAGAAGGTCTTGAGAACATGTGCCCAAGATGGTGAAAGTGCAGTTTAGTTTCATTCATTTTAGAGGGGCATGAGCTATCAATCAAATACATTTAGGATATACATTGGTTTGGTTCAGAAAGGCAAAACAACTTGAAGTTGGGGCTTCCAGGCTATAGGTAAATTTTTTAATTTCCTGGTTGACAATTGGTTGAGTTTGTTTAAGAACCTGGGATCAATAGAAAGGAAATGTTTGGGTTAAGATAAAGGATTGTGGAGACCAAAGTTTTATTGTGCGGAGGAAGCTTTTAGCTAGCAGGCTTCAGAGAGAATAGGTTGTAAAATGTTTCTTATCGGACTTGAAGTCTGTGTTGATGTTAATAACAGAGAGGTATAATGAGGCATATTCAACTCCCATTTCCCATCATGGCCTGAAACAGTCTCTCAGGTTAAATTTTAAGAGTCCTGGCTGAGGAGGAAGTCCATTCAGATGGTTGGGGAGCCTTATAATTTTACTTTTGGTTTACATTTTCCCCTTTTTGGCCAAGATTTGGCACAGGAAACATTAAAAGCCAGCAAATCTTTATTTTGTCCCATAGCGTTGTCAGGGTGGCAAGGCTGCCTGCACCAGGTCCATTCTGTCCCTTGGTGGGGCTCTTTATGGCCCAGGGCCTTAAGAGTCAAAAGACTTAACAGCTGATTAATTGCTCTAGGCCAGATAGGAATGGATGTGGACAGGCATTTATTACCTCTTAAAATTCTTATTTTGGCCGGGTGCAGTGGCTCACGCCTATAATCCCAGCACTTTGGGAGGCCGAGGAGAGCAGATCACCTGAGGTCGGGAGTTCGAGACCAGCCTGACCAACATGGAGAAACCTCGTCTCTACTAAAAATACAAAACTATCCGGGCGTGGGGGCTCATGCCTGTAATCCCAGCTACTCGGGGGGCTTAGGCAGGAGAATCACTTGAACCTGGGAGGCGGAGGTTGCAGTGAGTTGAGATCGCACCATTGCACTCCAGCCTGAGCAACAAGAGCAAAATGCCATCTCAAAAAAAAAAAAAAAAAATTAAGGAAAAAGCCAACAAACAAAAAAAGGCAAAGTTACAAAACTGACTTATTTTTAACTTCTATGTGTTGAGCTACAGTAAGCTTGGTTTTAGTTACAGACTTTTAGCCATTCGCTAAAGAAAACATAAGCATTTTTCTAGAAAAACTTAAATATATATAGATATCTTTATATATATATATATCTTTGCAACTTATAACTGGGAGTATTATACTCAGAAGGCCTTGTCACAAGGTATCTTTATTCTAATGTTACCAGGGGATCTTTGCTCTTAGAGCTCCCAAGATGGTGGAAGGCTGCTCCCAAGATGGGGCGGCCACTCCCAAATGGCGCGGCCACTCCCAAGATGGCAGCAAGCCTTTTGTTCTCTGACCTGGGGTTCTTGGCCTCATGGATTCCAAGGAATGGAACCTTGGGCCATGCGGTGAGTGTTATAGCTCTATTAGAAGCCATGGGTCACAGAAGAGAACCGTGGAACCCAGCGACTAGTGTTCAGCTTGATTAGGATGAACCCGAGCACTTAGCCATGCAGGAACAATGGCGAGCCTCTAGCCTGATCGGGAGCAGCAATGGGTGCCTGGCTGGATCAGGAGCACAGTGGACACCCTGCCGGATCCGGAGGGGTGGAAGTCAGAAGTGGGTCTGGGATGGTGGCAAACAGCAGTGGTGGACAGCGAGTGAAAGCTCAGCTCGAGCCGTAACAAACACGGACCAGAAGCGTGTGCAGTTGCAAGATTTAATAGAGTGAAAACAGAGCTCCCATGCAATGGGAGGGGACCCAAAGGGGGTTGCCCACTCCCAGCTCGAATGCCTGGGGTTTATATCCCAATCATTGTCCCTCCCCCTGTGCTCTCAGATGATAGATTATTTGACTATTTCTTTACCTCCTGCTTTTAGCCTAATTGGTATTTTAGTGAGCCCTCTTTACTACCTGATTGGTCAGGTGTGAACTGCGTTCCAAGCCCCTTGTTTAAAGGTGGGTGCGGTCACCTTCCCCAGCTAGGCTTAGGAATTCTTAGTGAGCCTAGGAAATCCAGCTAGTCCTGTCTCTCACTGTCAGTAAATATTTTTCTTTAATTCTATAGGAAGCAGAAAATTATTTATGGTTGGGATGGATGCAAAAGTGACACATAATAGTTTAGAAGACTTGTTTTATCAGCTGTTTAGGCATCCTTGTATCCTCTTGATTTGGACAATCTGACCTTGACCTAATTTTGTCCCTCAAAACTGGCCCTTAAAATTTCATGTGCTCATCATCACTGGCCATCAGAGAAATGCAAATCAAAGCCACAATGAGATACCATCTCACACCAGTTAGAATGGCGATCATTAAAATGTCAGGAAACAACAGGTGACTTTGGAGAGGATGTGGAGAAATAGGAACACTTTTACACTGTTGGTGGGACTGTAAACTAGTTCAACCATTGTGGAAGACAGTGTGGCGATTCCTCAAGGATCTAGAACTAGAAATACCATTTGACCCAGCCACCCCATTACTGGGTATATACCCAAAAGATTACAAATCATGCTGCTATAAAGACACATGCACATGTATGTTTATTGCAGCACTATTCACAATAGCAAAGACTTGGAACCAACCCAAATGTCCATTAATGATAGACTGGATTAAGAAAACGTGGCACATATACACCATGGAATACTACGCAGCCGTAAAAAAGGATGAGTTCATGTCCTTTGTAGGGACATGGATGAAGCTGGAAACCATCATTCTGAGCAAACTATCGAAAGGATTATAAATCATGCTACTACGTTACATAAAGCTTGTTTAAACATCTTAAATTTTATAATTCTATTAACCTGTAGGTTTTTATGTTCTGGTCGCAGGAACTTTATTTATTTATTTATTTTTTACCCTTAGATCATTTTACCTTTTTTGGTGAAAAAGGATTTGGGTTCCCAGCAGAGAGTTGCATTCGTGAGACCCATTGAGGGACAACAAATTCTATAAGGCTTCTCAAACAGTTCTATGATTCTGTGGGAGGGGCACCCATGTAAAAAGGGGTCCCTTAACCCTCAAATTTAACATGACCTGGGTAATAGGCCTATTCGTTGGGGGATATCCCAGTCATTATAAAGCTAGTTCCACATGGCTCCCATATGAAACATATTAACTGCTTCATCTGGGGTGCTCTACTTGGTGTTTTATAGGGAGAGCTGGGTAGTCCCCTTTACAGGGCAAACAGACTTACAGTGGCATTTATCTGGCCCACTACGCTGATCATTCTCTCAGAAATAACCCCCTGTGCATTTGGATCACATATACTTATCAGTGATTGTTTAATAGTGAGTTGTGGGTCCTGCATTAACCCAAACAAGCTCTTAATTTCTGCAGCATTTAAAATTAAGGATTTTGTCCTTAAAGTGTTTATTTTTACAATCCACTAAAGATTTTTTTAAAGAAGTGGATGATACCAATTTACAAAATGGAACAATCCCTTTACATTATACTCTCCGGTTTTAAAAGTTACTTGGTTTTGCCCTTCCTCCACATCAACTTGTTGGTAGCCACAGGTCTCAGAGTTAACTTTTGTTGCCCTGGCATAATTGTTGGTTTTTTTTTCCATTTAGTTTTATCTGTATACTTTTTCCTTCATTTTAAAGCAACTCTTAAATAGTTTAGAAATAAACACAATTTTTTAAGAAAAATCAACATCCTTGTGTTTTATAAACTTCACCAAAAACATATTTTATGCATTTACTATTTTAGCTTGTAGTAACCAAAATTCCCAGTAAAAATTCTCAGTTATGTTTTAACATAACATTACTTTAAGATTTTAAATTACTGGAGAGAGTTGAGATTAAATTTACCAAATTAATTTTACCAAAGATTACCAAAGTCATGTGAATTAAAAGGTATCTGAGCTAGCCTCTACCAGTCTAATAAATATGTACTTTCAAAAAAATTACTTGATTAGAGCTCCTCCATGTAGTTTGGTAGTGAAATGTCACTTCCATATGACACATATAAAGATAGAGATATAACAGGCATGCAGAATAAAAAAGCAGGTCCAAAATATATTTTTACCTGTTTTTTAAAAAATTATCTCCCTTACTTTAGGTAATTAATAAAAGTTATAGGAGTCAAGAAAAGGTGAAGGAGAGAGCTATTATCCAAGGCCTTTTTAAAAGAGAAAGAATTGAACCTTTGAGATGTTTATCTGAAGAATTTTTAACAGACAGATTATATAAAAATTTATTGCATTAAGAATAAGTCAATATTTTAAACAAAATCTTGTTTTAACCAATTATTTAGTTTTGTATTAGTGTATATATTTTTAATAACAAAGACTCATCTCTAGAAAGACTATTATAATTTTTTCTTAATCATAGTCAACTAAATTATACAACCCTTTTTTTTAAACAAAATTCCTTTTTACTAACATTATTACGACTTGCATAGACTATTCACAACATGTTTGGATTTTCTGTTTTGTCCTAAATATCTCTCTTTCTTGAACAACCCAGTCATTTTATTTTAGGACAAAAATTCACCACACAAGATTCTTTCTTATATAAAATTACTTTCATTTTTACCTTCTTTACTGAAAAATACCTCTTTATATCATTAACTTTCTTTCCATCTGTTATTTTCTGGTTCCTTTTACCTTGTTTTATACATAACCCTTAAATAAACTTAGAATTAGATGAAGATATTTACCTTTTAATAAGAACACTTTAAAAAAAGTTTTACTATAGTTTTAAAATTGGAAATTACCCAGATACTTAATATTTATTAATAACCTTAGATCCTAAATTATATGACAAGTTTGTTTACAAGCATTTCTTTCATTATATTTACCTGATTGATTGATTTAATTGTTTACCTAGATTATATACAAAAACTGTGATAGTCATTCCTTAAGTTACTTCCCGGTTAACCATTTTGATAGCCGTGAATTTCAGGTGTTAGTCATTCTTTAAGTTACTTCCCTGTTAACCATTTTGATGGCTTTGAATTTCAGGTGTTTCCTTAAGTAACAAACTTAGGGTTAAATATAAGGGTATTTTTTACCAAGAACTCAGGATTTAGCTGTTTTCATTAAACCAGCAATATTCCATCTTACTTATCAAAAATTATACAAGCAAAGATCATTCTGCCTTTGGCTGGGTTTTATAGTTTTATAACCCTTATGACTAATCTTGTATTCTGGAGGAATAAGCATGAAAGCACTTGATCAATAAACACAAACAAAAATGCTAATAATTCTTAAAACATTTCTAATATTATTTTACCAATAATTTTAAAGCCAGCTTATTTATTAAAGATTTTACTCAAGTGATGTGAACTTCAAAAAGCATTTGACTAGTCTTTTTTTGATAAAATATTTTATTTAAGCACTTGTTTTTCTTTAAGCCAATTAATTAGAGCTCTTTTATATATTTTTAGTAGTGAAACATTGTGTACACAACACATAAATACATAGATGTATTAGGCATGCCGATAGAAGTACATCTTATAGATTCATAAGACCTCATTGTTTCCTAACTTAGACTTTTAAATTCTTGATAACCTGTTTCATCAACCTAGACAGTTGTCAGCTAAATAGCCCTACATTTGCCTATTAAAGGAAACAACTCTTAGGTGAAAAATCAGCAAAATTTACATCTCAAGGTACCAAGAGAGAAAGTCTGGTGTGCTAGAGGGAAATTAAAACAGATTTAATTTGCCAATTAAACATGAAATTATAGAAGTCTATTATAAAGGTCACACACATACACACACACACACACACACACACACACACACACACACGCAAAGATCCTATGGCTTTTACTTCAGAACTTTAGCCATGAGATAAATACAAATTCACTGGCTTGCAAAAAAAAAAATAGTTAGATCCAAGTAGTGGTTGTTATCTCAGTAGAAAGGTAACAGCAGATTTAAAGCAGGCAGAAAAGAAAATAGAGAAAAAGAGAACTTAGGAACTTTAGAGTTTGCAGGTTGACCTTGGGGTTCTTTTTCCTTAACGTAAATGTGAAAAATGACCATACTATTTTCATTTTACATAAACTTTAGCAAGTAGAGGTGCCATAAAACCAATGGAGTGCCCCAAAGGGGGTAATTCTCCTTGTTTTCTCCTCATTCTTAGATTATTTGTTTCCCACACTTAAAAAAAAAAAAAAGGAGGAACTGAGCTGTGGCCTGGGGCTTTTGTGGAGTGGGTTGAAGTGGGTTGCTTGCAGGCAGGACTTCACAGTGTGTCACCACTGAGTCATTGTGCCCTCTTACTTATCTCAGTTTTCCTCTCTGGAGGTCTAAGCCCCTCCAGGAGGGCTCAAATCGTGGAGTGACCAGCTCCTATATGTGTTTCCTGAATAAGCCTTTTTTAAAACTAATTTTTTTGGGGGTTCCCTGTAGGGCCACTGCACATCATGGGGGGTTAACCTCCACCAGACACTCCCATGAGGCCCTTGGTCACGCAGGGGCACGTTTTGCCTGGGAGAAGCAAATGTGTTTTCTCTTCAGAGCTAAGGAAACACAGTTTCTCATTTACCTATAAAAACAACAGTATAATTTATCATGCAAATGCACACAGACAAGCCAAACTGAGATTAATTTTGGGAGAAAATGCAATGGAGAGGATTCTTTAAAATGCACGTCTGAACTAGAAGTAGGATCTTTAAACAACTTCCTAGGAGAAAAATAAAATAGCTCAGAATAAATCAAGGACCATTAACCAACGGGAGGGCCAAGGCTCGGGAGGACTTACCAGTTCCACCAGAGGAGAAGCTCGAAGTCAGGAAGGCTTCAATGGGCCTCTGCTCCTTAGCTCTGAGTTTGGGCAACTTCCTTCATGGTCCTGAGTCTTCTCTGAGGTCCCACGTTGGGTGCAAAATTATTGTCAATGAAAAGAGTCAAACTCTGTAAAATATTTGAAGAGACTTATTCTGAACCAAATATAAGTGACCAGGGCCCGTGACACAGCCCTCAGAAGGTCTTGAGAACATTTGTCCAAGATGGTCTGGGTGCAGTTTGGTTTTGTACATTTTAGAGGGGCATGAAACATCAATCAAATACATTTAAGATATACATTGGTTTGGTTCAGAAAGGTGAAACAACTTGAAGCTGGGGCTTCCAGGCCATAGGTAAATTTTTAAATTTCCTGGTTGGCAATTGGTTGAGTTTGCTTAAGGACTTGTGATCAATAGAAAGGAAATGTTTGGGCTAAGATAAAGGATTGTGGAGACCAAAGTTTAATTGTGCAGAGGAAGCTTTTAGCTAGCAGGCTTCAGAGAGAATACATTGTAAATGTTTCTTATCAGACTTAAAGTCTGTGTTGATGTTAATACCAGAGAGGTATAATGAGGCATGTTCGACTCCCACTTCCCATCATGGCCTGAAACAGTCTCTCAGATTAAGTTCTAAAAGAGCCCTGGCTGAGGAGGAAGTCCATTCAGATGGTTGGCGAGCCTTAGAATTTTATTTTTGGTTTACAGATGGGAGCAGGTTATGGCTTAAATACCAGAGACTCTTGCTATTCTTACCAAGATGTATTAGAGTTTCTTGAATAAATGTTCCTTCATTTGCTGTAGAAAATTAGGACAATTTCCAGAGACTTTGAATAATTGATATTTAAATGAATTTCGCCAGTTGCAGTTTTTCCTTTTGGGTCCACAGGGCTCCTCATACTCCCATTCTGGAACTGGAAGCCTCTCTGTTAAGTCTGTAAACACTTCCTTTCCCCCAACACAGATTTCTTCAATCTGTCTAACCCAAAAACACTGCCCTGGGACAGGATGTCCCTATGTAAGCAGGACAGTGGGAGAAGCCTGGAATTTAAGGCCCAAATTGGGTCTAGACATTCTTGATAAATGTGCCTATCCTAGCGACTTGCCATTTAAAAAGGCTAAACACAAGGTGGGACATAGGGGATCAGAAGGGAGCAAGTGAGGCCACTCCCCCATACTCCCTACCCTGAGTCTTGCCCCTAAGAGTTGAATATTGGTGGTGGGAGGGGGACTCATAGAAGAGAGAGGCTATAGCTCTCTATAGCAAAGCAGATTAGAGTAGCTCCATTGGCCCCCTAGGGAAGGAGCCTCAGGGAGGCTGACTTGGGTTTCACAAGAAAAAGTACATTCTAAGGGTAAAGTACATAAAGAGCTGCTTCAGGAAGAAGTGAGCTCCCTGTCATCACCGAGGTTATCTAAGTAAAAGGTAGAGGGCCACATGTCCAGGACCCTCTATCATTCATTTAGAGTTAGAATCCCAGGACCCTTGGGAGACCATTGACCCTAAAATTCATTGATCCTCTGTGTTTGGAGAAGGAACTCTGCCCAGTTTTGTCTAGCCAAGTCAGGTGATTCCTAGGATTTTTGACATAATAAGAGTTCAGAAACACCCCAGGGACCACGGGCCTTTCCTGGGGTTTTGCAAAGGAGCAGAATTAGCATTCATTACTCATTCATTACTGCTCTAATCAGCATCTTAATTGCCAGTCTTACTCTCAGTCTTTATACTGAGTACCTGGTGCATGTTCACTCTCCACCCCCAACGTCCAGCTAAGCCTGGGGGCAAACACGAGATTCCCTAGACCATCTGCATTCCACCTTCTTTCCCTCCCCCTTTTAGAGAGCTCAGGAAATTGGTTTTAATCCACCAAGCTCCTGTTGCTTAGTAACAGAAGCACCTGCTCCTAGCAACCAGGAGCCACAAAGATGCTGCAGAAAGAGGGGGCTGTCTGGGCCCTGCTCTTGCTCAGCTATAGACAGCTGGCCTCCCCGATGTTTTTCTCATCCAGCACAGACACTCTGTCTCAGATGTCTGTTCTTGAAAAGCTGATCTCTGGGGCAGCTTCTGACCTCAACCCCCAACCTGCCTGCCTGGAGCCCCTCTGAATCCCACCTCCCAGGCCACCAGGAGGCAGTCATGTTCACAATAGTGTGGCTCTGGGAAGTGCCCTCACTGAAGAGGGACAGAGGTAAGTAACCAGCTGTGTTGGTTACTTCAGTCTAGCCTGGTGGGTGGGAGTAGGGTGTGCCACACAGGCTCCTATAACCCTGGGTGAGAGCAATTCCTGCTCGGGGTGGAGGTTGGGGAGCGTGTTGTAATCCAGTCCATTTGAGCGTGAAGAGAGGCAAGAGACCATATAAGATAATTCCCTCCTAGAGATCAGGAAACTGACAGTCAGGACAGGCTTGGGCCCACACAGCCCTTTGGTGACAGCCAGGTCTGAAGGAATGCCAGAACGTGGGGCTCCCCAACACAGTCAGCACCCATGAGACTGCCAGGCCACTGTGCAGTGCCAGAGGCTTCTGCTTCCCGTCCCCGAAGGACAGCAAGAACACACTTCTCCACCACCTAAGAAGAACCCTGCCCTCTTGCCTTCTGGGATGGCCCGAGCTCAGGGTGATCGCCAATGCAGATTTTTTCATTTGACGAGCTGCTTTCCTAGAATTGTTGAAATAACAAGAGTTTAGAAGTACCCAGGAGAGGTCTGTCCAGAGCTCTAACTCTGTGGACTGGTGCTAATTGGCATCTTCCTTAGTCACAGATTTCTCTGACCTTCACAGGAGGTGCAGGTGCGTGCATTCCCTCTCTGTCTCTCTGGGGCTTCAAGCTCTGAAAGTAGGGCTGTCCACCAGGAGTAAACCACGGAAAGTGGGGGTTGTGAGGACCTTACCCCCATTCCCATCCCCCCAGCCCTGGGCCAGACTCTCAGGCGGGAACAAGCCTTCCAGCTGTGAGCTTCTTTCTTGCTTCTCCCCTCCCTCTCCCCTTTCTTCCTCCCAAGAAAAGAGCTTCTGGTCTCTGCCTTCCATTGCCTGGCAACCAAACCAGCTGCCACAGGCTGAGAGGAGCAACACAGATGCTTCTCAATGAGGGGCTGAAATGAGGGGGTGCAGTTGCTGTCTCCAGTCACAAGCACCCATCGGCAATACTGCTGGTGCTCACACTTTGGATACAAGGCTTTTCTTACATTTGCCAGTGTTATGTGTATTTGAAAAGTCTTCCAAAGGACAGATATGCCACAATTGGGTAAACTGCTCCACGCTTCTCTATTTCATATTTAAAGCATGTCGTTATGGAAAATTTCAAGCCTATACACAAGTGGAAGGGCGTAGTGACCCCTCCTGTACACAGCATCCAGCTTCAACAATTATCAGCGCCTGGCCAGTCACACGTCATTGGATCCGTAAGTATTTCAATATGGAGCTCTGAAAGACAAGAACCCCTTTCAGCATAACTACAGTGTCGTTATAACACCTAAAGTAATTAGTAATCATTCCATAATATCGTCAAATACCCAGGGAATGTCCAAACTTTAAATGTCTCATGTCTCATCAATGTTATGGAGGGTTCATGTTATGGTGTTTTTTCCACTTTTTGTAGTCAGGATGTAAATAAATTAATCTATGAGTTCCTCCTTATGAATATCCTGAAATTACAAGGAACTAGGATTGTCCTGGAAACCATGGACCTGCAGGCTCTTCCTGAGACCCCTGTGAGCTCCACTTTGATTTACAGAAGGTATTGTTAGTTCCCAAATTTTGAGATGAGACTGAGATTCAAGAATGAAGAGCTCAGTGTCACCCAGCTACTGAGGGACTGGGTCAGGTTGTTAACTCATATCAGGAGTCCAAACTCCTGTATGTGCTATAATGACCACACTCTGACACCCCTACCTGCTCTACCTCCAGAAAGGTGAGGGAAGCCTTTAGGAAGGGGGCAGTAAAGGCCTCCACCACTCCTGCCCCCACCCTCATACTAGTCCAGGTCCTACCCAGGATCTGTCAAAACCAGTGCAAGCCCACCTTCTGTGATCTCCCTGGCCCATTTCTCTCCTCCCAGGTGACTGCCCTTGGGTGCATGTGCCTCAGTCTCCCCCTCACCCAGAAGAAACCTTGATTCCTAAATATCTGTGCCCCACACCCCAGGTGAGCCTTTTGGAAGCAGCTCCCCAAAGGAGTGCTGACTGCCCGAGTGAGGGGCTTTCTGTGTGTGTGTGTGTGGCAGGGGAGGGTGCACTGCAAGTACAGGGAAGTCTCCGGGGAGAGATCACAGATACCAGCCAGGGAGCCAGCCATCAGCAATGCCAGAGTGACAGTGTCCCTCTTGTCCTCAGCAGGGGAAAGGGAGTGTCCAGGCAACATCCTGGGCCTGAGCATCCTGAGGACAGGGGCTTTGGCCTCACCTCTCCCTCCCACAGGCCTTTTACCCTCTGGGGACAAGAAGTTCTCATCTGTACAGCAAAGATACTCGAGAAAATCAGCCAGGCTGTCCTGTGGTTGAAGGAGGCCTCTCAGCTTGGAGTAATGGAAACTGATCTGGCCAGAGAGTCCCAGCATCAGGTCTTGGTCTCTGCTCTTACATTATGCAGCTCTGTGACCCTGGGCAGGGACCTTCTTTTGTGGGACTCAGTTTTCTTATCTATACAATGAAGGGGCTGGACCAGCTGCTCTCTGGGGGCCCATTAGCTTCCAGGTTTCTATAATCTCCAGGAAAAGGAGACCCATACATTCCTTGGTAAATGGTTTCTGGTCTTAATTACCTTTACTGTCAGGAAGGTCTTCCTGCCTTTTTGCTTCTGTCTCTGAGCCTTGTTTCCTCTGGCCGAGGCCCTTGTCTAGATAAGCATGTTTATTGTCCCAGAAGTGCCTGGGCAGGCAACAGGCATTTTCATCACCACAACTCAAGCCACCATGGTGGGAGAGTGGGGTCTAGACCCAGCCAAGTCCCTGCTCCCGATCCCCAAGGTGTTCAGGAGGGGGCAGTGTTCAGGCCACAGGCAGATGAGAGATCATGGAACCAACTGGCTCCTTGCTCTTCAAGGAGCCCAACTGCCCGGTCTTCCAGATAAGGAAGCAGGAACTTTCCCCAGGAAACACAGAGCTGGAGAAGGGAACAGCTGGGGACCCCTCAGAAGGGATCTTTCCTGGTCAGGGGTGGGGATGGTGAAGAGGAGAGCCTAAGGAGCAGAGTTAGGGCATTAACTAAAAGCAGTTTATGAAACAAATCCTCAGGGAGCTCCTGGGTCCTCCTTGGGGAAGACAGAAAACACACACACACACACACACACACGCACACACACACACACACACCCCACAGGAGAAGAGATTACAAGCATATCTGACTATCAGGTAACTGAGATGGGACTCTAACTTGACCATCCCACCCAGGGGCCACGAGTCTCCCAGCAGCTTCATGTATTCAACAAATAGTGACTGAGTTACTGGGCATCAAACAGTAAACAAGGGGGACATGGCCTCAGCCCTCTCTCTCAGGAACTTGCAGCCTAGCTCAGCAGGGGCAGATGCTCAAGAGAGGATTCTGATCCAGGGAGCTACCCCAGGCTGAAGTAAGCCAGGGAACTGTGGGAACCCAGAACAACCCATCTCAGGTGCTCAAGAACCATCCTGTGCTGCAGGCTGTGTCCTGGTGAAGATCAATTAGACCCTCTACCTTGTCACAAGGACAGAGGATTATCTGTATCCTGGGTTCTTGCCTTGGTGTACCAGAAGAATCAGATCACATCTGGGCTTGGAGAATGAGTGCAAGGTTTTATTGAGTGGAGGTGGCTCTCAGCAGTTGGGGGAAGCCAGAAGGAGCTAGAATGGGAGGGTTTTCCCCTGGAGTCGGGTCGCTCAGTGGCCTGGGCTCTCCTCCGAGTGTCCCAGTCAAACTCCACGTTGTTCTGCTGGTCGGGGCTGTTCGAGGCCTGCAGGTGTGCTAGTGCCTGTTGGTGCATTCTTCTGGACGTCCAGCTGCCCCTGTGTTCCTCCACTGATGCGCTCCTCTCTGTGTTTAGCTGCCTGTGTCTTTTTCTGCTGATCTGCTCCTCTGGACGTCCAGCAGCTTGTGTGTGTGCCTGCTAGGGTCTAGGGGTTCTTATAGGCACAGGATGGGGGTGTGGCAGGCCAGGGGAGGTCTTGGGAAATGCAACATTTGGGCAGATAAACAAAAATGCCTGTCCTCACTTAGGTCCATAGGCACAGGTCCGGGGTGAAGCCCCAGCCAGGGGCCAGGACCTTAACCCCTTGTATCATTTAAAGGGACCATGCTCTTTCCTTCCTAGCACTTCCATATCACTGGCTGTGCCCATTTCTGGGGGAGTCAGTTCTGGTTGCTTGGAGATGGTAGCCTTAGGGAGCAATTGGTCTCCCCTCTTCAGGACAGACAAAGAAGTTTGAGGATGTGCATGACCTTCCAGCACTTTTTGTCATCTCAGCGAGAATTGGGCAGCTTCTGGGGCTTGGAGGAGAGCTGAGGCTACCCTTCTTTATACTAGAGGTTCTCAAAGTTTTTTGTTTTTGGTTCTCAAAGTTTTGGGGTCGGTACCCCAAAGCTCATGGTTAAAGCTTCAGTGGTTTTTCCAAGCAGAAATTGCATATTGAAACTGGGTGCCCTTTCTTTTGCTGGCTGTGGGGATGTGAAGTGTGGGCTGTAGGGCCTCAGATAATAGCACAATTTCTATCAATTGTTCTGTAAAATCTTTTCTTCTCTTCCCTGCTGATGCAGAGGGCCAAAATGTTTCCTTCTTCAAACCAGTGCCCGTGATTTAGCTTTCATTGACATTGATAATGAACATAAAGGTCCCTGAGCAAGGCTGCCCCTTTTGTACATCCTTGCTGCTCTTCTCCTATGTATGGGGGTGGGGGGGATGACACTGGAAGGAAGGGGGAACGAATGAGAAAATGTCCTGTGGATTCTATATTTAATGTGTTCAGTGACATGCAGAGACGTTTAAGTGGGATTTTTGTAACCACCTTTGCAAAATGATGACAGTAAGGGAAATCTGACATAGTTGAGTCCATCTTGCTTCTAACCTCCAAGCAGTCCTTGGTCACTCCTGGGTATAGGCCAAGCTAACTTTGGGAGGAATTTAGTTTATGGTTTAACCTTAAAGGAAGGATGATAATAGTCTTTCCCAAAACTAAGCAGCCTTTGTAAAACTAATGAAAGGCCACAAGATTAGGATTATGAGGAGCCTGAATTCTGCTAAGATGTAGGGTATAGTTAGACAATAACCAGCCATTGTTCTGGAGGTCACAAGATTTGTAACTTCTTCAATTACTCCTGTGGATAACATCACTATTATAGAACCTAAGATTGGTCTTCTGAGATATTTTTCAGACTTTTACATTCTGACAATCAACTGACCCCACCCAGAAGTGGACTCAAGACTCATGACCCAACTGATCCTGTTAACCCCCCTCAACCCAGAGGCAGTCTCAGCACATGACCATAGTTTTCCACACCTCTATGATTGGATCCCAAATCAGTCAGCAGCATGCATTCTCTAGTCCCCTGTCCACCAAACTATCCTTGAAAAACTCTAACCTCTGAGCCTTTGGGGAGACTGATTTGAGTAATAACTCTGTCTTCTGCATGGCTGACCTTGTGTTAATAAAGCTTATTTCTCTACTGCAATAGCATGGTCTCAGTGAATTGGTTTTGTCTGTGCAATGGGCAGGAAGAACCCATTGGTTGAGTACACTTTCAAGGAAATACTAAGGAAATGCTTTATTTTAGCTGCCTGGTCAGTCCCATTGTTCGGGTTTCTGGGTCTTCCTCTTCTCAAGGCTGGTTTGTAAATCCTGAGCTATTGAGGAGCTGTCTGTTTTCTCAAAAGAGCAGATGGGCCCTCTGATCCCCGACATGACCCCCTCCTCCACTGACTCTTCATCCACCTGGGGGTTTTTGCTTTTGGCTACTGGCCCAGGTAAGGGGCCTGTGCCTATGGAATACAGTGGGTCTCCAGTCCTTTGGGGCTCAGGGTTCCACCTCCCTTCTCTCTCCTAGGCCAGACCCCAGTCAGACTTTGGATGAAGGAGAAGGCACAGGCATGGTGGCATTGGCAATGAATCTCTTTGGAATCAAATTTTAGTCAGGCTCTTCTAAGTCCTCTTCTTGGCTGTATCTGGACCTTGCCCTCATCATTGCTACACCTGCATAGCCCCAATTTGCAGTAATCTGGCAAAGTCAGTTTAAAGAGAATCCCCTCATTCTTAATATCTGATTAGTCTGCTCTCAGAAAGAATCCTGTTTGGTCAATCTAACAAGAATCCTCTCTATCCTTGATGTCTCTTATCAGTTGCACCCCCTGGCTGCACCCACCACTACTCTTCTCCTTGACTAAGCATTCCCAGCCCCACAGAATTCAGTATTCATCTCCTCCTCAATATTCAGAATTGGGACCAGTTCCATACTGAGGTTTTCCTCTCTTGCAATAATTTCTTTTTTCTTTTCTTTCTTTCTTTCTTTTTTTTTTTTTTTCCAGATAGAGTTTCACTCTGTCACCCAGGCTGGAGTTCAGTGGCCCAGTCTCAGCTCACTGCAACCTCCACCTCCCAGGTTAAAGCAATTATTGTGCCTCAGCCACCCAAGTAGCTGGGATTGCAAGCATGCGCCACCACATCTGGCTCATTTTTGTACTTTTAGTAGAGATGGGGTTTTGCCATGTTGGCCGGGCTAGTCTCAACCTCTGGGCCTCAAGTGATCTGCCCACCTTGGCCTCCCAAAGTGCTGGGATTACAGGTGTGAGCCACCACGCCCCATCATCTCTTGTAATAGTTTCTGAATAAAATATTTTTTTTACTGGTATTATCCAAAAAACCACTAGGATGGCTAAATAGTAGAAAGGAGAACTTTATTAGCAATATTGGTCTGCAAGCTGGGAAGAGAAAGTCTCCAGCAAAGAGAGTGACCAAAGGTACTCTCTTCAAAGAAGGGAAGGACAGATTGGGTCTTATGCCTCACAGGACTGGTATCTTACATATTCAGTAGGTTTGAGGGGAAAGCTATACATATTTATGAGAAGAGCCAAGTGCATGCACATTGGCTAAACATGTTGTAACATACATCCCAAGTTCACTTTGGGGTGAGGTTTTGGCATTAAAATGAGGTATAATTTGGCTTTTTATGTCAAAACTGTCTTGGGACACAAGACAGTTTGTGCACATTCTCTATAAACTGGCTAAAACTGGCGTAAGGTCTGCCCCACCCCCATCAGACTTTGGATGAAGGAGGAAACACGGGTATGGTGACATCCTGTCCCTTATTTCTCAGAGCTGGTAATTGAGGTCCAGGGAACACAGGGCATTTGACCCTCTTCCAGGAACCAGAAAGCTGGAAACTCCTGTATTACTCAGTTGCTAGTAATTTAAAACAGTGCTTATTGCAGAGCTATATTCTGGAATAGAATGTATATTTTAAAAAAATTTTCCATATGTTATTGGGGTACAGGTGGTATTTGGTTACCTAAGTTCTTTAGTGGTGATTTGTGAGATTTTGGTGCACCCATCACCCAAGCAGTATACACTGCACCATATTTATAGTCTTTTATTCCTCGCCCCGCCACACTCTTCTCTGGAAGTCCCCGAAGTCCATTGTATCATTCTCATGCCTTTGTATCCTTATCGCTTAGCTCCCACATATCAGTGAGAACATACAACATTTAGTTTTCCAGATGTACAATTTTTGATGAATCTCTCAGAGGCAATTATCAACCTCAATGTAATTCTGAGCTTCCCCCTTGCACCCTGTTTACTTTGTTTCACAATTGGACAAAATGAGTTCTAGAGAACAAAGGTCATTTGCACAAAATTCTACAGCAATCGATTGCAGAACTCAAAGTAAGGTTCTTTTAATAATAGGTATCCTTTATAAATAGAATGACCGGATGTTCCAGTTTATAAATATTGTCCCATTCTAATTATTAAAATTAAAAGTCCTTCTCAAAATTAGCATGGTACATATAATAAAATATGTTTCCCCCCATTTATGTGCCATTAATTTTTCTTCATATATTAGGCTGGTGCAAAAGTAATTGCAGTTTTCGCCATTGAGAGTAATGGCAAAACTGCAATTACTTTTGCACCAACCTATATTGTTTCATATAGTCTTTACAATAACCCTACAATGTGACAATTTCTCTCATTTTACAGAGTAGGAGATTAAGTTTGAAAGGTTTTAGTTACCTGCCTGAAGAAATATAAATGGTAATATAAATGGTAAATGGTGAAGCCAGGCTTCTGATTCAGGTTTTGTGGTGCTAGAACTGGGCAGTCAATTGCCATATTATTCTTTAGTGTCGACCAAACTCTCCCCAGAGAGACCTGTAGTATGCCCAGAACAGTTTGGCCTCTACTTGTGCCCCAATGGACATGCTATTTACCTGGGATTGGCAGACAGTACAGAGAACAAAGAGCCTAGGGTAGGAGGAGGGCAGAGGGCTTACAATCCTCAGGCCTGTTGATGAAAAGACTTTTCAGAGGCAGCTGATGACAAAAGCACTAGCCAGTTTCATGGGGAGGTTGTAGAAGGTGCAACTATAACCCTGGAGCAGGTAGAGCATGGAACAAGGACCCAGTGCTGCTACTGCTGTCTCTGGTGGGCCCCCCCTCTGCTCCAGCAAAAGTTACCACATGGACACCATTAGCCAAAGCCCAGACCAGCTGCTGGCCCACCGCATGGAAAGTGCGTCTGGGGTATTCCATGCCTCAGGCCTAAGGGTATGGCCTCAGCGACTCTCTTCAAAGTGTTCCCCAAAATCCTGTCTACCCTCCACAGGGACGGGAGGGTACAGAAAACATTTTTGGAGTCCTGTGTTCAAGCACTATCTGGGATATAGGTATAGGCTTAAGCATTAGGAGATATACCTAATGTAAATGATGAATTAATGGGTGCAGCACACCAACATGGCACATGTATACATATTAACAAACCTGCACATTGTGCACATGTACCCTAGTACTTAAAGTATAATAATAATAAAAAAGAATATATTAATTTGAACATAAAAAAAACCTTGTAGTCCTTCTCAGCTATCTCCTCTCCCCTCTGCAGACAGACTCTTGTCTCTTTTGATATCTTAAATCTTTGTGTAGTAGAAAAATACAGTGTGTTACTTTAGGCTCTGGTACTAACAGATTTGTGACTTTGGGTGATATCATTTAATCTTCCTGGGCCTCAGTTTCTCCACATGTAAAATGAGGAGGTTAGTCTAGATGATCACTGTGTTGTTATTCCAAACTCTTGCGTATGTGATTCAGTCTTATCTCTGCTACCATTCAGTAGGTCCCCAGACCAGGCTCCTTCCTACCCTCCCTAAAAAATTCAGATACCAGCCTCATCAGTGGCAGCTTCAGTCCTGCCTCCATACCCTTGCGGATATAATAACCACAGTCATAGTTTTTAACATTCCACTAGGACTTGTGTGGGCTCTCCAGTTCCTAAAGGTTCAAGTGCATTTCTTGACCCTGTCATTCAAAGATCTCTACACTCAGGAGTTGGTGGAAGGCTTACAACACATTTATTTTGTGAGGCTCTCTGGATATTTGTAAATGAAGAAATGCCAAAATACAGTCTCAAAAATTGTGGTACTTTTGAAATACTTACTTTTAACAGCTAAACATTGTAACACATATCAAGCAAATATAATGAAATAGATGGCATTCACAAGATAATTACAGGATAGATAAAGTGTACACTAGAGATCTTTTGTGAATGAGAACTCCAGCCAGATGGTCCCTCTAACCTCCTTCTCCTGCTCTTCCTGTTCCCCACAACGGACCCTGACAATTGACAATAGTAGTTGATCCAATCCATTGCCTCTCAAACCTGGCAGTGCCCTCATATTACCCACATGGTGCAGATGCAGCTAGTCAAGCATGGTCCACGGGCTGGCATTTGGGATCACCAAACAAGCTCCCTTTACATGTGTGTTAGCCTTCTGCTTGGACTGGCCAGATCTTTGGATTGCATTACTCCATAGCTACTACAACCCCTAGCACTAGGCCAAAATCCTGGCAGGTTCTTAGTGTTGATTTCAGAGCTGAGGACCAGGGTGGAAATGTGTTTGCAACCTTTCCTGTACTCCTGTTCTCTCCCCACCCTCTTCAGGACCATCACAGAGCCTCTACAAGAAGACACTCCAAGCCTTTAAGACCCTGACATTACCTTCCTTCTACCTCTACCCAAATTATATGATTTTTTCAAATCCCTCTTGTTCTAAAGGACCCTGACCTTCTCTTCAGCCACCTCACACAGACCCAATTAAAAGGAGATGGGGAGTAGACTAGGTTTCTTTTTTCTGATTTTCTTTTGACCCATACTGCTTTCTTTGCTGTCTTGTGGGCACATACATAGGTATTCAAGTGAAACAAGCCCAGACTTCAAAGTTAAGAACTTCAGGAGTGGAATTTCTCCACTCTTGGTACAGTGGGGAGTCTGGAGCAAGCTGTTTGCCTTCTTTGCACCTTCGTTACAGATCAGGCATCAAGGAATGAAGATTAACCCTTGACCTTGCTGGAAGATGGCATGTTTACCTGATCCCTGATGTTCCAATCTCATAGTGACCACAGGAGCCTGGAGCATAGTACCAAGTGTGTGAGGGCATGCCATAGATAATGCAGCTGGGAATAAGGGAAATAACGTTAGATGGAGGGTCAGAAGACCCAAAGTTAGGCCTACTTCTGGTCTTCTGGTACTAACTTGCTTCGTATCCTTGGAGAAGACATTCAAACTCTTCAGCCTCAATTTCTTTCTTTGCAAAATAGGGTACATATAGCATAATAGCTAAGAGCAAAGACCTTATTGTCAGACAGACCTGGATTGGATGCCAACTCTACCACTTACTAGCTGTGTGACCTAGTCTACTTACCAAGTCTTTCTTGGTATGTTTATTTACTTGAGGGCAAGTAAATGGAACACTAATATTATTTACTTTATGCAGTTGGTGTGAAAATTAAATGAAATAGCATAGCTAATATATGTAAAGAATTTGACACGGTGTCTGTCACATAGTAAGTGCTAAGTAAGTGTTAACTATTGTTACTACTAGTAGTACTACTACTTCTACTTCTACTATGAAGAAAAGAAATATGTGAGGAAGGACATTTGCTGCCCTATTTATCTTACACAGTTGCTGTGAAGATCTAATGAGATAAGTGCTGAAAAAGGGTTTTGGGAGATAAAAGAACTCTACAGAGGTGAGGTGAGATTGACATTAAATTACAAAGGTGTTGGGACCTTCCCCCTTACTGCCAGGTCGCTCTTGAGTCCATCGACTCTGGCTTGATCAGTGCTGGCATGAGTGGCTATTGCCTTCCCTTCCCACCCACCCATCTTGCCTCCTGGCATATTGAATTAGAGGAAGGGGTTAGAAACTTTGACCTCCAACCTTCTGCTACTCTACCACTCCCACCCCTACTACAGAGGCACCTGTCACATAAGTAGCCAGTACCCAACCCAGACCCAGAGTTCACTTTGCATTTGCCCTACTGAGGGCCTGGGACATGTGCTCTCTTCATTAGCAGCCTGGAGAAGTGTCTGTCCACATCTGCCTTCCCCAGGACTATATTTAAGTCATACAAGCCAGGTCTCTTACATTAGCTCACCTAATCCTCACAGAACAATCATTTAGTTGGTACTTTTATAAGATCCATTTTCCGGATGAGAAAACTGAGGCTTAGAGATGTGAAATAAGTTGCTCAAGGTCAAATAGAAAGTGAGGATGTAGAGCAATGGCTCACGCCTGCAGTCCCAGCATTTTGGGAGGCCAAGGTGGGCAGATGACTTGAGCTCAGGAGTTCGAGACCAGCCTGGGCAAAATGGCAGAAACCCCAACTCTACAAAAAATACAAAAATTAGCGGAGTGTAATGGCGCATCTGTAGACCCAGCCACACGGGAGGCTGAGGTGAGAAGATCACTTGAGCTTTGGAGGTTGAGGCTGCAGTGAACTGTAATCATGCCACTGCACTCCAACCCGGGTGACAGAGCAAGATCCTGTCTCAAACAAACAAACAAACACACAAAAAACACAAATAGCAGGTACATACACCTTGTTCTTAAATCCATGTCTGTCTGACTCAGAGCCTGCACATTTAGCATTATACAAACATTATAGAAAGATTAATTCAGCCCATCCCTGATAGTTTAGTGGCTAGGAAAAAAAAATTCTAAAGGAGGAAAATTCATCTATCCTAGAACCTTCCTGTAGTGACAGAGGTCCCAGCCTTATTTCAGAGAGGCTAAGGTGAGGCTTAAGGAAATTTCCCAGCTGGGAAGCAGGTTGTTAACTAGCCAACCGATGTAATATCCTCTGTCCTGAAGGGGCTTTTGATTTCCTTCCTCTGCTGTTTCCTCATTTTCCCCATCTCTCTCAGAAAACACTTAACAAAAAGGGGCAGTATCCTGGAAAAGGCATTTTAGATTGAAAAATGAGCTCTGTCCATACTTTTGCAGTTCCTCTGCCTTCTTTTCCCCTACCTCCCTTCCTTCAGACAAGTAATTCAAGGGTGCTAGGGATTGTCAGCCTATTCCTGCTCAGAGGCAGGAACATGGCCTAAGTGGTCTCTTGAGATTTCCTGCAGGCTTTCATGCTTCATGAAGTCGTAGCAGCAGGCCCCCTGACGGTGGAGCCAACATTAGTGCTTGGCTCAGCTCTGAGGATCAAAGCCATATTAATCCTGGCAGCCAGCCTTCCCTGGATTGATTACCTTGTCATCTGCCCCAGACCAACCATCCCAGGTTTCCTTCCTAATGTTAAACTACAGTGTAGGGAGAGTTGCTTCTGGTAACAGAGTGATAACCTGTCCCATTGGGGTGCCTGCTGGAAGCAGCTGCCCAAACTGGCTGCCTCTTTAGCTCAAAAGTGGCCTTAAAGCTATAAGCAGGGCCCTATTCAGTCTCAAGGGTAGGAAGAGGCTCATCATTTTGGTACTTGTTTCTTGTTTTGGCTTTACAAAGGCACTGATGCTTCCTGAAAGCTGAGCTTAGAAAATTGTTCGTCTGACTCCTGCTGCTTCTTCTCTGGTGGTGGGACAGATCAATGGAGCAGCCATGTTTCCAAGGAGGGTATAGAGATTTGCTAACCTAATAAGAAGCAGCTGGTGAGCTCTAGACATCATTGCCCAGTTCTAATTTCACACTCACTCCTTCTGACCCATGGGCTCAGGGTTCCTTTTCCTAACCTCACAGGGTTCTGGTAACCATAAGGCCTCCAACCCACCATTTAAAGGTTGCAAGGCCGAGATGCTAAAATGACAGAGAGCCAGACAGGGAAGTAGATACGGCATGGTGATGGAGGAGACCTGAGACCTTGTCCCTACCCTGCTATAAACCAAGTCTGTAGGCCTCATGTCTTCATCTGTAAACAACAGAAAGATCATTGATCGGTCTTTGCTTAATACCTCTCCATGCCTAGTGATATGGGGCAGGGAGCCTGGGAAGGGGACTGTAAAAACCTCGAGGTAAATCTAGGCTGGGAGGCACTGCCCTAGAGTTCAGGAAGGCCAAGTCCATAATGTCATTGCCTAATTGAATACTAGAAAAGCACCCCTGGAGGCAGGTGAGTTTGGCTGAGAGGTAAGTTGGGATTTACTTAATGTCTAAAGAGAGAGAGAGGTCAAAGTAAATGGTTCAGTGGGCAGAGAGAGAAAAGCAGGTCTAGGGCAGAAGGGAGATCTCAGGGACTTTCCCATGGAGCCCCAGGGGAGAGACTCAGAAAGATGAGGGCAATAGAAGGGAAGATATGACAGAACAGTCTTATCAGAGGCTTATCAGGTATCACAGTGCAGTAGAAGGAGCACAGGATTAGGACTCCAAAGATCGGGGTTTTTATCCTGGCTTAGTTAGCAATTGACTTGCTGTATGTCCTTGAGTAGTTTATGTCCTCTCTGAGCTTCAGTGTTCTCATCTGTGATATTTATTATTTATTTATTTATTTATTTATTTATTTATTTTTTTTTTTTTGAGGCAGGGTCTCGCTTTGTCACCCAGGCTGGAGTGCAGTGGTGCAATCTCAGCTCACTGCAGCCTCGATCTCCTGCTCAAGCGATCCTCCTACCTCAACACCCGCTCCCCCCCCAACCACAAGTAACTGGGACTACAGGCCCGTGCCACCACACCTGGCTAATTTTTATTTTATTTTATTTTTTTGTAGAGACGGGGTTTTGCCATGTTGCCCAGGCTGGTCTTGAACTCCTGAGCTCAAGCCATCTGCCTGTCTCAGCCTCCAAAAGTGTTAGGATTACAGGCATGAGCAACCGCGCCCAGCCTCATCTGTGATTTTTTTTATTTTTGTTTTTTCAAAGCTTTATTGAGGAATAATTTACAAATAGTAAACCGCATATATTTCAAGTGTATAATTTGACGCATTTTTACATATGTAGATATGCAGGAAACCAAGAATGTGGAGAAAAGGGAACACTTATACACTGTTGGTGGAAATGTAAATTAGTTCAGTCACTGTGGAAAGCAGTTTGCAGATTTCTCAAAGAATGTAAGACAGAACTACCATTCAATCCAGCAACCCTGCTACTGAGTATCTACTCAAAGGAAAATAAATCATTATACAAAAATGATACCTGCACTCATATGTTTATTACAGCAATATTCACAATAGCAAAGTTTACAATATTCACAATAGCAAAGTCATGGAATCAACCTAGGTGTCCATCAGTAGATGATTGGATAAAGGAAATGTGGCATATTTATACCACAGAATACTACTCAAGCATAAAAAAGAATGAAATCATGTCTTTTGCAGCAACATGGATAGAACTGGAGGCCATTATCTTCAGTGAAATAAGTTAGCACAGAAAGTCAAATACCAAATGACAGGATTTCATTCTTTTTGATGGCCAAATGGTATTCCCTTGTGTATATATACTACATTTTCTTTATCCATTTATCTGTTGATGAACACTTAGGTTGATTCAATATCTTGGCCGTTGTGAATAGTACTGCAATAAACATGGCAGTACACTTAATTCTTTGACATACTGATTTTCTTTCCTTTGGATAAATATCTAGCAGTGGGATTGCTGGGTCATATAGTAGTTCTATTTTTAGTTTTTTGAGAAATCACCACACTGTTTTCCATAATGGCTGTACTAATTTACATTCCTACCAACAGTGTAATTTTATAGTAAGTCTTGAAACGAGATAATATAAGTATTCTAACTTTATTCCTTGTCAAAATTATTTTCTCAATTCTATGTTCTTTTCCTTTACACTTAAATTTGAGAATCAACTTGCAAAATTCTATCAAAAAAACCTCGCTGGGATGTTAATTAGGGTTGCATTGTATCTACAGAACAATTGGAGAGAATTGACATCTGACCCATGAACAATATATATCCCTCCATTTATTTGTCTTCTTTAATTTCTCTTAGCAACTTTTTGTAATTTTCAATATAGAGGTCTGACATGTTTTAAATCAAATTTATCCATAAGTATTACAAATTTTTGATGACATTGCAAATGGTATTTTTATTCGATGTTTAATTATCCATTGCTAGTATATATAAATACAATTTGTTTTTGTATATTGACTTTGTATATTCTGAGATCTTGCTTAGCTTATTTGTTAGTTCTAGTAGCTTTTTTTGTAGAGTCCTTTGATTTTTCTAGGTAAATTATAATGTTGTCTGTAAATAAAGACGGTTTTACTTCTTCATTTCCTACCTGTGTGTCTTCTATTTCTTTTTGCTGTCTTGTTTGTTCGTTTTTAACTTTTATTTTAGGTTTGGGGGTACATGTGAAGATATGTTACATAGGTAAACATGTGTCACGGGGGTTTGTTGTACATATTATTTTATCACCCAGGTATTAAGCCCAGTACCCAGTAAATATCTTTTCTGCTACTCTCCCTCTTCCCACCCTCCCACGTCTTCTTACTGTCTTATTGCATTAGCTAGAACCTCCAATGGAATGTTAAATAGAATTAGTGAGAGCAGACATCCTTTTTGTATCCTTTTTGTTTGTTTGTTTGTTTGTTTGAGACAGGGTCTCACTCTGTTGCCCAGGCTGGAGTGCAGTGGTGCGATCACACTCACTGTAGCCTCCACCTCCCCAGGCTCAGGTGATCCTACTGACTCAGCCTCTTGAGTAGCTGGAACTCCAGGTGCGTGCCACCAGGCCTAGCTAATTTTTGTATTTTTTGTAGAGAGTGGGGTCTCACTATGTTGCCCAGGCTGGTCTTGAACTCCTGGACTCAAGTGGTCCACCCGCCTCGGCCTCCCAAATTGCTGGGATTAGAGGTGTGACCCACTGCACCTGGCACCCTATTCCTAACCGTAGTGTGGAACCATTCAGTCTTTCACAAGATGATGTTAGCTATAGGCTTTTCATGGTTGCCCTCTATCAGGTTGTGAAAGTTCCCTTGTATTTCTGGTTTGCTAAGAGTTTTTTTAAAATTTTGAATGGATACTGGATTTTGTCAAATGCTTTTTCTGCATTGGTTGAGATGATTATATATACATTTTTAATTTTAAGTCTGGTATAACTGCATATTGCATTGATCGATTTTTGAATGTTGAACTAACCTTGCATTTCCAGGATAAATCACACTTGATCATGATGTTTTTTCCCCTTTTTTTTGAGATGGAGTCTCACTCTGTTGCCCAGGCTGGAGTGCAGCGGCGCAATCTCGGCTCACTGCAACCTCCACCTCCTGGGTTCAAGCGATTCTCCTTCCTCAGCCTCCCGAGTAGCTGGGACTACAGGCACGTGCCACCACGCCCGGCTAATTTTTTTGTATTTTTTTAGTAGAGACAGAATTTCACCATGTTGGCCACGCTGGCTTGAACTCCTGACCTCAAGTGATCCACCCACCTCGACCACCCAAAGTGCTGGGATTACAGGCGTGGGCCACCGCTCCCAGCCTATCCTTTTTAGATATTGTGGGATTCAATTTGCTAAAATGTTAAGAGTTTGAAACTGTGTTCAGGATGGATCTTCATCTGTCATTTTCTTTTCTTGTGATGTTTTTTATCTGGTTTTGGTGTCAGGGTAATACTGGCCTTATAGAATGAGCTGAGAAGTGTTTCCTCCAATTTTTTGGAAGAGTTTGTGTAGAACTGGTATTATCTCTTCCTTAAATGTTTGGAATTCACAATTGAAGCCAACTTGGTCAGCCCCTCTATGATTCATATGGGCCCTTTCATTTTTAACATCTTGCAGTTCTAATAAGACCCTGTCATCAATCTTTTTATGTTAGATATGTGTGTCTCTTCTCTGTCTCCTTATTTCTTGTCTGTCTTTGCCTTTGGCCTGTTTCCCATACTTTCCATTAGGTGAATGTCTGACAATCTGAGTCTGTAGGTGCTGGGCCAGCCTTCTCAGAGAAAGATGAGGAAACTGTTTCAAGTCATAGTTTCTCCCAACACTGGTGTGTTTTAGTAAAAAAAAAAAACAAAACAAAACACCTGTAATCTGCCTTAGCTACTAAAGTAGATAACTGACCATTGTCCAAAACCAGTGGGTTCAAATCAGTGGCCATAGGCCATTAAGTAGAGCCCAGTTACCCTTGAAGGACTGGGACAAGAGTTAAAATGTCTCATTTTCAGACTTGGCATGGGCACTCTTAAGTGTAGGTCTCTCTGTTTGACTCTGTCTCAGTTTGACTCTCTGTAAAATTAGTAACTGAACCCCTAAATCTTCTAACTCCAAAACTGAAAGTAAATAAACAATAGCTGCAGAGGGAAGCAGGCCAAATAACCTAATATGGAGGTAATAAGACAACTTATATTTTCAGTGAATATTTGACTTTAAAACCTTTGAAACTTGGGCTGGGCATAGTGGCTCATACCTGTAATCTCAGAGCTTTGGGAGGCTAAGGAGGGAGGACGGCTTGACACCAGGAGTTTGAGACCAGCCTAGGCAACATAGCAAGATCCCATCGCTTCAAAAACTTAAAAAAAAAAAAAAAATAGCCGGGTGTGGTGGTGCATTGGTGCGTGCCTGTAGTACTAGCTACCCTCAGGAGACTGAGGTGGGATGATAGCTTAAGCATGGGAGCTTGAGGCTGCAGTGAGCCATGATTGTGCCACTGCACTCCAGCCTGGGTGACAGAGCAAGACCCTGTCTCTAAAAAGAAAACAAAGTTTTGAAATTCAAATTAGGTAGCCCACGAAAATTGGCATGTCTTGAGACAAAATGTGGAGAGATAAAAATGAGATTCGTGGTTTTTTTTATTTTATTTATTTTATTTTTTTTTGAGACGGAGTCTCGCTCTGTCGCCCAGGCTGGAGTGCAGTGGCCCGATCTCGGCTCACTGAAAGCTCCGCCTCCCAGGTTCGCGCCATTCTCCTGCCTCAGCCTCCTGAGTAGCTGGGACTATAGGCACCCGCCACCGTGCCCGGCTAATTTTTTGTATTTTTAGAAGAGACGGGATTTCACCGTGTTAGCTATGATGGTCTCTATCTCCTGACTTCGTGATCCTCACGCCTCGGCCTCCCAAAGTGCTGGGATTACAGGCGTGAGCCACCGCACCCGGCCGCGATTTGTTTAGATATGGAATGCTTGGAAAGTAATGTTTCCTAGTATTGCTGTGCCACCCCCAGAAAAACACCATCACATTATAATGAAGAAAAAAGTAAGATACTGAGAGGACCCAATGCCAGGACAAATATGAAAGTACTTTTGGACTTTTAAAATAAAGATTTGCTAGAAATATGAAGTAGAATTCTAGACACAATGGATGGATGGTGAGTAGCTACCAAAGTAAATGGGCTTAGAGTGTCTGAGTGCTGGAAGAAAGAGCTTTTCAACACAGTGTTTGTCAGAAAATGGAAAAAGGTTTGAAAGAAGCTTCTCTGAGCAAGAGTGTTTCATCTATTCACTGGACAGACAGTTATGTAGCACTTAACTCTGGGCCCTGCACAAGGCCAGGGAAATAATTAATAAATGACGCTCAGCTGGAGGTCACTCTTCTGGTGAGCCGCAGAGATAAGGGCTCCTGTTATCTCAGTCCCCAAAGAAGAACAGAGTCTTGCATTTCTTCCCTCTGGAGCTCCCCAGCTGACCCCTGAAGTGCCTTCACCTACATCCTCCTTTTAAATATGTTTCACCAATTCTTTCAGTCATCTCACTAATGCGTGCCCACCACCTGGCTGGATGTGCCGGCATAAGTCATCACAGTCCTAAGCTGCCTGCTACCTACCACACACTGTCCCCATGCCAAACCAATACCATTCCAACTATCCCATTTATTCAAACTAGATGTAGACACATCACCATGTTCTGGGAACTCTGAAGAGGTGTGGTGATGGGGCAGAAGCAAGTGAATATTTCCGGCAACACAGAATCCAATTCATGGTGCCATTCTCTCCACTTAGCACTGGGTATAGCAGTTGGATAGCTTAGCCTTAGAACCTGTCCTCTTAATCCTATTTGCTATTCTCTCACTGTACTGTGCATCTTGTCAGGAAGTAGGGGCTCTTGAATAGAGCCATCTCTGCCCCTGTGTCAGCCACCTTATCTCTCTTCCTATCTACCCTTGACCTATCTTTGACCTTTATTTGACTTTGCACCGTCATTCCCTCATTTGAGCTTTTGTTAGTTCCCCACAATAAAAGGAATTTATGAAAGCTTGTGATGTATTTGGAGAGTTTGGCTCTTGGAGTACCCCCTCTCTCTCTTTCAACTCAGAGAGGTTGGCTTTCAGCAGCCAAGGAGTGAGGAATCTGGTCTCACACTTGAATTATTTTCTGAGCAGTCTCCTGTACTTCAAAGACATTAGCCTGAGTGCCTGGGTAAGGAGCCAAGGCACTAATTGAGTATTTGAGTAAAAAGACTTTGAGGATGAGGAAGCTTGAGGGCCAACAGATCCAGGATGGTGCTGGAAAAGCCAGAGTTCTGGTGTTGTGCTGCCCAGGTCCAACAGAAATCTAGTTAGATATGGGTGCTTTGAGGAGGAAAGTAGGGGTGCCTGCTGAATACAGACATATGTTCACTTAGGTACAGGCCTTTTGGGGCCAAGTCTCACTCCATGATACCATAGGAGAGGGGTAGGCCTTGTTACCGCTGAGAGGGGAAGGTTAAGGTTGAAAATAACTCTGGGAACCACTGAGGAAAAGTGTGAATGGTATAATAATTATACCATTGAATTATATGAATTATAATAGTTCATCCTCAAAATCCAAGGATCTGTTGAACACAAAATTTATTAGTCAGGAATCAGATACTTGCTCAGCACTTATGCACTGTGGATTGAAAATAATGCTTTCTCCCTGATGGAATGTTACAAGGTTCCACCTCTGATTTTTCCAAGTCTGTTTAGAAAGATAGGTCTGTACATTGCCTGTTAAAATCCACCCAACTCTCCCACGAATCTCAGCTGCTTCACTGAAATCTCTTTCTTTGTCTTCCCCATATAAGAGCAGGGGTAATTATGGGGAATGAAAGAAACTCCTAGCTTTGAGTCCAAGAATTGTTAGAATTCTAGAAAACCTCTACCTACTCTTTGCATTTTCCAAAATGGGAAACTGAATATAAGAAAGGTAAAGGATAACCAGTAACACCCAATAACACCTATCTATTATCAATAAGGTTATAATTGTCACCATAATTGTTATCATGACTATTATTTCTTCTTTTTTAATACAGTCATTGCTTGATTATTTTTCTCTTACTAAAATTTTTTGATAACCTATCCCACTAACAGTCCCTTAAGTCACTTCTCTTATATAACGCTATTCTTCTTCAGTCACAATCTAGCTATTAGATTACCTTTCTCTCCCTTTATAGAAAATTTTCTCTCACTTGGAGTTTCTGACTTCTCTGAAAATCTTTAAATAGAAAATTTTATTCTGGCCTTGAACCATGAGGTTCATAAATTTTATTGCCCTACTTAAAAAAACAATGTGTTCCCTACTCCACTGTGAGATCCTTGAAGTCAAATACCATATGTCACTCATTTAACATCTTGAATGCCTATGGGATAGACATGTGTCTGGGCCAGAGAGAATGTTAAATAATTGTTGAATAAATTAATATAACATGTGAATTACTTCATTTTTAAAAATATACATTTAGTATTAAAAACTATATTAAGGCACTTTTCTCTATACTTCCAATGCAGTACAGCTAAAAATGCTGGACATTATATCTAAAACAAATGTAGCAAGATTGAAAAGTGGAGAGAAGAAGGCACATGGGCTAGGAAAGTTGGGATCTAAGAAAAAACGTAACAGAAAACCTGAGTTTTCTTTTTGCTTCACATATCTTAGACCTGGAGCTGAAGAAGCCAGCAACCAAGAAATGCCAATGGAAGCAGACCAAAAAAAAAAAAAAGCTTGATTTGTCTAGCCAAAAGACGGGAAAAGGGGCAGCCTAGCAAAACAAAAAAGCTTTAAACAATAATCCCTCTACTCCAGCCTAACACCATGGGAAAAAATGCACCCCACTTGACCTTTGCCAACAAAGGCCTACTGGGGAGCCAAGACTTCTACACTCACCCAGCTGTAACAAGGTGCTCCAACCTCCCCGCCTCCCATGCTGAGGTGGTGTCAGAGAAAACAGTAGGAAGCCAGGAATTTCTTCCCCTCTCAGCAGTAACAAGGCCTACCCCTCCCCCATGGTGTCAGTAGAGACCACATAGGGAGCCTGGACTTTCACTCTTGCCCGGGTATAACCTCCAACCACCTCTCCTACTCCTGGCAAGGTGCCAAGGTGGTGTCAGTGAAAGCCAAGTAGGAAACTGGGACTTTCACCATCACTTACTGAGGTAAGACCACATGGGAAACAGTAACAAGGAACCCCTACTCCTCCCAACCAGGAAGATATAAAAAGAAGCCTAGTAGGGATCTTGAATACCCACCCCTGCTCAGCAATAACAAGGTACCCTTCCTTCTTAGAGTGTCAATAGAAGCTAAGCAGGGAACCTGGATTTCCACCCCCATTTGGTAGTAATGAAGTTGTCCCTCAATGGCACAGTATCAGAAGAGGCCTTCTAAAACACAAGATTTAAATAAGATCCAGAGTCTCATATCTAAAATTTCCAGAATACCATAGAAAATCACGAATCACACCAAGGACCAGGGAAATCTTGACTTCAACAAGAAAAGACTATCAACTGACACTAACATGAAGATAACACAGAAATTGAATTATTTGGCAAGGATTTTAAAGCAGCCAACAAAAAATGCTTTAACAAATCATTGCAATCACACTTGGAACAAATGAAAAAAATACTAAGTCTCAGTAGATAATTAGAAGATATAAAGATGAAATAAATGGAAAATTTTGGAGCTGAAAAATATATAACCAAAATAAAATAAGCCCACTGGATGGGCCCCACAGCAGATGAGAGAAGACAGAAGAAGGAATCAGTGAACTTGAAGGCAGAACAATAATAATTATCCAATCTGGACCACAGAGAGAAAATAGATTGAAAAAAATGGAAAGAGCCTCAGATGCCTGTGAGGTTATAACAAAATATTTAACATTTCTGTCATCAGAGGAGTCCCAGAAGAGGAAAAAGGCAGGGCTGAAGAGATACTTGAAGCAATAATTGCTGAAAACTTCCCAACTCTGGTAAAAACATAAGTCTGTAGATTTAAGAAACTGAGCAAATCCCAAAGAGAATAAACTCAAAGAACTCTATGCCAAGACACATCATAGTCAAACTTTCAAAAGCTAAACACACAGACATGCACGTGCATGCACACACACACACACACACACATCTTGAAAACAGTAAGAGAGAAATGACACGTTAACTCTAGGGGAAAAACAATTAAAATGACAGAAGATTTCTCATCAGAAACCATGGAGGGCAAAGTGCTGAAATAAAAGCTCTCTTAGCTCAGAATTGTATATCCAGTGAAAATATCCTTCAGGAATGAATGAGGAAATCAATACATTCTCAAACGAAGGAAAACTAAGAGAATTTGTCCCCAACAGACCTACCCTAAAAGAATAGCTAAAGGAAATTATTTAACCAGAAAAGAAACAATAGAAGAAGGAATCTTGGAACATCAGAAAGAAAGAACAGTGGAAAAAGTAAAATTATACATAAATGTGACAGATATTATAATATAATTGATTTAGATTTCTTCTCCTTTTGTGTTTTTTTTTCTTTCTTTTTTTTGGAGAGAGGCTCTCACTGTGTCACCCAGGCTGGAGTGCAGTGGCACAATCATGGCTCACTGCAGCAGCCTCAACCTCCTGGGCTCAGGTGATCCTCCCACCTCAGCCTCCTGAGTAGCTGGGACTATGGGTGTGCACCACCATGCCCAGCTGATTTTTTGTAGAGATGGAGTTTTGCCACATTACACATGCTGGTCTCAAACTCCTAGACTCAAGTGATCTGCCCACGTTGGCCTCCCAAAGTGCTGAGATTACAGGCATGAGCCATAGTGCCTGGTCCCTTTTGTGTTTTGTAAATTAGGTTTAACAGTTGAAGAAAAATTATAATAATGCCTAATGTGGTTATTAATAGATGTAGAGGAAATATTTAAGATAATTTTATTATAAATGAGGGAGGGTGAGGAGATATAAGGGAGGTTAGGTTTCTACACTCCTCTCCAACTAGTAACATGTCGACACCAATGATGTTGTATACATATGATGTGATACCATTATATATATATAATGTGATTTCTTTGAGTACATTTTTCAGTGGCCACTAAAAAAGGTATACAAAGGAACACACTTTAAAGCACAATAAATAAAGTGGAATTCTAAAAACTTTTAAAGTAACCCATAGGCAGGCAGGATAAAAGAATACAGAGAAACTAAAAACAGAAAACAAACAGGAAACAAAAATAAAATTGCCCTAATGTATCAATGATTACATCAAATGTAAACGATCTAAATATATCAGTTCAAAGACAGAGATTGGCAGAGTGGATAGAAAAAAAAATCATGACCCAGCTATATGCTGTCTATAAGAAACTCACTTCAAATATGTATTTCCAGGGAATTATGCTGGGTAAAAAAAAGTCAATTTCAAAAGGCCACATACTGTATGACTCCATTTATATAACTTTCTTCAAATTTGTGATTGCTAGGAGTTATGGGTCGTGGGGGAGTGGGCTGAGTGTGACTGTAACACAAAGGAGATCTTTGTGGTGATGGAATAGTTCTGTATCTTGATCACAATGGTGGTTTCAGGAATCTACCCATGATAAAATGATACAGAACTATATGCACATATTGTGCCACTCCTAATTTTCTGGTTTTGATATCATGTTATAGTTACATAAGGGGAAACTTGGTGAAGAGTTCATGGGACCTCTCTGGACTATCTTGGCTATTTCCTGTGAATCTATAGTTATTTCACAATTAAAAATTTTTTTTTAAATGAAATAGATTAATTTTTAAAAGCTATATCAAACATAATTTAAAGTTTCTTTGACTGTACAAAAAATTCCTTATAAGAATAATCATCAGTTTTCATTATATCATAGACATTCAGAAGGGTCAAATAATGGTCAGTTCTAGTTATAAAATGTCAGTAAGATGATTTGCTAAATTTAATTATTTTTTTTCTCTTTGACAATACAACTGAGCTACTTTTTTACTCTGGCCAGAATAAAGATACATATATCATAAATGAGATCTTGAACTGGCACTTTCTGCTTTCCCGCCTTCTCCCCACCTTTAAAAATAACATCAGATTTATTGAGATATAATTACATATGGTAATATTCACCCTTTTTTACATGCTCAGTTCTATGAATTTTGACAAAAGAATACCACCATCATCAAGATATGTAACATATAAAGCTTAGAAAAGAGAGACTCAAGATGAAACTTGATAACATTTTCATTACCCCCAAAAAGTTTCTTCATGTCCCTCTGTAGTCAATTGTCTCCCTCATCCCTCCTCCTGCCACCTACTGATTTGTTTTCCTGTCCCCATAGTTTTGTCTTTTCTCGAATTTCCTGTAAGTGGAAGGAATAATTTGAGTCTGGCTTCGTTTACTTAGCATAACGCCTTTGAGATTGTTCAAGTTTCAGTAGTTCATTCCTGTCTATTGCTGTGTTGTATTCCATTGTATTAATGTGTATTCATTTGTTTATCCATTCACCAGTTGAAGTACATTTGGGTTGTTTCCAGATTTGCACAATTATGAAAAAAAAAGCTAGTGTAATCATCTAGGTTCAGGTTTTTGTGTGAACATAAGTTTTCATTCATCTTGAGTTAATATCTAGCAGTGGGTTTTCGGGATCATGGTAAATGTATGACTAACTTCACAGGAGGCTGCCAAACTGTTTTCCAAAGTGAGTACTGTTTTGCATTGCCACCAGCAGCGTATTACATTTCCAGTTCCTCCATATCCTCCCAGTATTAGGTATTATCATTTTGTAAAAACCTTTCTTTGCTGGGCACCATTGCTCACGCCTATAATCCCAGCACTTTGGGAGACTGAGGCAGGTGGATCATTTGAGGCCGGGAGTTTGAGACCAGCCTGGCCATCGTGGTGAAACCCCATCTCTACTAGAAATACAAAAAATTAGGCATGGTGGCGTGCGCCTGTAATCCCAGCTACCCGGGAGGCTGAGGCACAAGAGTTGCTTGAACCCGGGAGGCAGAGGTGGCAGTGAACCAAGATTGCGCCTCTGCACTTCAGCCTGGAGACAGAATGAAACTCTGTCTCAAGAAAAAAAAAAAAGAAAAAGAAAAGAAAAAAGGCTTTCTTGGTAAGGGCTATCTCATTGTGGTTTTAATATGCGTTTCTCAACTTATTAGTGATGTTGAGCATCTTTTTATATGCTTAATTACTATTCATATCATAAATGTATGTGCACATGTGTAATTGTGTAATCTCTGTTCAATTCTTTTGCCCATATTTTAAGTTAGATTGTTTGCTTTATTATTGAGTTATGAGAGTCAACTCACTCTTGTATGGTGGATACCGGTCTATTGTCAGATTTTGTGTGCTGCAAAATTTTTCTGTCTATGGCTTGCCTTTTCATTTTCATAACTATTTTTGAAAAGCAGAAGTTTTCAAGTTTGATCAAGTCTAATATATCAAATCTTTTCTTTTATGGATCATACGATTTGTGAATATCTGCAAAATCTTTGCCTAACCAAAGGCCAGGAAGATTTGTCTCCTATATGTTCTTCTAGAAGTTTTATAGTTTTAAGTTTTACATTAAGTCTATGATCCATTTTGCATTGATTTTTAAACATGATGTGATTATTGATATTTACAAAGTTCTCTTCTTATACATATAATTTTATCTGATTTTTTTTTTTTCTTTAGATGGAGTCTCACTCTGTCACCCAGCCTGGAGCGCAGTGGTGAGATCTCGGCTCACTGCAAGCTCCGCCTCTTGGGTTCAAGCGATTCTCCTGCCTCAGCCTCGCTAGTAGCTGGAACTACAGGCGCCCGCCCCCACACCCAGCTAATTTTTTGTATTTTGAGTAGAGACGGGGTTTCACTGTGTTAGCCAGGATGGTCTCTATCTCCTGACCTCGTGATCTGCCTGCCCTGGCCTCCCAAAGTGCTGGGATTACAGGCGTGAGCCACCACGCCTGGCCCTGATCATCAGCGGATCACAAGGTCAGGAGATCGAGACCATCCTGGCTAACACAGTGAAACCCCGTCTCTACTAAAAACACACAAAAAAATTAGCCGGGCGTGGTGGCAGGCACCTGTAGTCCCAGCTACTCAGGAGGCTGAGGCAGGAGAATGGTGTGAACCCAGGAGGCGGAGCTTGCAGTGAGGCAAGATCGGGCCATTGCATTCCAGCCTGGGTGACAAAGCAAGACTGTGTCTCAAAAAAAAAAAAAAACAAAAAAAAAACGAAAGAAAGAAAAAGAAAAAGAAATGTTTGAGGCAGGCACAAGCAGAAATTTTAATCTCCATTTCACAGATGAGAAAACTGAGGATTAGAGAAATGCTGTGTGACTTCTCAAGATCTCACAGCTGATAGGAGATGAAATGGCAAGGTAAGAGGTGAAATTGTGATAAAAAGTTAAGGTCTCCTGCTGTCCCAGGCTAGTACTTTTGAAGCCAGGCAGAGAGGGCTCAGGGTAAGGCTCCAACAAAGTAAAGATTCCCAATGGGGAGCTGAGCAACCTATTTGGCACTGAGGTAAGAGACACAGCCAGTTGACTAGCCCCAGACTGAGCTCCTTTGGCCCATTGGGGCTCCACAATTGGAGAGAGCCAGAAGTTGGCCCAGTGCCTAGCTCATGTGTCACTCTTTGATGATGATGATGAAGAGCTGGAAGTGTTCAAAGGAGAGTTCTGAAATTAATTTCAGAGTTAGAAATTAAAGCTAAGAGGAAAAGTTAAGGAAACGAAGATTATTTGGCGGAGAAAAGAGAGGCTCAAGATGAAACTTGATAACAGCCTTCAGACGAAATAAAAAAAAAAGCTTGAACTTTCCTTCTGAGGGCTGAGCAAAGGGAAACAGTCTGGAAGAATCTAAATAAAAGGGCAAGTTCCTTCCTCCTTAGTGAGGATTGTTATAGACACTTAAGAGCCTTTAGAAACAGGATAATATCTGCTTGAGTTTGAAGTCAGGAATTTGCCAAACATGGGCTCTGATGACGGATTTCAGCATGAGGGTTACATGACTCTTGCACAGTGTCCTTAGAAATCTTTAGGTGGCCTATGAACTTGCCTTGTATCCTAGTACAATTCCAGGGGGCTTTTGTCTGTGGCCTTCTCTACTCCTTAGTCTTATCGTCTTCACAGGGTTCTTCTAATGCTGGAGACAAGCCTGACCTTAGCTCCTGAAAGCTTAACCCCAATGTTTTTTGCCCCTGAAGCCAGTGGCTTAGAACCTAAGGCTATAGATCTGGCTTAGCATCCCTGGAAAGGCCTGAAATATTGACTAGTCCAAATCTTACCGCAGTGATAGAATCCCCTGTTTTATATCTAGTCTCTTCTTGCAAAACTCTCTGAACATCAGGGACTAGCAAGCTGGCAATGCAGACCAATGCAATGCCCCCTGTGAAAGGCCAGAGAAGAAGAGCTGAGATACCAGCAGTACCACCAGGCACTACACTAAGCTAAAGTGTCTTTGCACTTGTTTTCTCTGCAGCATGGGTCGGAGCCCTCGCGATGGGTATGATCTTCTTCTGTTCTCCCATTGTGAGTATATTCACTGACCGTTTGGGCTGCCGAATCACAGCAACCGCGGGGGCTGCCGTTGCTTTCATTGGCCTCCATACCAGCTCCTTCACCAGGTAAGGCTAAGAGTTGGTGGTTATTTCCCCAAGGCTGAGGGTTGGTTTTTTTCTGGGCTTTAGCTAGGGTTACTTTTCTCACTGCAGAATCCCCTGTGGCCATGGCCCTGTAGGGCCCTCAAAGATCCTGCACCCTGGATTCAGAATCCAGTGAATTCATCTGGGTAGGGTCCCCAGGACACATTGGTAGGGAATATCCCCAGAGAGGACCTAAGAGTTCCAAAGTGGTAGGAGTACTCTAAGCCTGGTAGTTCGTAGAGCTGGGCCCAAGTCCGGTTTTGGCCACTGAATGGCAATGGAACAATTGATGAGTACCATTGTTCTCTCTGTGCCTCAATTTCTATATCTGTAACATGAGGGGATTTGACCATATGGTCTTTTTACATCTCTTTCAACTCTGCTATTTGATTCCCCTTCAGTGTGCCACACATCTCACAACCTCACTTTCCATCCCAAGATTGAGCTTCTCGAGTGAGCCCATGTGAACACCTAGCACAGGATTCCCAAAGGAATCTTATGCTGAAAAAAGAGGTCAACTGAGCCCAAGGATGTTTAGCATTTCTGACTCTTTTCCAGATAGCTCAGGCTGCTGACATATGGATGATTTGGGACAGATAATGATTTACATCATGGGCATCAGAAGGATGATTAGCAATATCCCTTACTGAGATACAAACCCAGAACCCAGCTACCCAGCTAGGCCTGGGCTAAACTGAAACCCTAGTCCCACTGGTTCCACTGGCAGAACTTGGCAGTATCAGGTGAGAAGCAGGCTCTAGGTTCATTTTCTGCTTTCTTTTCTGCCAGCCCTGCAGAAGAATGTGTGTAGGGTAAGGGAGAATAAATACCCTAACCACAGCCTGAGGAATATGGAATTCCTAAAGAACTCTGTTGACTTTCTGCCAAAGACACTTTGGAAGTTATGGTACCTCCTACTTCCAATCTGCTTGGGCCGATGTAGGGGAATGCCAGCCTGGAAACACAGAAATGAGAAATGGCCGTGGTGACATGTCTGGGATGAGGTCAGAGCTAATTTGTCAGAGACTTGCTTTCTGAGCTTAGTTACCCAGAAAAGCGTCATGGCTCTCTAGGCCTAAGGTTCCACTCACAGTAGAGAATGATAATTGTGTTTTGCCTTAACTGGGCCCTGTGAGGTAAGCCAGCTTTCTTTATGACTTGAGCATTTCCAGCTGCCCAGCCTACCCTACAGCAGAGCTTGGATTTGGCCTGCAGTCATTTCTTGGCTTCGTCCTGTCCAACTGGGACAGAGAAGGGAAAAACCGTGTCCTGCCTGGAAACTACTCAGCACTCCCAGGGCAGCAGCTCCAAACCTTTTCAGAACCCCTCTGGTGGTCAGCCTCATTCACCCCCAGCAAGCTGGTGCCTGGCTCCTTGTGGGGAGGAGCTAGGCTTCAAAAGCAGCTCCAGTCTCAGCACTATACAGCAAAGGTCTGTTTTTTAAGACCGAGCAGAGCAAAGTGTAAACGGATTAGCAACATATGGATTCCATTTCCCTTCCAATCCACATGGGCTCAATTACAGGAGGGGAAGGAGCTCAGATGTGGTGTTTTCTTCTGGCACGCTACTGTAGGCACATTGGAGTAGGCGTTCTGTTCTCTAGCCCCTAACCTTCTTCTCTACCCGCTTTGTTCTTTCTGTAAGAGGATCTTCAGAGCCAAGAAACTTTCTGGATGGCTTCACATCCAGTGGAAAAATGGTTCTTCTCATGGCTAGAGCTCCAAATCATCCTTCCTGTTGTCTCAATCAGGGCCCTGAGTTCCTCCGAATGACATGGAATGGGGCAGGATGCAGGCAGGGCTGGTGGGGCTTTGGAAAACCCAAACAATGGGCATCCATCCCTGGGGCCCAGCTAGAAGTAGATCCACCACATGGATCTAAACCAAATCCTATGTTTTTCCCCCACTGGCCCCTTCCCTGAAGGTCTAACACAAGGCCCCTTGGATAAGGCCCCCAAGCCAGGCCGATCCCATAGGGTACCTAGAATCTAATGGGCACAGGCCCAAAGGAACCTGACAGAAGAGGAACCGTTGGCTTAGCTATGTGTTCCAAGCAGAGACAACCCTTTCAAAACCAAATCCTTGCTCACGTCCAGTGAATACCAGCAGATGGAAAGCAATAGTGATGACAGCTATCTTAGAATCATGCACCATATCTTCTCTGCAGCTTAGGCCCAGTTCTTTAGTATGAGGACTGGGTCTATCTCCAGAGAAGAACTGCCTGACCAAGAAGAGTATTAGGTAATTTAGTGGCCAGATAAGAACTATTGCAAAATATATTGAGGCATCAAAAAGAAAACAAAATTCTTTACTAGGTTGTGCCAATATTATCTGGGGGCATATGGCTGGCCAAGCTGACCTTCCTATTGCCTTTCCCCTTCTGACCCTTTATGTTACAGAGGCTTATGTCCACAGCAGGGCCTATGAGTTTTAAGCCAGGACCTGTCTTACTTGGCCAGGCCCACAAATTCTTTGAGGCTCCACTTCCTGTCAAGGAGCCAGGCTACTCTAGGGAACAAATCTATACCATATCCAGAAACAAAGGCAGGACTCTAAAAGTTAAAGAGACTCCTTACCTAATGATTCCCGCTGAGATCGTCCAGGGCCTAGTGTAAAGGGACTTGGGATATGTGGACCTTGGGCAGGGTTTGGGAGGGCGTATGTCTCAGAAGAACATCAGCCATTCTCTGAAATATTAATGGCCTTAGCATGGAGAAAGACACTGAAGAGTCCCATGGAAGGTTTCAATCTTCCAGGATTTTGACTTCTTGCAGACCTTTGTTGCTACCTGGGATAAAAGCTTTGCCACCACCAATAGTAAGGTGAGGCTAGTCTCTCTAAGACAATGACTCCCTGTAGCCCCTCATCCAGCTTTTACATGGGCTAGTTCTGGCTTTCCTTTGAACAGTCCTCTTTGATGGGGTGCTATGAGTCATGCTAGAGTCACACAGACCTGGATTCAAGTCCAAGTTTTGCTGATTCCCAGTTATGTTACCTTGGGCTAATTATTTTACCTCGCTGAGCCTCTGCTTCCCCATCTGCAACACAGGGATCAGAAGGCCCTCTTCTTTGTCTGTTCTGAGGGTCAGTGGCAAGTGGGGCTGTGGGTTAAGGGCGGAGGAATGGAAGTCTCAGGAAGCTGACAGGGGAGGGCAGGTAGATTGCTGGTCAGGCTGCTGAGGACAGCTCTTGGTATTTCTCCCACAGCTCCCTAAGCCTGCGCTACTTCACCTACGGGATTCTCTTTGGTTGTGGCTGTTCCTTCGCCTTTCAGCCATCCCTCGTCATCCTGGGCCACTACTTTCAACGCCGCCTGGGTCTGGCCAATGGTGTGGTGTCTGCTGGGAGTAGCATTTTCTCCATGTCCTTCCCCTTCCTCATCAGAATGCTGGGGGATAAGATCAAGCTGGCCCAAACCTTCCAGGTGCTGAGTACCTTCATGTTTGTTCTTATGCTGCTTTCACTCACCTACCGGCCCCTCCTGCCCAGCTCCCAGGACACCCCAAGCAAGAGAGGTGTCCGCACCCTGCACCAGCGCTTTCTGGCTCAGCTCAGGAAGTACTTCAACATGCGAGTGTTCCGCCAACGCACTTACCGCATCTGGGCCTTCGGAATTGCTGCTGCTGCCCTTGGCTACTTTGTTCCCTATGTACACCTGGTGAGGAATACCAGAGTGGGCCCACCCCACCTGGCCCCAAGAAGCTACCCTCAACCTGCCTAGATTCCAGAGGGTGGGGGTGGGAGACATTGAAAGGGCAGAGCTGGGACCTTTGGGAAAAGAAACAAAATATTGGTTGGAGAGATCCAGAGAGGGAAAAAGAGAGAGGTTGAGGGAAGACCTTAGTGGAAAATGGGGGCAATTCCACAGGGGGAAGCCCATGGACCATGGCTTCTCCCACAGTAAAAATTTAGATAGATTTTGAAGAGATACGCATTGCCAGGATGCAGGAGACTGGCCCGGGTGACCCAAGACAGGATTCTGTGGAATGCTGGTCTTTGTGGTCAAATGATTTTGTTTAGGAAGTAACATATACTGGATCTCTCTAGCTTTATAATGTGTAGTAATCTCTTAAAGGGACTAAAAAAAATTGTAGGAAAGAAACCCATTCAGCTTTGTTTAACTCACCATCCACCAAACTTATGCAACTACAGAACTGTTGGTTGTAGTCCAGCTGTTATCCTCCACAGGCTTCATGTTTCCTAAAACACACTTTGGAAGAGTTGCCTGGAAGTTGCTGGATTCTTCTCCCCTGGTGATTTGATGTTGCCCTAGGCTGTCAGTTTGGGGTAAGGGAATGGGGAGATTGTAGAGAAACCCTTGGATTTTCTCAATCATTTAGGCTATTTTCTGTCTTGCTGGGGCTTAGAAGGGGCGTGGAGGTACCCACCCTCCTTAGCTGTTGCTCAGAAGTCCAGAATCCAGACAGCCAAGGGATAAGCAGCCAGAGAGCTTGTCATGGAGGTAGGGCTACAGGAGAGGGGGTTTCTGTCCTGCTCCAGGAAAGTAAGCAGTAGGGGATTCTGGATATGCCTACAGTTAACCAGTCAGCTCCTCTTTCTCCTCCTGTTTCTGGGGATCCTTGTGCTATGCTTTTCAGATGAAGTATGTGGAGGAGGAGTTCTCAGAAATCAAGGAGACCTGGGTGCTCTTGGTGTGTATTGGGGCTACCTCAGGCCTTGGGCGTCTTGTGTCAGGCCACATCAGTGACTCCATCCCTGGACTTAAGAAGATCTACTTGCAGGTGAGTGTGACCACTTGTCCACTGTGGGGAGAAACAGCCTGCCACAAATGCAAGGTTATCCACAGCCTTTGGGATAGAATGGTAGCTTGTTGTGTCGCATGGGAAAGTCAATCAAATTCTCTGAGCCTCCATTTCACCTGCTTTTAAACAAAGAAAATCATCCTTGTTCTGCCTCTTTTACCAAGATTGAGTGAGGATTCTGTGAGAGCAGTGTATATGGAACCTATTAGAACACGTGTAAAGGAAGATTTTATTAATAATGGCTCTCCATGCTCCAAGACTATTTTCTGTGTGAACTAGGCTCTGGTCTGGTCTGAATACAGGCCACTGTTCAGGCTGTCAGTCTTTATCTACCTGGCAGCAGTATTGCCTTTCTTACCTGACTTATGATCCTGCAGGTGGGTTTATGAAGTGGTACCCAAGTGCAGAGCCCTGTGAAGGGGCAAAGATAGCCCCCAAAATCAAGTAGTCACAAGTAATCCATCAGGAAGGTGATTGAGTTCTGACTCATTTATCTCCTGGGAAAGCCCTAAAAGCACATGCAAGGGGCCCTAGCTACACTTACAGTGGTGATTTCTCTGTCTCTGATAGCCCCAAGTGCCCTCCTAAGTACCCTCAAATATCTTGGATGGAAATATGATTAACTTTTCCTTAACTTTTTTGGTGTTAGATTACAAGAGTTGGTAAATCTGCTTTGTCAGAGGCAGGGTTGCTTTTAAGGTCCATCCAATCCAACCTCATTACAGTGGTGGAGAAACAGAGGGAAAGGCTCACACAGACAGTAGTAGCAGAGCTGAACTCCTATGCAACACACTTCTCATATTCTACCTTGCCCTAAGTGATGGCAGAGCCAAGTCTCAGAGATGATAAGTGACTTGACCAAGGTCAAACCAAGAGATAATCTTGTGATTGAGATAAACCAATTGAGATTTTGAATTCCTGTGCAAATATCAGCAAGTGCTTTATCTGGGTGGCTATTTGCATAGGAATATGTGTGGCTTTCCCAGCCTCACCCACATGACACCCCTGTGAGTCTTCCCTGCCAGTATTAGCAGCTCCAAGATGCCAAAGAGTTCTGGAAATCAGGGTAATCTGGCATTGGGCCAGGGCTTTATCTTGAGAAGAGGCAGCAGCCCCTGCCTAGTCGTATAACTCATGTGATTCTTACTACAGTCCCTAGGAGAAAGGTAGAGTCTGAGCAGCTTTTGCTTTCTGTTATACAGTGGGAGTCCAAGGGACAGGGAGGCATTAGCCAGTTAGAGGCCAAGATAGGCTTAGGACCCAGTGCCTCTGCTGACCACCCACCCACTGCTCCTGCCCCTTTTCCTTACTCTTACTTCACCGAGTTTTACTTAGAATAATATAAAATAATCTTAGAACATTATAGCTGAAACATATCTTCATCAACTAGTAGTTGAACTTCCTCATTTTACAAATTGAGTGTCTTGGGCCAAGAGCACAAGACAATGGATGAACTTCTTTCTCTTGAGTTTGTTAAGATACTCCATCACAGGAATTTGCCCCCCTTTCTCCCTGCATGTAATGCAGGAGTACAGGCCTAGGGGAGGAAACGAGTGTACACACCTTCAGGTTCTGAAGAGCTATCCACTAGACTCTGTGGCTCTTAATGTTGGTAAAGACAAGCACATATCTCTGGCTTCAAGCCCCTGGACAGTCTGCTGGAAAGGAAATAGCGACAGGCTGCAGGACAGCCTCACTTTGTGCCAATTCTTGAGGCCTGTTTCTCACGTCCAAGAGGGATTTTAAATTTCTGAATCTTGAGGCCTGTTTCTCACGTCCAAGAGAGATTTTAAATTTCTGAACCTTGGCAAAGCCTCATGGAGGATGTTTAACAGACAGCTAGATACAATAGGTAATACTTAGACCTGATTAAAATCAGTTAATAGGGTCCTTTGTGTTATATAATGGTATTAACTTTTAATTTCCATAATGGGCTTTGTTGATAGGTGTGTCTGGTTTTATCCCATAGTTGTGTGTGAATCTCTTAGAGGAGAAGCTCAGGTACCGGGGTTCTTATTCCTAGCTTCTGCCTAGCTACCTCAAAACTGCCTGGGCAAAGTTCAAAGTCTCCCAACAAAAAGATGTCCTCAGATGGCATTATCCTCTCCAAAAATCAACTGATCAACCTAAAAAACTCACTGCCAGCAACAACATAGAAAATCTTTAGGGCACCAAATAACCTTGACCCCCACTCCTTCCATGTGTTCTTGGCTAAGTTGGCTTGCTTGTGTGAACTACTGGAAAATCCTTGGGCCTATTAAGGCCTTGATAGAGAGATCAGATCTTAGCCCTGACCCTGGGATGACCTGGCTCTGACCTGGCTCTACTGGCTGCAGGGGGTTGGCAGCAGCGGGATGGGGGCAGGGTTCCTTTCTCTGCCTGAAGCCCAGGTCTTCAGTCTAGCTGGCCAACACAGGTTGCAAATGAAGACCAGCTGTGTTTGCAGCAGCCCTTTTCTCTGTGGAGAAGGAAAAAAAAAACAACCTCTGGAAAGGCAGTTTCTTCATTTTGGAGTCATTTTGCTTAGCCCAGAGAAAGCCCAGTGGCTAGTCAGTGTTCCTGGGTTGGCTTCATTCTCCCTAGACATACACCTTCCCAGTGGCTTGGTTCCCCTGGAAGGCTCCTCTGTTGCCTTCTCAGGGTGTCCAGCCAAGCCCAGAGGCCCCCAGAGCCATGTGTCTGAGATGTCTGAGATAGGCAGTGCAGTCCATGTCCTAAAGCATAGGAACCTGGGTGAATGTCCCAATGGTTTCCTTTATGCCAAGGTATTTTATAAAATCAGCCCCCACAAAAATGGGCTCTGGCTCCTTCCCCATTTCAAGAAGCTGTGCCTTCCACTTACAACCCCATCTGATCATCATGCAAGCCATCCTCATGTCCTCCCTTCCCTCTTTCCATATTTTACTTGGATCTGAGAACACCGGTATGGCCTGATCCCAGACCCTGATCCCTGGGGAAGCCAAATACAGGCTCAGAAAGCAGAAACAACAATTCCTTTTATCTTAGGGTCTAGTGCAAGACAAACTTCTTGAGGCCAGGGGCCAAGTATCCCCCAACTTTCTTTTTTTAATCCCAACAGAATCACAGTTAAGTAGGGGCTTTCTTGGACTTTGAATCCCTCAGTGCAAGACTTTGAAAGGGCCTAACCATTCAGCCCAACTGCTCTCTCTGTTGACACCTTCCCCCTCCCACCACCCCATTTTATAGATGGTAGAAATGAAGACTTGAGAAAGGAGATGTGATGCTATGTGGTCTTGGCTGGCCAGCACAACCTGACCTCAGGCCCTTGTTTCTCCAGGTCCTTTCCTTCCTGCTCCTGGGCCTGATGTCCATGATGATTCCCCTGTGCCGGGACTTCGGGGGCCTTATCGTCGTCTGTCTTTTCCTGGGCCTTTGCGATGGCTTCTTCATCACCATCATGGCCCCCATTGCATTTGAGCTGGTGGGCCCAATGCAGGCCTCACAGGCCATTGGCTACCTCCTGGGCATGATGGCCCTGCCAATGATTGCTGGGCCCCCCATTGCAGGTGAGGCTGATATTCCAGGGAGGGCATGAATCAGGGAGTCCTTTTTTCCCTGGGTACTGGCACTCCTGAGCATCTCTCCTTGAGGCCCCTTTTCCTCTTATCGTCTATTTAAGCAGCTTTGTCAGAGTGCGTGAAACCCCTTATCACTACTGGTGGAAGAGATTAAACACAGTACACACGCATGGATCCATTCTGCGGGATGGATTTTCCATGGTGGTATATCTGTTTCAATAGGATTTTATTTCAGACAGCAGGGATCCTTCCAGCGGGGTGGAGAGAAAAATGAGTTTGGCTTTCTGACAGTTCCACTGATCTAGTATCCTCTCACTCTCTCCACAGGCAAGTGATTATTTGCAAGGTAGTTGGGTAGGAAGAGAAGAGAAAGCAGGCTCTGGTTTTATTAAAACCTAGGGACATCCTCCTCCTCCTCTGCTGGCTTCTGAACTGAGCCTGTAGAAGATATTTGATTAAAGTAATACCCCAGAATTAAGCCAGTGAGGCTCACCTTCAGCAGGAAAAGTGTTGACTTGCCATCTTTCAGCACTCCTGGTTTTCTCCCTCCATTTTCCCAGAAGGGCACTGTTGGTATCCCAGGGAACGAGGAACAGAAAACCAATGACAAGAGAACTCCAATTTCTTTTCTTTTCTCTTTTTTTTTTTTTTTTTTTTGAGACAGAGTCTTGCTCTGTCACCAGGCTGGAGTGCAGTGGTGCAATCTTGGCTATCTCAGCTCATTGCAACCTCTGCCTGCTGGGTTCAAACGATTCTCCTGCCTCAGTCTCCCGAGTAGCTGGGAGTACAGGTGCGTGCCACCACACCCAGCTAATTTTTTGTATTTTTAGTAGAGACGGGGTTTCACTGTGTTAGTCAGGATGGTCTCGATCTCCTGACTTCGTGATCCACCTGCCTCAGCCTCCCAAAGTGCTGGGATTACAGGCGTGAGCCACCACACCCGGCAACTCCATTTCTTTTCTGTAGGATTTATTGTAAACATTGATTCACGCATTAGCTTCTCCTAGGCTGGTCAAATGAGTTAATTCAACAAATATTCTTCGAACACAAATTATGTGCAAGGTGATATGAGGGCACTGTGTGACAGTGGCAAAAGCTTTCACTCAGGCTTCTGGGCAACAGCCACACTACCCATTGGGGGAAGGGGGCCTCTACTCACCCCCTGATCCAAACAGTGCCCCAGAATCCACATTTCTTTCCAATTTGCTTAACTCCTGAGTAAGCAAAAGGCCAAGGGCCTTTTTGCCTTTTCTGAATACTGTTTCTGGGCTCTGAGGTACTACGAGGTACCACATATTAGCTTCTGGAAGTGAGTAGGGAAGGCCTTGCATCCCATGTCAAACATATCCTTGGTTTGGCAGCTTGGAGAAACCCAGAGGGGACAACCATATATGTAACTGAAAGGAACACGTATAGCCTCTTGCTAGGACAAATGGAACTTCAGAGAAGGGTCACTTCAGAGAAAAGGAAAATAAAAACTCATCTGAAATGTACCACAGGAACCATTTGTGGGGGCAGGGGGCGGGGGTAGGAGGCTGGGAAATATCACTGTGGACCAAGACAACACTTGGCCATCTTCTGTGGATTTCTTTTAAACTAGGTTTCCTCCTAACTCCGTAACTAGGTGTGACTAGATCTTAGATTGATGAAAGTCATAAATGGAGAAACTTTAAGAGAAGCTTCATTAGCTTCTTTCATAATGAGCATTCGCTCAAGGGCCTGCAGCCCCAATGCCTTGAAGTTGAGGGAGCTCCTGAGTTAAGGCAATACACGCCAAGATTATCTGGATAGGCACTGTGATGGCCCCTAGAACGGGCTGAGAGTACCTTTGGACAGTAGGGCAAAGCTGAGCTTGACTTGTCTCTCTTGACTGTTTCAGGCCTACTCCGCAACTGTTTTGGGGACTACCATGTGGCCTTCTACTTTGCCGGTGTGCCCCCCATCATCGGGGCTGTAATCCTCTTCTTCGTCCCTCTGATGCATCAAAGGATGTTCAAGAAAGAGCAGAGAGATTCCAGCAAGGATAAGATGTTGGCCCCTGACCCAGACCCCAATGGGGAGCTACTGCCGGGCTCCCCCAACCCTGAGGAACCAATCTAATGCCTTTCTTGCCATTGTGTGCCCTTTCCCAGCTCTTCCCCTTCATCCCACCCTGCTCAGCATTTACATTTTTGCCACCAGCACACTTGTTCCCAGACCTGCGCACACAGCATTTCAGCCACCTGACAATCTCCTTGGAGTCAAAGCTCCAGGTGTTCCAAACTCATTAACTAAATTCTCCCCAGAATGCTTTTAAATTTTCCAGGGCCTTTCTCCTCCCAGGATCTGGGAAAGCTTGGGAACCACCCCTGGCCTTTGGAACCTCTCCATATACTTTCTAAGCTCTGGGGGAGGAGGAGGATGGGACCTCCTGGACCCAGCTTGTTAGTCACCCACTATAATCAACTGCCAAAGGTGCTACTGTGTCCCCAGGAGCCTAATAGGGTAGGCCCAAATCTCTGTTTGCTGAGGAGGTCATTGCCATCCATATTTGGGAGCCACTGGGTGGAGGGGCAGGGAGGCAAAATGAGACAAGTAGCCTTGGTTAGTCTTAGAGTTGCTGATGACTGTGGCTTCCCAAGAACTGGGTACAAGCAGTGCCCTTATTGTATGGTTGGTTAACAGTCTGCTCCCCTCTTCCCTTCCTTCTTTTTTTCCTCTACTGACTTCTCTCCATACTCTTTCCCCTCTATTTCTTTGTATGACTGTCATAGACACATGGGTGCTTGAAGAAAGGAGGGACCCGGAACTTGGGCCAATCAGCCTCACCTTGTCCCAGTCCACTCCTAACACTAGCATCAGTCCCACTCATCTCAGGCTGAGCCACATCTCACTTTTTCGCTCAAGCTATATAATCCTAGACTGGAAGAGTAGAATATCATATAGGGAAGAAACCTTAAACACCACAGTGTTCCATGTTCCAGTCACTGATTTTTACAAATCTTACAGTCCAAGGCATTAACCTCAAGGCCCTCCCAGCACCCCATTCTTGTATACACATGGCAAAATGTGAAGAAACTCCTTTCATCTCAGCAGGTAGAGGAGGACTGATGACACGAGCTGCCATGGCGGGAGGAGGGGCAGTAGTTATTGATATGGTGAGCCCCATCTCTCAGTTTTCATGACAGGTCTATATTTCTACCTGGGCCAGGCCAGGAAAGAGACTATTTAAGAAAAAAAAAATCAATTCCTAGCCTGGATCCCAAAAAGGTACAGGCAGCAGTTGCACATAGGGTTGGAAAATTTCTTTTGGGAAGGGGAAGCCATCCCAGCCTTTACCACCCAATGTGTCTCCCATGCTGGGCATCCTAGGCCACTTTGCTTAGAGGGCATTAAAGGTGCCATGAAAGGTAGACTCTGAACCACTTTGATCCCTCTGAAGTAGGTGACTGATGCCTCCTTATGCCCAGGCTCTGGCAACAGTCTTACTGAAGAACATTCCCAGTGCCCCTGGCTAGGGGCAGAGGGCACTGCCAGGCTGTGTTCAGTTAGCACAGCTCACCTCATTAGGAGCTCAGCCTCTCTCCTCACTCTGCCTCTTTGTGTCTCTTTTTCTCCTCTCTGAGCCTTTGTCTATTGTGTTCCTGTCACCCACCCTTTCATCATCTTTTTGCCAGGCATTCCTGGCTGTCACTTGGAGCCAACAGTAACTTGCCACCTTAAGGCAGGGTCATCCCCGGGCCAGGAGGATGAGGTTGTCCTGAGGGGCTCCAAAGAAGACAATAGTTCCCACTCATGATTTTCCGTTACAAACAGGCAGCTGGGGCATGGTTGGCCTCCAATGATTTCATTCAAGGCCAAAGTCCTGAGCCCCCTCCGCTGGTCCCAGTCCAGCTCTTATCAACTCCCCAAAGGAAAACCCACTGGTTCTTAGCTCTGTGGGTAGGAAGGGGCCCTAGAAAGGGCCTAGTTACTATCCTGTCAGTTCTAACAGTAGTGGAACAGGAGAATCTGGGCCCTAGGAGCCCTGTAACTCCCAGGAGAGACCACTGAAAATACTGGAGCAACAATGCCCCTGCTTCCATTTCTCCCCACCTCACTCTCACCAAGTCACCAGAGGGTGGTTCTGTAGGACCTCTTTTGTTGCTTAAGATGCAGATGGCTCTTAAGAATCAGGCAGTCGCCCACTTCTCTCCAGATGAAGGGAAGACATTCATAGGTCCCAAATCTGCCCATTCAGATGTCACATAATATGGTGGGATATCAATTTACTTCTTCCACACATGTGGTTGTGCACATGTGAGCTTGTGTGCTTTTGGAGAGAATGTTGATTGGCAAAAGCAGCACAGTATTAATATTTAGAGTAGGATGCAGCCTCTTATGCACCACAGTTAAATCTAGAACGAACAAAATTTCAGAGCTCAAGACATGGGACATTTAAATCCTCAAGGAGTTTGGAACAAAATAAACAGATCTAAAAATTTGGTTTGGGTATGTATGTTGCCTACAAGGAAGAAATAGTCTTAACCTGATTAATAGCAGAAAGTTTGACTTCAGAGCTGAAGTCTCCTTTCAAATCAAATTTCTGCCAGGTTCTATGCTCTCTGTGAGAGCAGACATTAGAAAAAGAGCTATATAGGGGTTTGGAGTTGGTTGACTATTTGAGATTGGATTTTTAAACAAGCTCTGAAGTGGAAAAGTGGTTACTTCACAAAATGAGAATGTGGTTACTTGCTGAGTTGGAATGGAGGCCCCACCAAGGCCACAGCCTTGCTACAAATGTGCCATATTGAAAACTGGCATTAATAATAATCCAATTCAGCTCTCCTTCCCTCTCCCTTATGTTATTGATGGGGAACCTAAAGGGACTTATATGGCTGGCTGACACAGCCTGGCAGTGACAGAGCCTGGAATTAAGGATGATGCAGGAGACAGACCTATAAGAATGACAAAGCTGAGAGTAACCTTAGAGTCTCCCTTGTCCATCCTGTGCATTGAATTTAAGTGGAGAGACTGAGGCCTAGAGGTAGGAAGAGACTGCAGTAGGTTCACACAGTTCATCAGTGACAGAGCAAGATGAGACTTGAACTCATGTCATTGACTTCCAGTACAGTTTACACCCCTGGTTTTACAGATGAAGAAACTGGCCCTAGGAGGGATAAATGACTTGCCCACTTCATTCAACAACTGTGTACCAAACCCATTTCCATAAGTGTGTCAGCAGGACCAGCTCTGAGCAAAAATGAAAGTTTAGCAAAGTTTAACTTTTAGCATACCCCATGTCTTCATGATTACTCTCACCCGCAACTGACACATACTTTTGGTATTCTGTCTCCCAGTCACTCCAGACCATGCAATCTTGGCTTGGAGACCTGGTTTCACCTACTGTCCCTCCACCCCCAGCAACTCAAGAGGTACAAAAAAAATCCATCTCCAAATGGCCACATACTGGGCAGGGCAGGGGCAAAGAGAAGTGACTGGTTTCCGGTTGGAAGAAGGTGGTTTACCACCCAGCTCTTGGCTATTGTTTCTCCTCAGACTCAGTGTAGACACCCTCAGGCTGGCTTCCTCATCTCCTCCCACTGAGGCTAATTACTCTGTCCCATTGCAGGGCCCCAGGCTCTCCCACCTAAGGTCTGCCCCGCTCCCCTAGCCCCTTCCCCAGCAGCCCCAAGGGTCCAGTCTGTGTTTGATCACCCAGGATTATTAGATTTCAAAGCTGTGGAATCCCATAATTTTTACGAGCATATGCTCTCCTCTAGGGTCTTTTCACGTCTGAAAAGGCGGCCAGCAGCTCCCTGCCACTTCTCCACAGTAGCAGTGCAGGCCAGCTGACAAGGATTACAAATCCCTAGTGTCTCATAGCTGGCGCCTAGATAGTGTGGGTGACGGGTAGAATAAGAGCCCTTGAAGCAAGTTCAGAAATTCTAATAAGCTGAAATGCAGCAGAGACTGCAGAGGCACAAGGAAAGGGATTAGATACCCAAATCCTGCAGGGGTTCAGGAGGCTATGCTTCAAAGCCCCTTTGATTCCTGCCTTTCAGCTCTCTCTAGCGGTCACCAAGCGCAAAGTTCTATGCCTGGTTTTCAAGTCATTTAAGCAGTCTTTTCTAGAGACCTGCTGCGTGTCAGACACTCTGCTAGAATCCGGGAACTTCAGGAATGAAAGGAACATAAGTAGAAAAAAACCAGAAGAACACAAAGAGTTTGTACTACCTAACTTCCAAGATACCCTTTTCTTCTCTGGGCGCCAGTACCCAGAGAGTACCGACCTTAGCGCCAAAATTCGGTCCTCTCTGAGGCAGATCAGGAGCCACCACGCCCCCAGTGAAATGGAGGCGGCAGGAATCCCACCCCCAACCCCTCTTCCTCTCCCCACGACTATCCTCCCGGGGGCGAGAGTCGCCCGGAAGAACTACCCGCGCCTCGGCATTGGTTTCCTGCTGAGCCCCAGCCGGATAAAATTAGTCGATTGCTCACACTAACAAGTGTCAGAGTCCGCGTCCAGCTGAGTGGGTGGGGAGAGCAGTACTGGGCCGGGCCGCATTCCCGCCCGGGCCTGTCAGAGCAGCGGACAGACAGCACCTGTCGTGGGCCTCCTCGTTCCCTCACTCCTGCCAGAGCCTGTGGCCCCCCCGCGGAGACCGGGGACTACACTTGGGAGCATCTTTCCCCAACTCTCGTCACCGCAGAGACCGCGCCGAGCCCACCTGCCAAATGTTAATACACTGGAATGCCAGGGGAGGGGAAAAGAAGGTTGCACTTCTACTCTCCTTTCCCACCACACACCCACCCTTCACTGACCTCGCCACGACTGGGCCCTGGCATCCGGGCCTGGGGGTGCTAATCGACACTATTTCCCGCCAGGTCCCCATGCCCACTCCACACTCTGGGACTGCCTGGGGGTGGATTTGGCCCTGGCGGTCGCTCCTGGTCCTGCCGCTGGCCTCCGGCCACCTTGGGCGGGGACGCGGAGAGTGGGGTTGGCTCCTCCCCCGCCGCGGGTCTCCATCCATTTCCCCATTTGGGAGGGGTAATAACCCGGGAGCCGCGCCACGGAAATGCATCTTCCCCTGCTATTCAGACGGGAATCCGCCCACCCATGACAACCGCCCTTCCCGCCTAGGGAAAGGGGGCGGGAAGACCTAGCCTCGGGCCCTGCCAACTGCCAGCAAGCCAGACGGATAGACAGCAGCTGCTGCGTGTCCGAGCTCAGCTCCTCCTCGATCCCCCGCCCTCTACCTCCCTGCTCGCTCCACCGACACCAGGGGCCGTAGCGGCGACGGCGCCCCACCCCCAGCGCTCGGTCCGGAGCCCTCGAGGTGATCCGGGCTGGGCCTGTCGAGGATCTTTTACAATCGGCGGCCCCCTATTCTCTCCCGACCGGCCTCGTCCCTAGCGTCCCAAGAGCGGGATCAGGCGGCTGCTAGCGAAAGACCTACAGGAGCCCAGACTCGAGGCCCGCCAGGATGCGGAGACTGAGGGCGGGTTCGGCCGCCAGGAAGCGCTCCCGCCCGGGGCAGCAATCCTCCTCCGCCCTCCTCTGCAACCTCCAACCCGGGAGGGCCCTACGGGGCCTCCTCCTCCACACAGTGGGTCAGCCCAGTGGGGCTGCTTTCTGCCAAAGACTTGGCCCACCCTTCAAGCGCCCCTTCCCCCAGTCTCCATAAAAACTCTTTCAGAACTCCGGGGAATCAACCATGCTGGTGGGAGCTCCCAGCTCAGGCCTACTCCCCCATCTCACAGTTCCCGATCACACAGGGGAGCACGCGGGATTTCCTAGGCTTGAGAACCCTCCTCCAAGCCTGGACGGAGCCTCAAGAGTGGTGAGAAGGACCAGATTGACTCGAAGAGCCGCCCTCCTCAGTTTGCTCCTCTCCTACACTCCTCTACCCTAGTCTCCACCGACCTGCTTCCTTCTGCGCTTGCCTAGTGGGGGGTGAAGGAGAGGACAACTACCTTCACTTCTCCCCCCAACTTTCACATACACCCTCCGTCCCTTAAGGTGGAGTCTCCTGGGAGGCGGGCAGCCTCGCAGATCCTTCTGCCTTAAGGCCTTGCAAAGGCAGAGTTTCCTCCTGTCAGTCTGGGGTCTTCCAGCTCCCTGCCGCATTTGCCACCTCCTCCCACACTCCTTTCATCCTTCCCCGCAGCATATCTGGACATAGACCACCCCTCGACCCCGCAAAAAACAAAACAAAACAAAACAAAACAAAGCCTTGAGAAATCTCCAAACACCTGTGCGTGGACGAATTACAGTTCACAGTTGCTCCTATATCCCTCATCACAATTGGCCCTCCCCCCAACCGTGGGAGGCAACTGCTCTTAAGCCGGGTTATAGTTGGGGGAATTGAGGACCGGGGGGAACTGAATGTGGGTTTTGAACGCTTCTGCAAGGCCCTTTCCACCCCACTTCACAGAAAGTAGGGAAGTGAGCAAATCTCTCATTTTCCCTGACTTCAGAAAGCCTGCTTGCTGCTCCTGGAGTCAGCACCTGCTCCTCCCTTGTCCACTCTATCCCCCAATGAAGGCACTATTTGGGAGTGGCACTACAGCCCCAAGATGGAGGCATGGAGGGCAGCAGAAGCCGAGCCACAGTCCTTGTGCACCCCCTGGACTTCCCCAAGGAGGGCATGTGGAAGAGAAAGTCTGCCTTTCTCTGGGAGTATGGGTCATTGTCTTCTAGGTTCCTCTCCCCCTTAACATGGAGGAAAAACTCCAAAATAAGCTTGCGTGTGCTCCACTCCCTCAGTCCTTCTCTCATGATTCAATAAAATTATCATCACTGAGGGCTAATTTCCAGGGCTTTGCTTGATGCCCACAGGCCACAAAAGGAAGAATTCTTTGGGCTGGTTATTTGGGGACGGGAGGGTGAGGAGCAGCTCATGGGAGGCTCTGCTTTCGTGAGAAAGGATTTGCATGTCTAAGAGGTCAACACAGCTAGTCCAGGGCTTCCTCTCTTCCAGACTTCCAGCCCTGCATCAGGCTACAGAGAGGAAATGGCAAAGAGCAGCAAATATTATGCAAAAGGGTAAAGGAGCTCCCAAGCTAGGAGCTGGGAGCTCCTGGGAAAAGAAAAGGGAAGAACATGTCTAAACCCCTGCCCACAGCTGGGCGTGGTGGCTCACGCCTGAAATCCCAGCACTTTGGGAGGCCGAGGCAGGCAGATCACCTGAGGTCGAGAGTTCGAGACCAGCCTGACCAACAAGGAGAAACCCCATCTCTACTAAAAATACAAAAAATAAATTAGCCGGGCGTGGTGGCACATGCCTGTAATTCAAGCTACTCAGGAAGCTGAGGCAGGAGAATCGCTTGAACCTGGGAGGTGGAGGTTGTGGTGAGCCGAGATCACACCATTGCACTCTAGCCTGGGCAACAAGAGCGAAACTCCATCTCAAAAAATAAATAAATAAATAAACCCCTGCCCACACACCTCAGTGAGGTGGACTTGTTCTGTATGTGCCTCCCAACTGTGGCCTTTACCCTCCACCTCAACTTGCCTGATCCCAGTTGAGAGACTCCTCATATCCACAGGGGAGTTTGGTGTTTTCTAGCAGCCCCTACCCCTCAGTACCACATTTTTGGTAGTCTCTAACTCTCCAGATCCCAATAAGTTCTAGCCTAAGCCTTTCCTTCAGGCTGAATAGCTTCAAGCATCCAAGCCTGGTCCCTCCAAGATGAAGACTCACCTGTCATCCACAAATGGCTGGGCCTAGAAAACAGGAGGAGCTGTTTCAGGGAAAGTCAAGTTCCATGCAAAGCTAGTTCCTTTCGGTAGTTCAGTAAATAGTTGTAACCGATGAAATCCAGAAACACTTTTAATATGTTGACAAAGCACAGGAGCTTCAAACCAACATACCTTATTTACCTTTTTCTATCCAACTGATTTCTTCACAGTTTTTGGTTAATATCCTTATAATATGTTTGTTTCTTATATATTTTCTTCTACAAACCATCAGAGGCTGCTAAATGTTTGAAAAACAATATAGGCTTTACACCGATACAATGAATTGGAAGAATTCCCAATATCATTGCTTTACTTTGGGGTTTTGTTGTTGTTCCTATTCTGTTCAGCAAATGGAAACATGATGTTGAGTCTGAAACTTCCAGACAAAGCTGGGAGGCCCAGCAAAAAGAAAAGCCAGAGAAAGAAAGATGGAGATGAGGTCAGAGAAACAGGAACACAGGCATGACCACAAACCAGCAATGCATCAACTTTTGATCAAGGTCCTTTATGCAGTCTAAGGGTGGCAAAGGCACATTATAGAAAAGCCTTGGCTGGGCGTGGTGGCTCATGCCTGTAATCCCAGCACTTTGGGAGGCCAAGGCAGGCAGATCAATTGATGTCAGGAGTTCGAGACCAGTCTGGCCAACATGGTGAAACCCTGTCTCTACTAAAAATACACAAATTAGCCGGGCATGATGGCTTGTTCCTGTAATCCCAGCTACTCACTAGGCTAAGGCAGAAGAATCGCTTGAACCCAGGAGGTGAGCCAAGATTGCGCCACTGCACTCCAGCCTGGGCAACAAAGCAAGACTCCATCCCAAAAAAGAAAAAGAAAAAAGAAAAGCCTGGTCTGCTCACTACTCTATAACCTGCATAGTAAGAAGCTCAACTGGTGGTTGCCAGGGATTCCTTTCTGGAACTACCTTCTCTTTACATTTTCCTGGAAACATGACCTACATGACCTTGGTGATATCATTGCTGCTTCCCATGTAGTAAGTCTAATTTCCTAGACACTCCCAATGAAGGATCAATAGAAGGAGTTTATGTTCTGTTGTTTGTGGGATGAAGCAATCTCACCTAATCACCCTAAGCTCTTGGTTGGTGTAGCGAGCTCCATGGAGAATTTACCATTTCAGGGAGTTCTGTTAGGTGAGCCTTTACCCATGTTTCATCCTTGTGTGTCTTGAGTGACCACTGTTCCAGAGCTTACTGACATTTCACCATGCACTTGAGGTGAGAGCATTATCCTCAGCCTCACTGTCAACCTACCTCTCCTTCTTGCTAAAGCTGGGAGCACACCCAAGACTCCCTAGGGCCCAGCTCACCCTTTTCTTTGGGATATAGCCCTCTCGAAAACTTCAAATTTTGAGACAGGGGCAGTGGTAAAACAGAGAAACTTTAAGGGGAATAAAGCCATCTGTGCCTAGCTGATCAACAGCTCTGCAGTTTCCTTTTTTATATATTGGAAGTAAATGCTTAAATAATTGGTTATTTTGGCTCGACATATTTTATTGCACCTTTAAAGAAGGATGTGTGCTTGAGACTGGGTGGGTGTGGCCTGGCTGATCTGGCAGTATACAGGTTGTGGGTGGAAGAGCTTAAGAACATACTTGTTTCTCTTATTCTGTGATCCTATGCCCTAGGGCTGTACTTTTTCCTTCTGATTAGCTTTCTGGGCGGTGCTGAGTTGAATGCAAAATGAATTTACATAGTGGGTTGCTCTGACTAGAGTGGTTTAATACAGAAATGAGCAGGGACTATGGATGTGGGGGTGGAAGGAGATGTGAATCTAATTTTCCATATGAATCTGCATCATTTGTGCAATAGAACTGTACTTATGTCTGGATCATTGTCTTGACAAGGCTGGAATGAATGTAAAATGATCTAAGAAAGAGACTACTATAACCATGGGGTTAATTTAAGAACAGAGAAGGAATATACTCAGTGTTTTAGCAGCTGGAAAGTGTGGAGAGGGAGGGACTGAGGTTCTAGGAAACATACACTCAATTGCAACCTCCTCATTTCCACCAAGAGCCTCAATTTCATATGCTCTGTTCTACTGACATTCCCATTCACCTCAGGTCTCATATTTCACAATCACGGTATTAAATACTTTTTCCCTTCTTGGCTGTATCACACTCATTTCTCATAATTCCCAGATTATATGAGGAAAAAAAGCCAGGGATTTTGGAGAAGACTGCTAGGTAAACTCAAATGCCCAGTGGCCCTAAACACCTGTGGAATCCAGCTAAGGCTCAATGTCAGGTGGAAAAGAGCCTCATGACCCCCTCAGGCCCTTTTCTGTTTCCCATAGGATGGAGCAAACTGTATGTTTAGAACAACGGAAGCTGCTGAGCCTAGGACTGAGAGGACTGCCACAGACTGGGAGACTGCTAAGCCTTTGGTCATGGCCACAGACCAGGGAAGAGACAAAACTGAGGGACAGGCTGCTAGGCCTTGATATTAATGTCATGGTCACTCTCTCCCATAATACAAGCGCTTGTTAAAAATTTCAGATGGTAAAAATCAGGAGTATTTCCCTCATACTCTCCTGACCATTCATACCCCTGCAAGAGGTGACTGCCATGAACACTCCAGCCCATGCTCCCTTCAGAGATAGATATTTAGATGTGTAAGTATAGACACATAGAAACATATTTTTTTTTCATCTTCCTTATATGAAGTTATATTCTACCCTGCACCTAAGAAAACACCCATAGTAGGTTGCTCCCATATTAGGAACATTCATAGTATCTCTGCTAAGTCTGCCCCAAACAGACCCTTCCTGCCCCCAAACAGAGGCCTCTGCTCTGTGGGACCTCTGCTCAGCTTTGGCCAGGCATAGCCCAGGCTGCTCTGCTCATCCATGCACATTCTGAACTTGAAGGGACCATCTACTCTATCAACCCTAGGAAGCTCCTGATAGCACACAGACTCACCACTTCCTTCACAGAGAATATTCAAGTCAGTCACCTTACCAGTCATTGAAAAGGACATAAAGGACTCATTTCATCCCTCACAAACCTGATTTGTGCTGATCTCTTATAAGGAAAGCAGGAATCATTTTGACCTAGAAGACTGGATTCCCAGAAACAGTAACCCTTAGCCCAGAAAAGGCCAGCAGACTGGTGGGTTTGCTCTTCTCTTCCTCTAGTTGGGTCTGAGAGTGGCCAAGAGATGAAGTTTACTAGCCTGTTAACCTGGCACATGATACCTGGGAGCTAGTCCTCCTGCTGTCTCCCAAATGACTGTGGAAAATCAGAGCTTTTCTGGGGCTGCTTGTATCCAAAGGACTCTACTGGAAGCGATCTTCTCCTGGAAGCGGCTTGAAAAATTCAAGTCCTGCAACCTGCTGCAAAGGCTCAGCATACCGTCTTGGGCAACTGGCATGGAGTGACACACAGATCCCCACCTAGGATTCAGTTCCCAAAAATGGATCTTATCGTTCCCAGATTGTGAAAGCAAGGGGAGCAGTTGGATAGTCTTAAGCAAAAAAGTGACAGGATAGGATAATATATCCTCTAGATGTGAAGGCACTGGGGGGCTGCAGAACTTCCCCTCCCACCACCAACACTAATCAATAATGAAGAGCCAGGGCTGTTATGCCAGTGAGCTTTATTTCCCTATAGAATAAATAGCTATTTTCCTGATTATAATTAGTGCATGTAAATCATTTCTAAAATTCAAACAACTTAGGAATGTATGTGGATAAAAATAGAGAACATTTGAAATTTTTTTACCTTGAGGTGACTGCAATTAATTTTCTGCTGACTATGGTAGGAAGAATTTTGGCCCCCATGATCTTCACTCGCTGGGGTTACTCCCATGAATATGTTCCATTACATGGCAAAAAGGACTATGCAGATGTGATTAAAGTTACTAACCAGTTGATCTTAAGACAGACAATTATTCTGGATTATAAATGTGGACCTGATGTGATCACATGAGCACTTAAAAGCAGAGAATAGGAACAGAAAAGAAACTCAGATTTAGGGTGAGTGTGGTGGCTCAGGCCTAGTAATCTCAGCACTTTGGGAGGCCGAGGCAGGAGCATCACTTGAGCCCAGGAGACCAGCCTGGGCAATATACCGAGACCCTCATCGCTAAAGGAAAAAAAGCAAGATTTGAAGTGTGAGGACTTGACATGTCATTGCTGGTTTGAAGATGTGGGTGCCATGTGAAAAGAAATACATGCAGTCTGAAGTTCTTAGGAGAAATGCCCTAGCTGACAGCTGGTGAGAAATGGAAACCTCAGTCCTACAACAACAAGAAATTAAATTCTTTTTTTTTTTTTTTTTTGAGACGGAGTTTCACTCTTGTTGCCCAGGCTGGAGTGCGATGGCGTGATCTCGGCTCACCGCAACCTCTGCCTCCCGGGTTCAAGTGATTCTTCTGCCTCAGCCTCCCGAATAGCTGGGATTACAGGCATGCACCACCATGCCTGGCTAATTTTGTATTTTTAGTAGAGATGGGGTTTCTCCATGTTGGTTAGGCTGGTCTCTCCATGTTGGTTAGGCTGGTCTCGAACTCCCCACCTCAGGTGATCCGACTGCCTCGGCCTCCCAAAGTGCTGGGATTACAGGCGTGAGCCACCGCACCTGGCCAAGAAATTAAATTCTGCCAACAACCTGAGGGAGCTTGGAAGCAGATTCTTCCCCAGAGCCTGCAGAAAGGAATTGCATCCCAGACTACATTTTGATCTCATCTTTGTGAGACCCTGAGCAGAGAACCCAGTTAAGCCATGATATTCCTGGACTTCTGACCATGAAAACTGTGAGATAATGAGTTTTAAGATGCTACATTTATGGTTATATGTTATGGCAGCAATATAGTGACAGAAATAAAGTGACAATCCTTTAATACATCTCTTCTTCTATGCATATACACACTAACACAAATACATACTAAATTTATGTATAATTAACTTGTACATTGGGTTTTTGTGAACCAGCTTCTTCCTACACTATCTCCTTTGTCCCCTTTAACCAATTATTAGTAATTTCAGGTTCATAATTTTCTACCTTTCTTTTTGGTGATATATACCCTTATATCTTCGTGATATGATGATATAATAAGGAATATATGTTTTGTCTCCTGTCCCAGTTGCTGGCACAGAGCTCCTAAAATTCTTCTAATTCCCTGAGCAATAGGAGTGTTAGGAACAAAGAACATTTTGTGGCCAGGTGCAGTGGCTCACGCCTATAATCCCAGCTCTTTGGGAGACCAAGGCAGGCAGATCACGAGGTCAAGAGATCGAGACCATCCTGGCCAACATGGTGAAACCCCGTCTCTACTAAAAATACAAAAACTAGCTGGGCGTGGTGGTGTGTGCCTGTAGTCCCAGCTATTCAGGAGGCTGAGGCAGGAGAATCGCTTGAACCCGGGAGGCAGAGGTTGCAGTGAGCCAGGATTGCGCCACTGCACTCCAGCCTGGTGGCAGAGCGAGACTCCATCTCAAAAAAAAAAAAAAATGTGTTTTTTGACCCTGGCTTCTGACACAGAGCTCCTAATTCTTGGAATTTTCTGAGTAATAAGAATGTCTTTTGTTTTGATGAGGCAACTTTTGGTGGGCTCCTGCATGGGGACTGGTCACCAGAAAGACCAAGCTGTGATAAAAAGCTTGGAACTTTCAGCTCTATTTCCTATCCTTTGGGAAGGAGAGAGGGGCTGGAAACTGAGGTAATAATAGATCATGCCTATGTGATGAAGCTTCCATATAAGTCCCTAAACTATGGTGTTTGGAAAGCTTTCTAGGTTGGCATTCAGAAAACTTCATGCCTATGTGATGAAGCTTTTAAGTCCCTAAACCATAGCATTCAGAAAGCTCCTAGGTTCACAAAGCTTCTGAAGAGTTCAGAAAGCTTTGAGGCATCTACATGCCAGGAGGTAGCATATCACAAATTCACAAGGACAGAAGCTCTACACTCAGGACCCTTCCAGACCTCACCCTGTATATTTCTTCATTGGCTATTCATCTGTATCTTGTTTTATATCCTTAGTTACATAATAAACCAGTAAATGTAAGCAAGTGTTTCTGTGAGTTCTGTGAGCTCTCCTAGCAAATTATCCAACCCAAGTCGGAGGTCATAGGAAACCCAATTTCAAGCTGGTCAGTCAGAAGTACAAGTTACAACCTGGGACTTGTAATTGGCATCTGAAGAGAGGAGGATTCTTACGAGACTGTGCCCTTAACCTGTGGGGTCTATGAGGAATGCAGAATGTGGAATGGGATGGGATGGGATGGGATGGGATGGAATGGATCCAGCTGGTGTCTGCAGAGAATCAGAAAATTTGTCAATGTGGGAAAACCCTCAGAATTGGTGGCCAGAAGTGTTATGTGTTTAGTGTGTGTAGTATAAGAGGAAAAGAAAACCTTTTGTTTTTATCTGTTATACAAACGCCAACACTCAGCAAATCAATTCACCCACTGCAGGTATTCAATCAATGTTTGATGAATAAATAATGCAATGGGCATTGTGTTTAGTTTGTTAGGTTTTTATTTTCTCTATATTCTTGGACAATTAGGGCAATCCATGATATATCCATCAATTTTGTAGAAAAACAAACTGAAAGAAAAGAGAAAAGCTATCTTTATACATTTTTCCTTTATTTATTTGGGATCAAACTATTTATTGGTGATTTTTTTGTACATTTCCAAGAAGCAGTCTATTTTAATACCATATAATCTATGCCAGATCATACCATGAGACAGAAGGTTTCCCTCCCTAATCCTAACCTTAGCCCTAGATCTAGCCCTAGTCCTAACCCTATTCTTAACCCTAAGCCTAACCCCAACACCAACCCCAGCTCTAATCCTAATGCTAAACCCTAAACCAGACTCTAATCACAACCCTGACTCCAACTCCACCAGTAATAAGTCATGACAGGCTATGTCTGGCCATTACTGATCTTGACAATTCATGACTGACTTTGACTGGTCTTGATCATCCACAACTGGCAGACTGACTGTGACCAGCTCTGACTGGCCTTAACTGGTCTTGACTGGCCCTGACCAGCTGTAACTGGCTTGGACCTACTGTGACCATCCTTGACCAGCCATGACTAGCTTTGGCTTGTCTTGACCAGCTGTGGCTAGATTTGATCAGTCTTCACTGGCTTTGACTGGCTTTGATGCCCTGGACCAGTTTTAACCAGCTGTGACCAGCCTTAACCAGTTGTAACTGGCCTTAACCAGTTTTGACTGGCTTAGACCAGCCATGACCAGCTTTGGCTGGTCTCTGCCAGTCGTGACTACTGTGACTGGCTTTTACCAGCCTGAACAGTTTTTAACCAGCCATGGCTTGTCTTGATTGGCCATGACTGGCTGTGACCAGCTTTGATTACAATTGACTGGTTTTGATCAGCTTAGACCAGCTGTGACCAGCTGTGACCAGTCATAACAGAGCTTAACCAATTTTGACTGGCTTACACTGGCCATGACCAGCTTTGACTGGTCGTGACTGGCCTTCATGAGCCATAACTGGCTTTGACTAGAATTGACCAGTTTTTACCAGCCATGACTGGTCTTGACCACATGTGACTGGCTTTGACTGGTCATGACTGGCTTTGGCCAGAATTGGCTGATTTTGATCGGCTTAGACCAGCTGTGTCCAGCTTTGTCCTGTATTTACTGGCTGTGACTGGCTTTGACTGGCCTGGACCAGTTTTAACCAGCCGTGGCTGGTCTTAAACAACTGTGATTGGCCTTTGCTACCTGTGACCAGCTTTGGTTGGCTATGACTGGCCTTGACCAACTGTGACTGGCTTTGGCCTATCTTGACCAGCCATGACCAGCCTTGGCCAGCCATGACTGGCTTTGATCAACCATGCTGGATTTGGCCTGTCTTGACCAGCCATGACCAGCTTTGACTGGCCTTGACCAGCCATAATCAGACTTCACCAGCTGTGACTGACAATAACCAGTTGTGACTAGCTTTCACAAACCTCAACTGGTCTTAACTAGTCATGACTAGCCTTGACTGGAGTTGACTGGCTTTTACCAGATTAGACCAGCCATGGCCAGCTTTGACTAGTTTTGACTGGTCTTGACCACTTTTGACTGACGTTGACCAGTCTTGACAGGCCTTGGCTGGCTTAGACTGACCTTGATGGGTCTTCACTTTTTTTTGTTGTTGTTGTTGTTACCAGATTTGACCTGCCATGACTGGCCTTGACTGGCAGTATCTGGTCATGATCCTGCTGCTTCCTGCCCAGCCAAGGTCCTGGGACTCAGAGGCTGTACAACACTGTGGGGGTAGGTGGAGGAGAGCAGAATGGTGAGGGTGCACCTGGGAGAGCTCACTGGTGGGGTTACACCAGAAAGGCCTTAGAGATCACTTCCTCTTGCAGATGGAGAAATAGGCCCTGTGGATGTGGACTCAACTATCAGAGCAGGTGACAGTGGAGACAGGCAAAGATATCTGCATGACAGGAGTAAGCTGGGGTGAGTGCAAATTTGTGCACTTTTCTCCTCCCTGAGACTTTCAGCTCCACAGAGCAGCCTCTGAAATACATGTAAATACTTGGTGATCCACAATCCAGACAAGAGTGGAAGGACCAGAGAAGGATAGGACCAGGTGGAAATGTAGTAGAGAGGCAAGGTGTTAGCCTAGGGGGAATGCTAGTTAACCCACAAGGTAACGGTGAGAGAAGGGAAGGCAATAGTGAAACAATCCTAACCCTAGCTGTAGCTGTAGCCAAAACCCTAAACCTAGCTTTTTTTTTTTTTTTCTCCTTAGACAAGGTCTCACTTTGTCACCAAGGCTGGAGTGCAGTGTCGTGATCTTGGCTCACTGCAGCCTCAACCTCCCAGGTTCAAGTGATCCTCCTGCCTCAGCCCCCCAAGGAGCTGAGACTACAGGTCCACACCACCATGCATGGCTAATTTTTATTTTATTTTATTTTATTTTATTTATTTTGAGACAGAGTCTCACTCTGTCACCCAGGCTGGAGTGCAGTGGCACGATCTCGGCTCCTGCAACCTTCGCCTCCTGGGTTCAAGCAATTCTCATGCCTCAGCCTCCCAAGTCACTGGGGTTACAGGCGTGCACCAGCACTCTTGGCTAATTTTTGTATTTTTAGTAGACACGGGGTTTCACCATGTTGGCAAGGCTAGTCTCAAAATCCTGGCCTCAAGATTCTCAAATTCCTTGGTCTCCCAAAGTGCTGGGATTACAGGTGTGAGCCATTGCACGTGGCCCCAGCTAATTTTTTGTATTTAGGTCGGTGCAGAAGTAATTGCAGATTTTGCATTAAAAGTAATTTTTTTTGGTACAGATAGTGTTTCGCCATGTTGCCCAGGCTGGTCTTGAACTCCTGGACTGAAGCAATCCACCCATCTCAGCTTCCCAAAGTGCCAGGATTACAGACCTGAGCCACTGCACCTGGCCTTTAGCCTTATCCCCTTAACCCCTAAACCCTGACCCTAGCCCTAGCCCCAGCCTCAACCCTACACCTAACCCTAACTCTAAACCTCAAACCTGTTTATACCTTAACCCCTAAAATCTAAATCCTAACCCTCTAATCCTAAACAGCCTAAATACTATATCCAACCCCAACCCCAGATCAAAACAAACATATCAAACAAAGGGATGACATCACAAGGACAGAAAACTACAGAACAATATCCCTTCTAAACATAGATGTAGTAAACCTTAACAAAATAATAGTAATATGAAACTACAGTCATCCCTCAGTATCCATGGGGGATTGGTTCCTGGACTCCTACCAATACCAAAATCCACACGCACTCAAGTCCTGCAGTGAGCCCTGTGAAATCCGTGGATACAAAAAGTTGGCCCTCCATATATGTGGGTTTCACATCCCACAAATACTATGTTTTTGATCCTTGTTTGGTTATGGATGTGGAATCTGCTAATATGGAGAGCTGAATGTATTTTTCAAGCCCTGTGGCCAGTGGGAAACCATTGCCAAAGTTAAACCAGAAGAGTGACATGGGCTGGGCACCGTGGCTCATGCCTATAATTCCAGCACTTTGGGAGGCCAAGGCAGGTGGACCACCTGAGGTCGTGAGTTCTAGACCAGCCTGACCAACATGGAGAAACCCCGTCTCTACTAAAAATACAAAAATTAGCCAGGTGTGGTGGCACATGTCTGTAATCCCCGCTACTCGGGAGGCTGAGGCAGGAGATTCACTTGAACCCAGGAGGCAGAGGTTGCGGTGAGCCAAGATCACACCATTGCACTCCAGCCTGGGCAACAAGAGTGAAACTCCATCAAAAAAAAAATGACATAATGAGATGTATGTTTGTGAATCAGTATTTTGCCATTATCAAGTTGAGTTCACCAATGGTGGGCAGGTGAATCTGTGCTCCTCCCAGTGGACTGCACTGAGGAGACCATAGCATCAGGCCAGAGTGTTTCTGCCAGGAATGCAGGGTCCGCGTCTGCTCAGGAGGAAACACTGGGCAAATCTAGTTTGGAGTCACCTCTGCTCTTTAGATCTACCAAGGTTGTGAAACTGAGGGACAGTCTCAGGAACAGTTCCAGAAAAAGAAAACTGGACCTGAATGGAAAAAGACATTTTTTCTCCCAGTTGAGGCAGGTGGTGAAGTGAAATGGGTCTGCAGATTGGAATGTCAGGTAGAAATCATGTACTTCCTGATTTGGGGATTATGTGATGGTTACCTAGGAGAGTGTCCCTGCTTTGGGTAAAATATACTGGAGTATTTTGTGTGAAATTGGGAATCTGATACAGCAATAACCACTGGGGAATCTAAAAGAAAGGATAAAGAGTACTTTGTACTGCTATTGCAGGTTTTCTACAAGTATGAAATTATTAGGAAGTAAACTACTTTTTTAAAACAACCATGTCAATATCATTTCAGTAAAGCAGAAACAATATCAAACTTTGTTATAGAGGCTAAGCCTGACCCAAATCCACATCAGCCAAAGCTGTGAAACCAATTGCTCTTCTAGGAGTCTGAATGTTACTTTAGTATTAAGAGGCCACTGTGTGGACATAATGTTACTGGCCACTACACCTTGGTTGTGGAGAAGAACCTTGAGGTATGGTGGAAACAGTAGGATTTTTTATTTCCAATTTTCCACTTGAAGCCCTTCCTCTCCTGGGTACTCTGAAGACTTACTGCCCCTCAGTAGTCACGGCTGCGAACAGGAAGGTTTTTATTCACCATTGACGTTGTCTCCAGTTGTCCTAAAGTGAGACGGTGCCCCCTTAGGTCTGTGCTGAGGAAAACGAAACTCTTGTCTTTGAAGTGGGCTTGGTGCTGAACTCCATAAGCGGAACACAAGGCGCTTCATGGGGTCAGAAAAGGCGGGTTCGCGCGCCCCCTGCTGGCCACCAGAGACAGTGCGAGATTCTCAGCGCTCACTGTGTAGCGGTAGCCGTGCGCCCCCTCCTGGCTGTCCTGCTGAATCAATTAAATTCAATGTGCAGCCTGTAATCCCAGCCCTTTGGGAGGCAGAGGCAGGTGGATCACCAGAGGTACGGAGTTCGAGACCAGCCTGGCCAAAATGGTGCAATCCCGTCTCTACTAAAAATACAAAATTAGCCGGCCGTGGTGGTGCGCGCCTGTAATCCCAGCTACCCCGGAGGCTGAGGCAAGAGAATCGCTTGAACCCAGCAGGTGGAGGTTGCAGTGAGCCGAGATGGTGCCACTGCACTCCAGCCTGGGCAACAAAGTGAGATTCCATCTCAAATTAAAAAAAAAAAAAAATTCAATGTGCATATTATTCAGTGCCGTAATTTTGGAAATTCAAACTAAAATGGAGCCCACTATCCCGGTCTTTAACAAAAATGCTGAAGGAACAAGTCATTTGAAACCATATGGAATGAAATGAACATAGATACAAATTTTACAATTTATGCAAGAATTTACTCAGAATAGTCCGTAGACAAATTAAAAATGCAAAACTATCAAAATTCTAGAAGAAAACATAGAAGAAAATCTACGTGACCTTGGGTTTGGTGATGAGATTTAACATACAATGCCAAGAGCTGATCCACGCACAAAAGTTAATAATATGGATATTATAACATTAAAAATGTTACACATGTCTGTGATAGACCATGTTCAAAGAATGAAAACAGAAGCCACAGACAGGACAAAATATTTGTAAAATACATATCTGAGAAAGGATTTGTATTCAAAATACTCAAAGAACTCTCAAAACTAAAAAATAAGACAACCCAATTAAAAATGGGTAAGATATAAAGAGACACCTCGCCAAATAAGGTATGCAGATGGCAAATAAGCATACAGAAAGATGCTCAATATCACATATCATTAGCGAATTGCAAATTACAACAACGAGACAGCACTGCCAGGCGCAAGTGGCTCACGCTTGTAATCCTAACACTTTGGGAGGCCGAGGTGGGCAGATCACTTGAGGTCAGGGGTTCGAGACCAGCCTGGCCAACATGTCGAAACCCCGTCTCTACTAAAAATACAAAAATTGTTCGGGTGTGATGGCGCATGCATGTAATCCCAGCTATTCGGGAGGCTGAGGCAGGAGAATCGCTTGAACCCGGGAGGTGGAGGTTGCAGTGAGCCGAGATCGCGCTACTGCACTCCAGCCTGGGAAACAAGAGTGCGACTCGGTCTAAAAAAACAAACGAACAATGAGATAGCACTGCACACTTGTTGAAACTGCTATTTATTAGACCTGCTGAACTAAAACAATGACAAACCATAAACTTTCATTCATTGCTTGTGGAATGCATAATGATACAGCCACTTGAGAAGACAGTGTAAGACTAGAATATGCCACCACAAAATATGATTGTAGAAGACTAGAATATGCCACTCAAAAGTATGCCTTTTTTGGCATAAGGATTATTTTGAGCTGATTGTTTTGAGAAACTGCAGATGCAAGAGAAGCTCTGAATACAGAGTAGAAGTTACCCTTTTATAAGGGAAATTTACATCTATAAAGAAAATCTTCATTTGCAAGGGTGTCTCTCCCTCAGTACCAAGAAAAGAAGGATGACTAAATCATGAGAGATTCTTATCAATAGGGAAGACATCAACTTAAATCTGCATTACAAACCTTACCCTTGTTTACTGTCCTTTTCCTGGTTACCTCCCCATTACCGCACCCTCCACCCCAACCCCACTTTCTTTGTTTCAGTTGAACAAATTCATTTTTACTCATTTTACTCATTTTTCCTTGGGTGTCTCCCACGTGTTTTTTTTTTTGTTTGTTTGTTTTTGTTTGTTTGTTTTTGAGACAGAGTCTCGCTCTGTTGCCCAGGCTGGAGTGCAATGGCGTGATCTCTGCTCGCTGCAACCTCCGCCTCCCGGGTTTAAGCGGTTCTCCTGTCTCAGCCTCCTGAGTAGCTGGGATTACAGGTGCCTGCCACCACGCCCAGCTAATTTTTTTATTTCTTTAAATTTATTTATTTATTTATTTAGAGACGGAGTTTTGCTCTTGTTGCCCAGGCTGGAGTGCAATGGCGTGATCTCGGTTCACCGCAATCTCCGCCTCCCGGGTTCAAGTGATTCTCCTTCCTCAGTCTCCCGAGTAGCTGGGATTACAGGCATGTGCCACCATGCCCAGCTAATTTTGTATTTTGTATTTTTTTTTTTTTTTAGTAGAGTTGGGGTTTCTCCATATTCATCAGGCTGGTCTCAAACACCCGACCTCAGGTGATCCGCCCACCTCAGCCTCCCAAAGTGCTGGGATACAGGCGTGAGCCGCCGCACCCAGCCATTTTTATATTTTTAGTAGAGTTGGGGTTTCACCATGTTGACCAGGCTGGTCTCAAACTCCTGACCTAAAGTGATCCACCTGCCTCGGCCTCCAAAAGTGCTGGGATTACAGGCATGAGCCGCCGTACCCGGCCTCTGTGTGTGTATTTTAAAAAGTATTCAATTATACTTATTCAAGCATGGTAAGGAAGACTTTATTCAGGACCATCGTGATAGGTATAAGAACCACTGCAACGGGGTCTTGCAGTCGGGGAGAGAGATTGGGCTCAACTCCAAATACAGCATGGGCCAGTGGGACTTTACAGCCAAGGACCAGGATGGAGGTCAGAGGATGGAAAATTGCTAAGAGGAAATCAGGAGTTAAAGGTATCAACATGCTGGGTGCGGTGGCTCACGCCTGTAATTCCAGCACTTCGGGAGGCCGAGGCGGGCGGATCACGAGGTCAGGAGATCAAGACCATCCTGGCCAACCTGGTGAAACCCTGTCTCTACTAAAAATACAAAAATTAGCTGACTGTGGTGGCATGCGCCTGTAATCCCAGCTACTTGGGATACTGAGGCAGGAGAATTGCTTGAACCCAGGAGGCAGAGGTTGCAGTGAGCCGAGATGGCACCACTGCACTCCAGCTTGGGCGACAGAGCGAGACTCTGTCTCAAAAAAACATAAAAAATAAAAAAATAAAAATAAATAAAGGTATCAACATTATAATGCCAGCTTACAGATGAGATGGACTCTGTGGCTGAGATGAGAGATTTGAGAGAAAATTAAGTGGCCACAGCGGGCCACGGTGGCTCACACTTATAATCCCAACAGCACAGGAGGCTGAGGTGGGAGGATGGCTTGAGCCCACGAGTTCAAGACCAACCTGGGCAAAACAGTGAGACCCTGTTTCTACAAAAATAAAAAATTACCCAGACATGGTGGCACACACCTGTAGTCCTAGCCATGCACTCAGGAGGCTGTTGCAGGAGGATTGCTTGAACCCAGGATTAAGGCTGCAGTAAGCTATGATCATGCCACAGCACTCCAGCCTGGATGACAGAGCAAGACTCTGTCTCTAAAAAAGAGAAAAAGTAAGCCACCATGGCAAGGAAAAGGGATTAGTCATGTACTCCTACATTGTTAATTACTATAAGGTTTGTTAAATACTATAAGGTTTGTTAAATGCCATAAGGTTTTCCTTCCTACAAGTAGGCAGGAACATGTTCTAACAAAACACTGCCCAACTGACCCCTGTGGACTGCCTGACCACCAGCCAACTGGGACACGTCTGCCTTGAGGATCCTGCCAGTGGCACCAACTGGATAGATTAACCTTACAAAAATTCATTCCTGATAAACAGCTAAAGACCCTAAACCAGTTCCAGCCAGTTTACAGAGACTGTGCACAAAATGTCTTTGTGCCCTATAGTTCACCTGTTGACTTAAAAAGGCAAATTCCACCTTGTTGGGTTAGAAGGTATCTGAGTTATCAGTGGCAAATCTGTACAGGTCTGCAGCAACTTCAATTCTTGCCTCTTCAGAAGAAAGAATTCAACTGAGGGGCATAAGGCAGAAAAAGAGACTGAGGCAAGTTTCAGAGCAGAAGTGGAAGTTTATTTAAAAAGCTTTAGAGCAGGAAAGAAAGAAAGTACACTTGGAAGAGACCCAAGCAAGCAACTTGAAGGACAAGTGCAGCATTTAACCTTGATGCTAGGACTTTATATGCGGGCCCACCTTCGGCGTCTTGTACCCCTTTCCCATGATTCTTCCCTTAGGGTGGGCTGCCCTCATGCGCAATGCCCTTATGCTTGGGAAGTGAGCATGCGCAGTGTGTTTAGGAAGTTGTATGCGTGCCCATCTGAGGCTTTCTTCCCTTTTCTGGTGGAATCCACCATTTTGTCTCTTAATGCACATGCCCAGGCTCACTCGCCCAACTCCTGAGATTTTACTGAAAGCCAATTACCAATCTCAAGTGTTTTTATCTGTTTGGGAAGTTGCCTCTCCCTGGCACTTGTGTTCAATTAACACTTTAGTGTGACAGCTGTGGACCTTCAGGAGATTGTCTCTCCCTGGCACCGGCTGCCAAATTGTCATTTTTAGAGAGGCGGTGTGGTAACTGCTGAGCCATCACCTGATGGTTGCCTGACATTCCTGGTGGGTTGAGGGGAGAGCCCTCTCCTGCCCTGCTTATGCCTAACTACCTGTAACAACCTTATTTTAATGTTAAAACCCCATCCCAAAGTGAACATAATATGTATATTACATATGTTAACTCACTGCACATGTGCTTGACTTTCCCTGTAAATTTTATAGATATTACCAAACCTGATGAATATACATGTAAGACAAGTCCTGGAAGGCTTAAATGCTGCTGTTTCCTTCCCTTCTGTAGAATGCATACTCACAGTTTCCCTGGAGGCTACATTCTCCATTCTGCAGACTGTTGCTCTGAAAATAAAAGTTTTCTCATTTTTTCTTCCTCTGTAGATCTCATAGTCATTTTGTTAACATTTCTGGTGATGAGAATAGGATCCAAAGTGGTCCCCAATTTCTTTTCCTCTACTGCCTCAATCAATGCCTAGGTGCCAGCAAGGATGCTGTAAGGTCCAGTTGAATTCTGGCATGGTAGGAAAGAGTTGGGTAAGCATTCTTGGATCCAAGATCTCCTTTTAGGTTGAGATCTAGGAGGTTTTATTTTCTTTAAATAGGGCAATCCATCTGGTTTGCAGGTAGACCTTAATTCTTATGTTCTAAGCAGGAACACCTGCTCTATTGTTACACTCTGAAGTTGACTTCTTTAGGTGAGTGCTTTAGGTAGTTCACCCACTAAAGTAATGGTCACTGGCCAGCCACCATTGGGAACTCCAGCAGCCTATATGTTTAAAACTATGGGAAAAACTCCTGTGAATATTTAGGATCCTGGATGCAAATAACCCAGGATGACTCAAAGCTTTGTTGGCAACAATTGGGAACTTTTGATATGCCTAAATTAGTCTATCAACATGCACAATTAGAGCGGAGAGAATTCTGGACTTTTCAAAAGCAATGGGAGGCCTCTTTTATTTCTTTTCTCTTCTCTTTCTTCCTTTCCTTTCTTTTCTTTTTTCTTTTTTTTTTTTTTTACAGAGTTTGGCTTTTGTTGCCCAGGCTGGAGTGCAATGGCATGATCTTGGCTCACTGCAACCTCTGCCTCCCAGGTTCAAGCTAGTCTCCTGCCTCAGCCTCCCGAGTAGCTGGGATTACAGGCATGCACCACCATGCCCAGGTAATTTTGTATTTTTAGTAGAGACGGGGTTTCTCCATGTTGGTCAGGCTGGTATCGAACTCCTGACCTCAGGTGATCTGCCTGCCTCAGCCTCCCAAAGTGCTGGGATTACAGGTGTGAGTCACTGCGCCCGGCCTGGGAGGCCTTTTTCAACTGGTATTATGAAAGCTCTAAAAAAATAGTTAGAAATAATGAATAAGACCTATTTCATAGCACAATAGGGTGACTATAGTCAATAATAACTTAATTGTGCATTTTAAAATAAAGAGTGTAGTTGGATTGTTTGTAACTCAAAGGATAAATTGCTTGAGGGGACAGATGCCCCATTCTCCGTGATGTTCTTATTTCACATTGCATGCCTGTATCAAAACATCTCATGTACCCCATAAAGTTATACACCTACCAAGTACCCACAAAAATTTAAAAACAAAAAAAGAAAAAATAAAGAAATGGAGTCTCTAGTTACCTCCTTGAAAGAGACTAATTCAAAATTTAATCAGTGTCTTCAAAAGCTTGAAAATCTACATCAGGCCCTAAATCCAAAACTGAAAAGAACTCTGTGTACCCTCTTGTTACCCTCCTTGCACTCTGTCAAGGCCACTTCCACCTTAGTCCTTCTTGCTGCCACTGTCTTCTCTTTCTGAACTGCCTTTCTTCTCCTTGCCTCCCATTCTGGAACTGCCCTGTTTGTTGACTCTGCAACCCCTTTGGTTGCACCTTTTAAAGTGATTGATAACTCTACAGGTGGTCACACTACCTTTTCTACAGACTTGCTGTAGTTCAACCATTTCTACTTGATGACAAATGTGTGCCAGCTAGGACTTCCTGATGTCTACCAGTTAATCCACATACCAGTGGGAAATACCTTAACGCAAGAATAGATGTATTTATCTAACTGGGATAGGCCCTATGAAGATTTCATCTTATTGGGGAAACAGCCTACAAGACAGTGAGAAAATTCAGTGAGAAAAACTTAACTAAATTGGTTAAGTCTATCAGTCCTACCAGGAGGAAATCAAAGACCCAAAGAAGGTCAGAGTTGAAATAGTGGAGAACTTCAGGTCCAGTGATTTTCAAACTGTGCTCTGTGAATCTTTGGAGGATTTACAGAGGTACTGCAAGGTTCACTGAATATCTGGGAAAACAATAGATTGTGGAGTGCTGGGCCTTTCTTCCTTCTCTTTAATCAGAATAATGGTTTTAACATTGAAAAAAAAATGATTCTGTTGTTTGAAGTTTAAAACATTTTTTTAAAGTTATGTCCAATCGAGACTTACACTTCTGGAAAGACTGATTATATGTATTTTTTCTTATTCATCCCACGAAGACCGGCTTAAAATGCTGAATATTTCATATAAAACAAACCTAAAATGATTCTGAAAGGTGGAGAGAAAAAAGCAGACCAGCTAAAAGCCTCAGAACTTAAGTATTGAGTCACCTGAGGTAAGTGCTCTGCTTTTTTTGGCCTTTTTTTTTTTTTTTTGCCTCATACATCTCAGATGTGGTGCTGGAGAAGCCAGCAACCCAGAAATGTGAATGGGTACAGACATAAAAAGCCCAATAAAATCTTGCTTTTTCTAGCCAAATAACCAGGAAAGGGGCAGCCTAGCAAGATAGAAAACTTTTACACAATAGCTGCTCTACTCTAGCCAAACCCCATGGAAAAAACTGTGATTCCACTTCCACCCCAGCTAGCAAAAGTGAGGTAGAAAGCTTAGATAACCATTTTCATCTTCCTGTAACTTACAATACCACCCTTCCTTTCCATCACCAGGATAGCATTACAGAAGTGAAATTGCCATGGCAAAATTATAACTGAGACAGTGAAAGAGATCCAACCTAACCAACTCCATCTTACTTCTAACCGCCAAGCTGTCCTTGTTTATTCCTGGGTGTAGGCCGAAGTAACTTTGGGAGGAACTTAGTTTATAGTCTATACTTTGAAACAAACATGATAACAGCCCTTTTTCAAAACAAACCCCCTTCTTGCCTGGGGACTAGACTGCCTTTGTAGGACCAACAAATTAGTCAAAAGATTAGAGATTATGGTTTAGGAGTCATGCAGCTGGAGGCTACAAGATTCTGACCCTCCTCAAATTGATCCTGGGATAACATCAGTATTGTAAAATCTAAGATCAGTGCTTTTTTGCACTTGATGGATCTTTTTTTTGCACTTGATGGATCAGCTGACACCACCCAGATCAATAAACTGGTTCATCTGATCTTGTGACCCCACCCAGGAGCTGACCCAGTGCAAGAGGACAGTTTTGATTCCCTATAGTTTCATCTCCAAGCCAACCAATCAGCACTCCTGACTCACTGGCCCCTACCCACCAAATTATCCTTAAAAACTCCAATCCCCAAATGCCCGGGGAGACTGGTTTGAGTAATAACAAAACTCCGGTTTCCCGCACAGCCAGTGCTGCATGAATAACTCTTTCTCTATTGCAATGTCCCTATCTTGATAAATTGGCTCTGTCTAGGCAGCAGGCAAGGTGAACTCATTGGGCAGTTAAAGAAGACTATGTAGAGAGCCCAGACTTTCATCCCAGCCAAAATTATAACAGTGAGACAATTATGACAGTGGAAGCAATCTCATCTAACCTTTAACCTCTTGCCTTTAACCTCCAAACTTTCCTTGGTCATTCCTGGATGTGGGCCAAGCTAACTTTGGGAGAAATTTAGTTTATAGTTTAAATGATAACAGCCCTTTGCCAAACTAACCACCTTTATAAAACTAATAAAAGTCCACAAGATTAGGATTATGAAAGAGCCCTGAATTCTAAGATGTAGGTTTAGTTAAATGATTACCAGCCATTGTTCTAGAGGTCACAAGATTTGTAACTCCCCCGCTTACCCCTGTAAATAACATCACTATTGAAGAACCTAAGATTGGCCTTTTGATATGTCTTTTCAGACTTTTGCATTTCTGATGACCAGATGACTTCACTCATGACTGAACTGGTCCTGTGTTCCCCACCCAGAAGCAGACTCAGTCACAAAGGACCATTTTCCACACTCCTATAATTGCATCCCCAACTAATCAGCAGCACCCATTGCCTAGCCCCCTGCCTGCCAAACTATTTTTTTAAAAACCCTAGCCTCCAAATTTTGGGAGAGGCAGATTTGAGTAGTAATAAAACTCTGGTCTTCCATTTAGGTGGCTCTACATGCTTTAAAGTATTTCTTTTTTGTAATTCCTCTGTCTTGATATTAATCTATCTGGGCAGCAGGCAAGACGAACCTGTCAGGTGGTTACAAATTTGGGGGCTCATCTGGGATAGCCCTTTCAGGTACCACCCACAGTTTGGCAGCCCCTCACTGGCAATCAATCCAGAGGCCATGCAAGGGGCTGCTTAGTTCTCTTGGACTAAGGGCTGCCTCTGGTACTGTCTCTACCAGTTGGGTGCTGTTGACCCGTAATGCATGGATCTGATTGCAATGAGGAAATAGTTCCTGGAAGATGTCTTTTAACCAGAGTTGATGAGTATTCCAAAATACAACATACTGAGACACCAGCTGGGGTAGCCAAGGGAGTGCTGGCATCACCCCTCTGCTAACTCCAGGCTACACAGCCTGCAGCTCCAAAAGAGATCCCTTCCTTCTGCTTGAGGAGAGGAGAGGGAAAAGAGGTGAGGAGAGGAGAGGGAAGAGTGGGGAGGACTTTATCTTGCATCTTGGATGCCAGCTCAGCAACAGCAGGTTAGGGCACCAGTCAGAGACATGACGCCTCCATTCCAGGACCTAGCTCCAAAATGACATTTATAGACACACCTTGGGCCAGAAGGAAACCTGCTGCCCTGAAGGATAGAACCCAGTCCTGCCAGCATTCATCACCTGCTAACTGAAGAGCCCTTGGGCCTTGAATAACCAGCAGCGACAGCCAGGTACATCGAGGGCCTTGGGCGAGCCTGAGACTTGCTAGCTTCAGGTGAGACTCAGCACATTATCAGCTGTAGTGGCTATGGGAAAAAACTCCTTCTGCTTGAGAAAAGCAGATGGAAAAGTAAAGGGGACTTTGTCTTGTACCTTAGATGCCAGCACAGCCACAGGGGCTTAGAGCAAAAAGCGGGCCCCTAGGAGTCCCCGATTCCAGGACTCGACTTTGATGGCATTTCTGGACCTGCCTTGGGCCAGAGAGAAGCCCACTGACTAGGGCAGGCAGCATTCACGACAAGCTGACATAAGAGACCTTGGGCCTTAAGGGAACATTGGCGATAGTCTGGCAGTACTCCTCATGGCCTGGGGTGGTAGTGGTTAGGGTGTGAGACTCCTCTGCCTTTAGAAAGGGGAGGGAAAAGTGGGAAAGTCTGGGTTGTGTGGTTTGAGTAGCACAATAGAGTGGAATACCACATAGACTTCTAAAGTTTTTGACTCCAGTCCCTCACTCACAGATGGCACTTCTGGACCCACCCGGGGATTGGGGGACCTTGCCACCCTGAAGGAAAGGACATAGGCCTGGCTAGCTTTGCCACCTGCTGATTATAGAGCCCCAGGGACTTGAGCAAACATAGGCAGTAGCCAGGGAGTGGTTTTAGCAGGCCTTGGGTGAGACTCAATGCTGTGCTGGCTTCAGGTCTGACCCAGTGCAGTCACAGTGGTGGTGGCCACATGGGTGCTTGTGTCACTCCACCCCCAGCTTTAGGTAGCTCATAACAGAGAGAGACTCTATGTTTGCTAGAAAGTAAGGGAAGGAAACAAGAGTATCTGCCTGGTAACCCAAAGAATTCTCACAAATCTGGTCCAAGACCATCAAGATGGTACCTCTACAAGTCTGCAAGAACTACAGTGTTACTAGGCTTGGGGTTCCCTCTAAAGCAGATACAGCTTAGATCACAATACCTAAGTCCTTTCAAATATCTGAAAAGCCATCCCAAAAAGGACAGCTAAAAAATAAGCCCAGACAGTGAAGACTACAATAAATACCTAACCTTTGAATGCCCAGACACTGAAGAACATATACTAGCATTACCACCACCCAGGAAAACATGACCTCACTAAATGAACTAAATAAGGCACCAGGCACCAATCCTGGAGAATTGGAGAGGTGTGACCTCAAACCAAAAAACATACAAAGGATATACAAAAAATAAAAAGCAAACAATTAAAACATACCATCAAAGAAAATCACTTCAGTAAAAGGAAGGCAGAAAGGAGAGAAAGAAGGAAGAGAAGACCATTAAACAATCAGAAAACAAATAACAAAATGGTAAGAGTAAGTCCTTACTTATCAATAATAACATTGAATATAAATAGACTAAACTCTCCAATCAAAATACATAGAGTAGGTGAATGGATGAAAAAAGAAGACCCATTAATCTATTGCCTACAAGAAATACACTTCACCTATAAAGACACACATAGGGCTGGGCACAGTGGCTCACGCCTGTAATCCCAGCACTTTGGGAGGCTGAGGTGGGCAGATCACCTGAGGTTGGGAGTTCGAGACCAGTCTGACCAACATGGAGAAACCCTGTCTCTACTAAAAATACAAAATTAGCGAGGCATGGTGGCACATGCCTGCAATCCCAGCTACTTGGGATGCTGAGGCAGGAGAATCACTTGAACCTGGGAGGCAGAGGTTGCGGTGAACTGAGATCGCACCATTGCACTCCAACCTGGGCAACAAGAACAAAACTCCGTCTCAAAAAAAAAAAAAAAAAAAAAAAAAAAAGACACACATAGACTGAAAATAAAGGGGTGGAAAAAGATATTCCATGCCAATGGAAACCAAAAAAGAGTAAGAGTCACTACGCTTATATAAGACAAAATAGATTTCAAGAAAAAAACTATAAGAAGAGACAAAGAAGATCACTATATAATGAATGATAAAGGGGTCAATTCAGCAAGAGGATGTAACAATTGTAAATAATATGCAACCAACACTGGAGCACCCAGACATACAAAGCAAATACTATTAGTGCTAAGGAGAGAGATAGGCCCCAGTACAATAATAGTTGTTGACTTCAACACTGTGCTTTCAGCATTGGACAGATTTTCCAGACAGAAAATCAACAAAGAAGCATCAGACTTAATCTGCAATATAGATCAAATGGATCTAATAGATATTTACAGAACATTTTATCTAAGAGGTATAGACATTCTTTTCCTCAGCACATGGATTATTCTCAAAGATAGACCATATGTTAGATCACAAAACAAGTCTTAAAACATTCAAAAAATTGAAATAATATTAAGCATCTTCTCTGACCACAATGGAATACAACTAGAAATTAAAAAAAAAAAAAAAAAAGTGGGGCTGGGCGCAGTGGCTCATGCCTGTAATCCCAGCACTTTGGGAGGCTGAGGTGGGAGGATCACAAGGTCAGGAGTTCGAGACTAGCCTGGCCAACATGGTGAAACCCCGTCTCTACTAAAAATACAAAAATTAGCGGGGTGTGTGGTGGGCACCTGTAATCCCAGCTACTCACGAGGCTGAGGCAGAAGAATTGCTTGAACTCGGGAGACGGAGGTTGCAGTGAGCCGAGATCATGCCACTGCACTCCAGCCTGGGCGACAGAGCAAGACTCCATCTCAAAAAAAAAAAAAAAAAAAAAAAGGAATTTTGGTAATTATACGAATACATGGCAATTAAACTATATGCTCCTGAATGAACAGTGAGTCAATGAAGAAGTTAAGAAGGAAATTGAAAAATTTCTTGAAACATATAATAATGGAAACACAACATACCAAAACCTATGGGATACAGCAAAAGCAGTACTCGGAGGGAAGTCTATAGCTATAAGTACCTATATCAAAAAAGAGGAAAAACTTCCAATAAACAATCCAATAATGCCTTTTAAAGAATTAGAAAAGCAAGAGCAAACCAAAGCCAAAATTAGTAAAAGAAAAGAAATAATAAAGATCAGAGCAGAAATAGATAAAATTGAAATGAAAATAATACAAAAGGTCAATGAAACAAAAAATTGATTTTCAGAAAAGTTAAACAAAACTGACAAACCTTTAGCCAGACTAATTCAGAAAAAGGAGAAAATCCCAATACATTAAATCAGAAATGAAAAAGGAGACATTACAACTGATAATACATAAATTCAAAGGATCACTAGTGGCTACTACAAGTAACTACGTGACAATAAATTGGAAAATCTAGAAAAAAGATGGACTAATTCCTAGATACATACAACCTACCTAGATTGTAAACGAAAGAAATCCAAATCCTGAACAGACCAATAACAAGTAATGAGAACAAAGCCATAATAAAAAGTCCCCCAGTAAAGAAAAACCTGGAACCCAATGGCTTCACTGTTGTATTCTACCAAACATGTAAAGAATAACTAATACCAATCCTACTGAAACTATTTTGAAAAGTAGAGGAGGAGGGAATACTTCCAAACTCATTCTACAAGGCCAAAATTACCCTGATACCCAAACCAGACAAAGACATGTTAAAAAAAAAAAAACAAAAAACTACAGGCCAATATCTCTGATGAATATTGATGTAAAAATCCTCAACAAAATATTAGCAAACTGAGTTCAACAATATATTAAAAAGATCATTCATCCTGACCAAGTGGGATTTATCCCAGGGATGCAAGGATGGTTCAACATACACAAATCAATCAATGTGATACATCATATAAACAGAATGAAGGGTAAAAATCATATGATCATTTCAATGAATGCTGAAAAAGCATTTGATAAAATTAAACATCCTTTATAATAAAAATCCTCAAAAAAAACTTGGGATAGAAGGAACATACCTAAACATAATAAAAGCCATATACAACAGACCCACAGCTAGTATCATACCAAATTGGGAAAAACTGAAAGCCTTTTGTCTATGATCTGGAACATGAAAAGGATGCCCACTGGTATTCAACATAGTACTAGTAGTCCTAGCTAGAACAATCAGACAAGAGAAAGATATAAAGGGCATCCAAATTGGAAAGGGAAAAGTCAAAGTATCCTTGTTTGCTGATATGATCTTATATTTGGAAAAATCTAAAGACTCCACAAGAAAACTATTAGAACAGATAAATTCAGTAATGTTGCAGGACACAAAATCAACGTACAGAAATCAGTAGCATTTCTGTATGCCAACAGTGAACAATCTGAAAAAGAAAATTTAAAAAGTAATCCCATTGACAATTGCCACATATAAAATTAAACACCTAGGAATTAACTTATCCAAAGAAGTCAAAGATCTCTGCAATGCAAACTATAAAACACTATGCAAGAAATTGAAGGAGACACAAGAAAATGGGAAGATATTCCATGTTGATGGGTTGGAAGAATCAATATTTTTAAAATGTCCATACTACCCAAAGCAATCTACAGATTCAATGCAATCCCTACCAAAATACCAATGTCATTCTTCAATAAACAGAAAAAAAATCCTAAAATTTATATGGAACCACAAAAGACCCAGAATAGCCAAAGCTATTCTGAGCAAAAAGAACAAAACTGAAAGAATCACATTACCTGACTTTGAATTATACTATAGAGCTATAGTAACCAAAATGGCATGGTACTGGCTTAAAAACAGACACACATCAGTGGAATAGAATAGAGAACCCAGAGATAAATCCATACATCTATAGTGAACTCATTTTTGACAAAGGTGCTAAGAACACACATTAGGGAAAGGACAATCTTTTCAATCAAAGGTGCTGGGGAAACTGAATATCCATTTGCCAAAGAATGAAACTAGACCCCTATCTCTCGCTATGTACAAAAATCAAATAAAAGTGGATTAAACACTTAAGTCTAAGACCTCAACCTATGAAACTACTACAAGAAAACATTGGGGAAAATCTCCAGGACATTATCCTAGGCAAAAATTTCTTGAGTAATACCTCACAAGCACAGGCAACCAAAGCAGAAATGGACAAATCAAGTTAAAAGGCTTCTGCACAGCAAAGGAAACAACAAACAAAGTGAGGAGACAACCCACAGAATGGGAGAAAATATTTGCAAACTACCCATCTGACAAAGGATTAGTAAGCAGAATATATAGAGTTCAAACAACTCTATAGGAAAAAAATCTAATTTAAAATCCAATTAAAAATGGGCAATAGATTCAAATAGACATTTCTCAAAAGAAGACATACCAATGGCAAACAGGCATATGAGAAGGTGCTCAACATCACTGATCATGAGAGACATGCAAATCAAAGGTACAATGAGGTATCATCTCACCCCAGTTAAAATGACTTTTATCCAAAAGACAGGTAACAACAAATGCTAGAGAGGATGTGGAGAAAAGGGAACTCTCATAAACTGTTGGTGGGACTGTAAATTAATATAATCACTATGGAGAACAGTTTGGATGTTCCTCAAAAAACGTTAAAATCGAGCTACCGTATGATCCAGCAATCCCACTGCTGGGAATTTACCCAAAAGAAAAGAAATCAGTGTATTGAAGAGATATCTACATGCCCATATTTGTTGCAGTACTGTTCACAATAGCTTAGATTTGGAAGCAACCTAAGTGTCCATCAACACATGAATGAATAAAGAAATGTGGTATATATACAGAATGGAGCACTATTCAGCCTTAAAACAATGAAATCTAGTCATTTGCAACAATATGGATGGAACTGGAGATCATTATGTTAAGTTAAATAAGCCAGGCACATAAGACAAACATCTCATGTTCTAACATATTTGTGGGATCCAAAAATCAAAACAATCGAAGTCATGGAGATAGAGAGTAAAAGCGTGGTTATCAGAGACTGGGAAGGGTAGTGGGGATGTTTAATGAGTACAAAAAAAAAAAAAAACCAGAAAGTATGAATAAGACCTAGTATTTGATAGTACAACACAACGGGGTTACTATTGTCAAAATAATTTAATTGTACATTTTACAAGGACTAAAAGAGTATGACTGGATTGTTTGAAACACAAGGATAAATGCTTGAGAGCATGGATACCCCATTTTCCATGATGTGATTATTATGTATTGCATGGCTGTATCAAAATATCTTGTGTACCCCACAAATACATAGATCTAATATATTCCCTCATAAGTTAAAAATAAAATTTAAAAAGTTCCCTGAAAAGGAAGCTTCTCCAAAAGAAAAACCTATGTGGAGCCAGTCATTCAGTCATCAGAAAATTTAATCAAATGTTCAAAGAAGAATTAACGGCAATTTTATATAATCCCTTCCAGAAAACATAAAAGTAGGAAATCACTTCCCAACTGATTTTATGAGGTCAGTATTACCTTGATACTAAAACCAAACAAAGACAGTACAAAAAAAGAAAGGACCATAGACCAATATACCTTATGAATACAGATGTAAAATTCTTCAGAAAATATTAGCAAACCAAATCCAATAATGTATAAAAAGAATTACACACCATGACCAATTGGAATTTATTATAAATATGCAAGGCTGGCTTAATATTTGAAGCTCACTCAATGTAATAAGCCATATCAACAAATTAAGAATCCTATGATCTTTTTTCAATTATATGATCCTACCAATTGGTGCAGAAGAAGCATTTGACCAAATCCAACACCTATTCATGATTTAAAAAAAACAACAACCAAACAACTTGCAGCAAGTTAGGAATGAAGGGGGACTACTTCAACATGATAAAGAGCATCTACAAATACAAATCCACTCTCACCACTCTTATTTACACAGTATTGGAAGTTCTAGCCAAAACAAGAAGGCAAGGAATATAAATAAGTTGTATATAGATTGGAAAGGAGTAAATAAAACTATTTGGCAGTGACATGATGGTCTATATAGAAAATGCCCAGAAATATAACAAAACCTTACAGAACTAATAAGTTCAGCCTCAGTATACAATATCAACACACCAACATACAAAAATCAATCATATTTCTATAAACTATCAATGAATATGCAGAAACTGAAGTTGAAAATGCAACAGCATTTCTAATCACTACAACGAAAATGAAATACTTAGATGCACACTTAACAAAATGTACAGTGGATCTCTGCTGAAAATTTCAAAATACTGATGAAAGAAATCAAGGAAGACATAAATAACTGGAAAGATATTCTGTGTTCATAGACTGGAAGACTCAACAAAGATATCAATTTGGAAAAAACTGACATACGCTATCAAAATACTAGCATTATATTTTTTTGGTAAGCATAAATGAGATTATTCTAAAATTTATATGGAAAGGTAACAATACTAGAATAGTTACATTGATTTTGCAGAAGAATAAAGTGGGAGGAATCAATCCATCTGATTTTTTTTTTCTTTTTAGAGACAAAGTCTTGCCATGTTGCCCAGGTTGGCCTTGAACTCCTGGGCTCAAGGGATCCTCTTGCCTCAGCCTCCCAAATAGCTGGGATCACAGGCATTCAACACTGTGCCCAGCTCCATCTGATTTTAAGAATTATTATTGTTATAGTAATTAAGACTGTGTGGTATTAGTAGAGGAATAGATATATAGAACAATGGAATAGAATAGAGAAGCTTGACATAGTATGGCACACAATTATGACCAACTGATGTTTCACAAATGTGCAAAATCAATTTGATTGAGAAATGATAAACTTTTCAACAAATGGTGCTGGAGTAATTGGCTATCCATAGGCAAAAAGACACAAAAATAAATTCAAAATGGATCATAGACTTAAATGTAAAATGTAAAACTACAACACTTTTAAAAGAAAACAGGAGAAAATCTTCAGGACCTAGAGCTTGGAGCAGAGTTTCTTAGACATGACACCAAAAGCACAATTCACAGTAAAAATAATAAACTGGACTTCACCAAAAGTAAAAACTTTTGTTTTGCAAAGCAATTTGTTTTTTTTTTTTGTTTTTTTTTTTATTTTTTTTATTTTTTTTATTTTTATTTTTATTTTTATTTTTTTTATTGATCATTCTTGGGTGTTTCTCGCAGAGGGGGATTTGGCAGGGTCATAGGACAATAGTGGAGGGAAGGTCAGCAGATAAACAAGTGAACAAAGGTCTCTGGTTTTCCTAGGCAGAGGACCCTGAGGCCTTCCGCAGTGTTTGTGTCCCTGGGTACTTGAGATTAGGGAGTGGTGATGACTCTTAACGAGCGTGCTGCCTTCAAGCATCTGTTTAACAAAGCACATCTTGCACCGCCCTTAATCCATTTAACCCTGAGTGGACACAGCACATGTTTCAGAGAGCACAGGGTTGGGGGTAAGGTCACAGATCAACAGGATCCCAAGGCAGAAGAATTTTTCTTAGTACAGAACAAAATGAAAAGTCTCCCATGTCTACTTCTTTCTACACAGACCCGGCAACCATCCCATTTCTCAATCTTTTCCCCACCTTTCCCCCCTTTCTATTCCACAAAACTGCCACTGTCATCATGGCCCGTTCTCAATGAGCTGTTGGGTACACCTCCCAGACGGGGTGGTGGCCGGGCAGAGGGGCTCCTCACTTCCCAGTAGTGGCGGCCGGGCAGAGGCGCCCCTCACCTCCCGGACGGGGTGGCTGGCCGGGCGAGGGGCTGACCCCCCCCACCTCCCTCCCGGACGGGGCGGCTGGCCGGGCAGAGGAGCTCCTCACTTCCCAGTAGGGGCGGCCAGGCAGAGGCGCCCCTCACCTCCCGGACGGGGCGGCTGGCCGGGAGGGGGGCTGACCCCCCCACCTCTCTCCCGGACCGGGCGGCTGGCCGGGCGGGGGGCTGACCCCCTCACCTCCCTCCCGGACGGGGCGGCTGGCCTGGCGGGGGCTGACCCCCACCTCCCTCCCGGACGGGGTGGCTGCCGGGCAGAGACGATCCTCACTTCCCAGACGGGGTGGCTGCTGGGCGGAGGGGCTCCTCACTTCTCAGACGGGGCGGTTGCCAGGCAGAGGGTCTCCTCACTTCTCAGATAGGGCAGCCGGGTGGAGACGCTCCTCACTTCTCAGACGGGGCGGCTGCTGGGTGGAGGGGCTCCTCACTTCTCAGACGGGGCGGTTGCCAGGCAGAGGGTCTCCTCACTTCTCAGATAGGGCAGCCGGGTGGAGACGCTCCTCACTTCTCAGACGGGGCGGCTGCTGGGTGGAGGGGCTCCTCACTTCTCAGACGGGGCGGTTGCCAGGCAGAGGGTCTCCTCACTTCTCAGATGGGGCAGCCAGGCAGAGGCGCTCCTCGCATCCCAGACGGGGCGGCGGGGCAGAGGCGCTCCCCACATCTCAGACGATGGGCGGCCGGGCAGAGACGCTCCTCACTTCCTAGATGGGATGGCGGCCGGGAAGAGGCGCTCCTCACTTCCTAGATGGGCTGGCAGCCGGGCAGAGACGCTCCTCACTTTCCAGACTGGGCAGCCAGGCAGAGGGGCTCCTCACTTCCCAGACGATGGGCGGCCGGGCAGAGACGCTCCTCACTTCCCAGACGGGGTGGCGGCCAGGCAGAGGCTGCAATCTCGGCACTTTGGGAGGCCAAGGCAGGCGGCTGGGAGGTAGAGGTTGTAGCGAGCCGAGATCACGCCACTGCACTCCAGCCTGGGCACCATTGAGCACTGAGTGAACGAGACTCCGTCTGCAATCCCGGCACCTCGGGAGGCCGAGGCTGGCGGATCACTCGCGGTTAGGAGCTGGAGACCAGCCCTGCCAACACAGCAAAACCCCATCTCCACCAAAAAAATACGAAAACCAGTCAGGCGTGGTGGCGCGCGCCTGCAATCGCAGACACTCGGCAGGCTGAGGCAGGAGAATCAGGCAGGGAGATTGCAGTGAGCCGAGATGGCGGCAGTACAGTCCAGCTTCCGCTCGGCATCAGAGGGAGACCGTGGAAAGAGAGGGAGACCGTGGGGAGAGGGAGAGGGAGAGGGGGACGGGGAGGGGGCGCAATTTGTTAAGATGATAAAAAGACAAGCTACACTTGGAGAAAATATTTGCAAATCACATACCTAACAAAAAACTCATATCCAGAATATTAAAAAAAAATGGAAAAACCTCAAATAACCCAATTTAAAAGTGGGCAAAAGACATAAAGAGACATTTCATTAAAGACAATATATGTATGGCACATAATCACATGAAAAGATGTTCAAGGCTGGGCACAGTGGCTCACACCTGTAATACCAGCACTTTGGGAAGCTGAGGTGGGAGGATTGTTTGAGCCCGGGAATTCAAGACCAGCCTGGGCAACAAGGTGAAACCCCCTCCCAAGAGGATCACTTGAGCCTGGGAACTCAAGGCTGCAGTGATCCATAATCGTGCCACTGCACTCCAGCCTGGGTGATGGATAGAGTGAGACCCTGTCTCAATAAAAGAAAAGAAAAGAACAGGAAAAGAAAAGAACAGAAAAAAAAGAAAGAAAAAAGAAAAGAAAAAGTTCAACATTACTTGCATTAGGGAAATGCAAATGAAGGTTACTACACATTCATTAGAATAGCTAAATAATGGTTATAAAATATTACCAAATAATACCAAATGCTGGTGAGATCATGGAGAAATTGTCTCTTTCATACATTGCTGTGGGAATGTAAAATGTTACAGCCACTGTAGAAAATAGTTTGACAGGCTTTTAAAAAGGTAATTATGTATTACCACACAACCCAAAACTGTACTCCTGGGCATTTATCTCTGAGGAGTAAAAACATATGTCCACACAAAACCTCTACATGATTATTCATGGAATTATTTGTAATATCAAAAATCTGGAAGCAACCATAAAGTCCTGTAATAGGTGAATGGTTAAATATTGTGGTACATACACACAATGAAACACTACTCAGCTTTAAAAAGGAACAGACTATTGATACATGCAACAACTTGGATGGGTCTCAAGGGCATTAGGCTAATGACAAAAAGCCAGTCTTAACAAGTCACAGAGTGTATGATTCCTTTTATATAACATTCTCAGAATGACAAAATGATAGAGATGGAGGAATTTGTGATTGCCAGGGGTTGGGAAGTGGTGGGGGTGAAGCAGGTATGAGTATGAATATAAATTGGTAGGTGAGGGAGATCTTTGAGGATGATGGAATAGTTCTGCATCTTCATAGCTACGGTGGCTGTAAGGATTTAAACACGATAAAACAGCATAGAACTACCACACACACATTGTACCAATATCAATTTCCTGGTTATGATATTGTATTATAGTTACATAAGATGTAGCCATTGGGGGAAACTGGGTGGAGGGCATACAGTACCTTTCTACTATCTCTCCAAATTCCTGTGAATTTATAATTATTTCAGTCCAGCGTGGTGGCTCACGCCTGTAATCCCAGCACTTTGGGAGGCCAAGGCAGGCAGATCATGAGGTCAGGAGTTCGAGACCAGCCTGACCAACATGGTGAAACCCCATCTCTACTAAAAATACAAAAATTAGCTGGGCGTAGTGGTGTGCCTGTAATCCCAGCTACTCGGGAGGCTTGAACCTGGGAGGTGGCGGCTGCGGTGAGCCGAGATCACGCCATTGTACTCCAGCCTGCGCGACAGAGCGAGACTCCATCTCAATTAAAAAAAAAAAAAAGAATTTTTAAATATTTCAAAGTAAAAAAATAAAAATAAAAAATTGAATTAGCTGGAAAATAATTAGGCCAAATCCCTTATTTCACAAACAGGGTCACCGGGATGCCAAAAGGGCAAATGACTGGCCCAATGTTACTCAACTATTAGGGCAGTACTGAGACTTTGCAACCTTTATTACTGTCCTAAGATCTAAACTTCTTCTTTGGAGCTCTCAAAACTCAACAACTTTCACCAATGTGCTTTCCAGCATCAACTTGCCCACACTTCCATCACATTCCCTTACACCAAAATTCTTCTAGCTCTTCTTGTTGGTCAGATTTCCCTTGAGAGTTCCATGTTCCTACTGGATTTTCCACTTCTAGATAGCTCAACATTTTTTTTTAGCAGTCATACACTTAAATATATATTACTAGGGTAGATTTTCTTTCTTTTCTTTTTTTTTTTTTGAGACAGTCTCGCTCTGTCGCCCAGACTGGAGTGCAGTGGTGCGATCTTGGCTCACTGCACCCTCCACCTCCCAGGTTCAAGTGATTCTCCTGCCTCAGCCTCTCGAGTAGCTGGGACTACAGGCACCCACCACTATACCGGGCTAACTTTTGTATTTTTAGTAGAGGCGGGGTTTCACCAGGTCGGCCAGGCTAGTCTCAAACTCCTGACCTCAAGTGATCCACCCATCTCGGCCTCCCAAAGTTTTGAGCCACCACGCCCAGCCTAGGGTAGATGTTCTTTTCTTTTCTTTGTTGTTGTTGTTGTTGTTTTCAGACGGAGTCTCGTTCTGTTGCCCAGGCTGGAGTGCAGTGGTGCGATCTTGGCTCACTGCAACCTCTGCCTCCCAGGTTCAAGTGATTCTCCTGCCTCAGCCTCCCGAGTAGCTGGGATTACAGGCACCTGCCATCATGCCCGGCTAATTTTTGTATCTTTAGTAGAGATGGGGTTTCACCATGTTGGACAGGCTGGTCTTGAACTCCTGACCTCAGGTGATCTTCCCGCCTCGGCCTCCCAAAGTGGTGGGATTACAGGCATGAGCCACTGCGTCTGGCCCTAGGGTAGATTTTCTAACCTCCCCTCCTAACTTTTTTTATTTTTATTTTTTGAGATGGAGTCTTGCTCTGTCCCCCAGGCTGGAGCGCAGTGGCCCGATCTCCACTCACTACAACCCTTACCTCCCAGGTTCAAGCAATTCTTCTGCCTCAGCCTCCCGAGTAGCTGGGATTACAGGCACCCGCCACTGGCTAATTTTTGTGTTTTTAGTAGAGATGGGGTTTCACCATCTCTACTGGTCTTGAACTCCTGACCTCAAGTGATTTACCCCCCTGGACCTCCCAAAGTATTGGGATTACAGGTGTGAGACACCAAGCTCAGCCTCCATTCCTAACTCTTTACAGGAAGCCTTCAGTTCTGGCTCAGTTATGTTCAAGATTTCATAGAAGCTTCTTGCCTATTTCATGATCTTCTCTGTTGAGAAATGGCCCACTTATTAGCTAGGCCTAGCAGTTCAAGTCCACTGCTGAACACTACATAGTGACACCTATTGAGATAGAAGGAAGATATTCCATGTGTCTAAAGTGCCTGGAATATTCTGGTTGAGATATTCAACAAACAACTAGGAAAAAAACTAAAGTTCCAGGGAGGGATCACTTCTAGAGATATAGATTTATGAGTCACTGGTGTAAACCATGGGGAAATTTCTTCTGTAATCAAAAGAAAAACAATTTTACTTAAAGGAACAATACTATGGGGTTGGGAAAGTTGAACAGTGTTGGAGAAGAATGAAGGGTCTAATACTGCTTTTTTTCTCACCTATAATCTCTGATGGCTGAAATCTTGAAACATCCTGTGCATGTTGAGGAAAAGTTAGCAGGGCTTTGTGTGGTGGATGACGTAATACGAGGAGGGGTTCCCTCTGGATGAATTGCCTCAGTGGTTTTTTTTGCAGGGTATCTCTGACCTAAGAGTAGCTTCACTCCTTTCAGAACAAAGGAAAGTCTGAGTTTAACTCAGACCTTGAGATGCTGATTAAAAATAGAAGGTTCCTAGAAACAGTGTCTAAAAGGTTGAGAGGCTGGGCGTGATGGCTCATGCCTGTAATCCCAACACTTTGGGAGGCTGAGGCAGGAGGATTGCTTGAGGCCAAGAGTTAAGAGACCAGCCTGGACAACATAGTGAGCCCTTGTCTCTACTAAAAATTAAAAAATAAAAAATAGCCAGGCATGGTCGTGTGTGCCTGTAGTCCCAGCTACTTGGGAGGCTGAGGCAGGAGGATTGCTTGAGCCCAGGATGTCAAGGCTGCAGTGAGCTATGATCTCATCATTGCACTCCAGCCTGGGCAACACAAGACACTGCCTCAATAAAAATTTTTCAAAAGGTTGATAAAGAATACCTGGGAGCTGCCATTCCTAGCAAAGAGGACCTCCAATTACAGGAGAAATTCTAGGTAAGATTCTGAGAGTCCCTGGTTTCTTTTTTTTTTTTTTTGAGACGGAGTTTTGCTCTTGTTGCCCAGGCTGGAGTGCAATGGCACGATCTCGGCTCACCGCAACCTCCACCTCCCGAGTTCAAGCAATTCTCCTGCCTCAGCCCCCCGAGTAGCTGGGATTACAGGCACGCACCACCACGCCCAGCTAATTTTGTATTTTTAGTAGAGATGAGGTTTCTCCATGTTAGTCAGGCTGGTCTCGAACTCCCAACCTCAGGTGATCTGCCCACCTCGGCCTCCCAAAGTGCTGGGATTGCAGACGTGAGCCACCGCGCCCAGCCAGAGTCCCTGGTTTCTGACACGAGTTTTCCTTGGGCCTAAAATCTACACTTTTCACATTTCTTTCCCTTCTCAAGCTTTTCTAGCTGTATCCAAGATTTCTTTTTTAGCGTCACTCAACATGTATTGAATCTTTGTTGAGACACATGCACATTTTAAAAGAACCTTTGTAAGATTTTGTGTGTGTGTATGCCAATTATTTTATTTCAGCAGCATATTTTTTTTCTTTGGTTTTATGCCTGATATATCTAATTATTTGCCTGTCTAGTTCCTGTTGTAGCCTCTAAACAGCAGCTAGATGTTGAGCAAAAAAGGTTGCCATAGCAACAAATGTTCAGCCACTGATTTGTTGCTTCGCAGGCAATTAGGTATAATCCTAGTATACCTACCTAATAAAGCAAGGACCTGTTATATGGGCTTTTTTTGTTTACTTCGTACTGTCTCATAATGGACAAGCATTATTCTAGAGCAACTGTGTCTGTCTCCTTGCCTGTCATCTTCACACAAACCTGGTAGAATTTCTTGGGTATCCAAAGATCATTGGCCAATGTATTCATCTTTTTTTTTTTTTTTTAAGAGATAGGGTCTTGCTTTGTTGCCCAGGCTGGAGTACAGTGGTGTGATCATAGTTTACTACAGCCTCAAACTTCTAGGCTCAAGTGATCCTCTGCCTCAGCCTCCCAGGTAGCTGGGATTACAGACATGTGATGTGCAACCACACCGGGCTATTTATTTTTTTGTAGAGACAAGGTCTTTCTATGCTGCCCAGGCTAGTCTTGAACTCCTGGCCTCAAGTGATCCTTCTTCCTTGGCCTCCTCTGAAGCACTGGAATTACAGGTGTGAGCTACTGTGTAGAGCTTGTTTTCATCTTTATTGAAGCTGGTGCCCCAGTTTATACACTCGTCTTTGAAAAATGTCTGAAAATCACAACCTCACAGCCACTGGAGGTTGGCCCAACCACCTCCTCCCATGCTGGGTAGTACTAATTTTCTACCTTATTAATTATAGTTCAATAAAATGTCTCTACCATTAAAGTGTTAGGAAATTTACATATGTGATCTCTAAGCATCCCAACAAAGTAGGCATCATTACTCCCACTTTGCAGAACTGGGAGTAACTGAGACTCAGAGAAGGTAAGTGTGTTATCTAAAATGATACAGCTTGTAAAAGGACTATGAATCTAAGCCTGACTGGCTCTTAAACCTTTATTCTTTTTCACTACAAATTTAGGTCCCCATTTCAACTCTCCATGGACCAGTTGCTGAATAGATTATTGCTCATTTCTGTAAAGGTCTTGGACCCTTATACTGCCTCTTAGACAAGTTCCTGGGGCCATGTGTCCTTATCCAGACACATTCTAATAATTCAGTTGGATCTCCAGGTGAATAGATTGTTTGAAGGAACAAAGATAGAGGGAAGTTTGAGGGGGGTTGAGCAGGGAAGCCCCCAGGAGTTAACTTTCCTGAGTGTCCTAAATAGGACTAAAGCCCATATCACAGCAACTCAAGAGGCCAGGTTAAAACCAGTAGCTGTTTTCACATCGATTGAACTAGGGCCTCTTCCCAAAACTTATTGTTTAGGCTGAGAAGACACCTCTGCAGATGAGTCAGGCTCCATGGACACTCACCTGCAGCCCTAAAAATCCTTAGACTTTGCTGGGATCCAGAGGGAATGTGGCTATGAAATCACCATCAGATTCACCCCAACAATTAGTGGCATGAAAGAGAGATGAAGTAGGACTGTAAGATGGACCTAATTATCTAGAATAGAGAAACAATGTATGCTATCAAAACAAGCAGAAAAGGAGCTAATTTCCATGTAGCTTGGCCTTCTATGCTGTAGTTAGTCATTGTCTTTCCTTTAGCTCCCACAGCTGCCCCAGAACTTGTGCACCTATGTCTGAAACCCAGAACTAAGAACCTGGACACCAAGATTGGGACCCCATATCCCCACAATAACTGGAAACAGCTAATCCAGTCTCCCATTTGCCTGCCACCAATTGTCTCAGGATGACTTATAATGTAGACGTGCCTGGATCTAGGCAGCTGGATTGGGTGACTGGGCATATTAGCTGTTCCAAAATATATGTTAAATTTACTTGTTGAATTTAGGTTACCCATCAGTAAAATCACTAACAAGTAAAGAAATCACCAAGTGGCATCTAATGAAAAGGATCTGTGTAATCAGCTCTTTAAAAAATTAAGAACTCAGCTGTCCCTTTTCTTCATTATCTGGGCAACCCTTATCCCTACAGTTATTAGCGAAACAAAACAACAATGCTGGCCCAGTTATCAGGGAGAAGCTTGTTTTGTCTCATTTGTGATATTGGGTCCTAGCTGCTAATTTTCTCAGCGATGGCAGAAAAAGGTAATTCAGGTCGGCTGTGGTGGCTCACGCCTGTAATCCTAGCACTTTGGGATGCCAAGGTGGAAGGATTGCTTGAGCTCAGGAGTTTGAGAGCAGCCTGGGCAAAAGGGCAAGACCCTGTCTTAATTTTTTTTTTAAAAAAGGTCATTCAAACCAGATTAGACTAAAATAACACAAAGAGCCACATCACTGTTTATATGAATCTCACAAGCTGAGTTTCTTAGGAAAGGAAGGAAACCTGGAAAGAGAAGTCAAAAGCCTACAGCAAGGCAGAGCTGTCTCCAGGGTACTGGGTACTCAGCTTCCCTGCACTTCCACCTGGGGAAGGAAAGGATAGGTATGGGAAAGTCTTCTGCTGTGGTGTCATGCAGTGGCCCTAGTCAGATCTGTCTTCTAGCCCTGATTTTGCCACTTAGTAGTATTTAAGTAAGAGCACTTCACTCCTACCATTAAGACTCTCCAACAGCTTCTCATCTCAGAATGAAATTCTATCTCCCTTCCTTGGACTATACAACCCTTATGAACTGGCCCTGCCTTAACTTGTACTGCTTCCCCAGTTCAACACTGCCCCTTTTCCTCCTTCCAGATAATGAGCTGAGTCCATTCCCTGGAGTTGGAAGGTTCTGCCTCCATCTATTCATTCAGGTCTCAGCTTGTGATCACCTCCTCAGGTCTTCTCCAACCACCCTATCACATCTCAGTCACAATCACATCACCCCATCTACTTTGCTTCCCAGCATTAAAGCAGTATCTGAATTTGTATTTACAAAAATATTATCTGCCTATCCCTATTAGAACGTAACCTTCTGCCGGGCGTGATGGCTCACGCCTGTAATCCCAGTGCTTTGGGAGGCTCAGGTGGGCAGATCACAAGGTCAGGAGATCGAGACCATCCTGGCTAACACAGTGAAACCCCGTCTCTACTAAAAATACAAAAAATTAGCCAGGTGTGGTGGCGGGCACCTGTAGTCCCAGCTACTCGGGAGGCTGAGGCAGGAGAATGGCGTGAACCCAGGAGGCGGAGCTTGCAGTGAGCCGAGATAGCGCCATTGCACTCCAGCCTGGGCGACAGAGCGAGACTCCGCCTCAAAAAACAAACAAACAAACAAACAAACAAAAACAAAGAAAGAATGTAACCTCCATGATGGCAGGGGTCTTGGTCTTGTTGACCACAGTACCCCTTGTACTTGGAACAGTGCTTGAGACATAGATTCCTAGTATTTTTTTTTGTAAAGACAGGCTCTCACTATGTGGCATAGGATGGTCTTGAACTCCTGGCGTCAAGCAATTTTCCCACTTTCGCCCCCCAAAGTGTTGCCATTACAGGCATGAGCCACTGTGCCCAGCTAAAATATTTTCTTGAATGATCAATACTGGCAGTGGGACCCGGAGCATGTCACTTAACCTCTGATTCTGTTATAAAATGCAAATATCCAATTGCCCCCAAATTGTTATGAATAACATATTAAGAGGACAAATGTAAAAAGGCCAGGCAGCTAGTAAGTATTCAACATATTTTGGTATATGACCTACTCATCAATCTGTAACCATCTCTCTATCTCCCCCTCCCTTTCAAGGCCACACTGGCAGTTCATGTTAACCTTTCAGTGGGAGCAAAGAGTGTGTAGTAGAGTGGTGGTGACTGGAGAGGGTGGGTGGTATAAATTGCAGTATACTTTCTTGTGAGTCTCATGGTACCTCTTTGGAACACTTATAGGTAGATATTTGAGTCATCCACAAAGACGTCAGAGTCAGGAACCTAGCCCACTCATTTCTAGGCTTTGGTTTATAAGCTGGTATTTTTGAACAGGAAATAAGGCCTAAGCCAGGTCTAGTTTATATATGCTGGGCAGTTAACCTATAAGGTATTCAAAATCAAACATACCGGCAAGGTGCGGTGGCTCATGCCTGTAATCCCAGCACTTTGGGAGGCTGAGGCCGGTGGATCACCTGATGTCAGGAGTTCGAGACCAGCCTGGCCAACATGACAAAACCCCGTCTCTACTAAAAATACAAAAATTACCCTGATGTGGTGGTGTGGGCCTGTAATCCCAGTGATTTGGGAGGCTGAGGCATGAGAATCGCTTGAACCCAAGAGGTGGAGGTTGCAGTGAGCCAAGATCGCAAAACTGCACTCCAGCCTGGGCAACAGAGTGAGACTCTCTCAAAAAAAAAAAAAAAAAAACAAAACAAAATCAAACATACCAATAACAATACTGAAGGGAACACCTTGGGGTGGGATAGAAGCAAAGAACAAAATGTCCTCTCCAGCTTTTTTTTCTCTGCAGGTGGTTTTGACCTGTCTTTAAAAGACAGAGAAAGGGTTCAGTCAGGGCCCATGTCTATACAAGGGCTATTAAACAGCACTTATACTAAAATGAAGCTTGGAATGTAATTTCTATTTAGCAGATTAGACTGATTTTCCTGTTTAAATATATAGATGCTTCTGGTCCCCAAAAGTGGGGAAAGGGGATTAATTCAGATGCTGAAGAAGATAACTTCTCAGTGCCTACTGCAGCAAGGCAAAAAAAAGATAGCTTCATTATTAGGGGAAGGTTTCTTTTCCATCAGAGCGATTGGGCAGAATTTGGGCTTAGTTGCTTGCTGAGTTGGTCTCTTGTTTTAGGAACAATCTTGTACCTTCGTGCCAACAGACACTGTTCCATTATTTTCTTTCTTCCAGGAAAGGGGAGGGCCAAGGCAAAACAATGAATGAATTTTCCTGAATTCTTGCCTTCAATCTAGATGGGGTTACACCCAAGATTATTAAAAAAAGAAATAAAAAGAAAAAAGAAAGGCTGAGTGATGTGCTTCTCTGGCATCTTCCAAGTTAGCAGCTGGATTCATGTACTACAGATAGGTTGGAGTCACCCACGCTAGAAACCAACATCTGTCCTCTACTACCAAGTAGGTTTTCAGATTATTTTGTTTGTTTGACATAGAGATAGGGTCTCACTATGTTGTCCAGGATGGTCTCAAACTCCTGGCCTCAAGTGACCCTCCTGCTTCGACCTCCCAAATTGCTGGGATTATAGGTATGAGCCACCATGCCCAGCTGGTTTTCAGATTCTTAAAAAGGCCACAGAAAGTGTTATGTTACACTCACACAGAAAGTACAAACCAAGTCAAACGAATCAGCTTTCTCCAAAACCTCAACTCCAAAGGCTCTTTCTTCAGAGGACTGTTAATATTTCACTCCATGTTGCCAAACAAAACAAAACAAAACACACTTTCAGAAATGACATTAGAGACTTGGTGTTGGAAAATACTTGCTTTCGTTCTGATCTGGTAGCCTTTATTCTCATATTGTCAACTTTTCTCCTTCCACCCCAGAAAACTAACTTGAAACTCACTTAAACATATGCTATCACTTAATACTTAACTACAAAGTGGAAACAGATGGTAAACCCAGGTTAGCTGTTCCTAACAAATGCCAGGAATATTCAAATACAGCTATTTCAGATGAACTGCTTGGAAGTTATTTATTTGTATTATTTTAACATATATTATGAACTGAACTAAGAGAAGCTCTATGTAAAAGTTTGGGTGCTCATTCCTGCAATAAATAAATATAACTGCTATTTATCGGCTGCTATATAACGCTGCAGTTGAGGTGGGCTTTCCTAACTTCTAATCACAGGATCCTCAGCCAGCCAAGTTCTTTCGCTTTTGCTAATTCTTAATAGATTTCAAACTTTGGTATGGAGTGTATGTATGTATGTATTTATTTATTTTTTTGAGATGGAGTCTCACTCTGTTGCCCAGGCTTGAGGACAGTGGCGCAGTCTCCGCTTGCTGTACCCTCCGCCTCCCAGGTTCAAGCAATTCTCCTGCCTCAGCTTCCCGAGTAGTTGGGATTACAGGTGCACGCCACCACACCCGGCTAATTTTTTTTTTTTTTTTTTGTATCTTTAGTAGAGACGAATTTTCACCATGCTGGCCAGGCTGGTCTCAAACTCCTGACCTCAGACGATCTACCCGCCTCGGCCTCCCAAAGTACTGGGATTACAGGCATGATCCACCACGCCAGGCTGGGAGTGTATTCTTTTAACCGCAAAAGGGGACCCGGCACAGTGGCTCACGCCTGTAATCCCAGAACTTTAGGAAGCCAAGGTGGGTTGATTACGTGAAGTCAGGAATCCGAGTCCAGCCTGGCCAACATGGTGACACCCTGTCTCTACTAAAAATACAAAAATTAGCCCAGTGTGGTGGCACACGCCTGTAGTCCCAGCTACTAGGGAGGCTGAAGCAGGAGGATTGCTTGAATCCAGGAGGTGGAGGTTGCAGTGAGCCAAGATCACACCATTGCATGCCAGCCTGGGCAAGAGTGAGACTCTGTCTCAAAAAAATATAATTTTTTTTAAGGGAAGGAGAAAGGTGGTAGTTTTGTAAGCTTGGACAGCTTTGATGCACAATTAAAAGAATGAGGCTTTAGTTCTGGCGTGGTGTAGTTGAGCAGATAAGTTGTGCCTATGCACATTCATAAGCGAACTTTTAAAAGTCAACCCCATTTGCATCCTACCTAATCACATTCCTCCATATTGTTCTAGAGCTGCACTGTTCAATATGGTAGTCACTAGCCACTTGTGGTTATTAAGCATTTGGAATGTGCCTTGTCCAAATTGAAATGTATTATAGGTGTAAAATACTCACCAGAATTTGAAAACTCAGTATGAAAAAAATGTAAATATCCCACTAAAAATTTTTATATTGATTACATGTTTAAATATTTACTGGGTTAAATGAAAACATTATTAAAATTAGTATCTTTACACATTACCTTTTGTAATGTGGCTGCTAGAAAATTTAACATTATATGTGGTGATGCATTATATTTCTACTGGACAGTGCTATTCTAGAGCATTTGGTGCATACAGAAGACAAATTGTGAATTTTAAAAAGTAGGTACACCACAGTCACCAACACTGTCCACTGAGAAACTCAGCGATATTTTAGACTTCAGGTCCCCACCCTACCTAAGACACAGGGAAGAGAAACCACAGACCAGCAGAATGCCAAGGATGTATTAATAGTAGGAGCAGAATACACATTTATCTCCTGAGGAAACAAATGAGATTCAGATGAGCCCTTATTCACCCATGAACTTTTACTCCTCAAATACCTACTAGATCTAGCAGTTACAACGTATTTGAATGGAGATGGATAATTACAGTATGTACATTTCTTAAGGTTTTGGTACTATTTTATCTATTTTTTGTTTTTGAGACAGAGTCTTGCTCTGTTTCCCAGGCTGGGGTGCTGTGGCATGATCTCAGCTCATTGCAACCTCCGCCTCCTGGGTTCAAGCGATTCTCCTGCCTCAGCCTCCCAAGTAGCTGGGATTACAGGCATACCCTACCGCGTGTGAACAAATCAAACAGGGTTGCTTTTCGCAGTGGTTCATAAAGTTGTTTCTAAAAGCTATTTAAACAAGTTCCAAATATCTTCTCAGCAATAAAGTTCTTGGAATGCTGATGGCTGCCCAAGGCAACTTAAAGTGCATTTTCTTGCATACCAATAAGCTGGCTGGCATATATATACATATACACACACGTATATATACAGACGTGTATACACACACACGTATACATATATATATATATACACACATATATATATTTTTTGTTTGAGACGGAGTCTCACTCTGTCACCAGGCTGGAGTGCAGTGGCGCTATCTCGGCTCACTGCAACCTCCGCCTCCCAGGTTCAAGCGATTTTCCTGCTTCAGCCTCCCGAGTAGCTGGGACTACAGGCGCATGCCACCACATCCAGCTACTTTTTGTATTTTTAGTAGAGGCGGGGTTTCACCATGCTGGCCAGGATGGTCTCGATCTCTTGACCTCGTGGTCTGCCTGCCTCGGCCTCCCAAAGTGATGGGATTACAGATGTGAGCCACTGCACCCGGCAGGGCATAGTTTTTAAAAAGCTGCAATTTGAATCTTTCTAGTCATTTCATATTTCAAATTGTCATAATTGGGGCCAAGAGCACACGTAATAAGGGGCTGAGATGACCATTTAACAATTCCCCAATTTTTGTTTTTGTTTTCACTGTTAAAGAGGAATTTTTATTAAAGCAAGAATTTTATAATCCAAATTACGTTTCCTTGCTCAGTTATTAATTCTGTTACTTAAAACAGAAGTGACATTTTGAGCTATTCCACAGTAAAGAATTACAAAATTAAAGAAAGGAATGTTTTATATTTTTGTACTTTGCTGAAAATTCTTTTTCCCAGGGTCTATAAAACACTAATTTGTTTCTATATTTTACTATTTTTTTTGTGTTTTTTGTTTTTCAATCAATTAATCTAGGACTAGCATTATGTTTGCTAGACCTGGCATTTGCTCGGTACATACGGTTCAGTTTCCTTCTTTTATATTTTGATATTTTTTTCCATATTTAAGTTTTTCGATGTTTAGATATTTTTCTTTGGTGAAGCACAAGTTTCTTTTCGTGGTCCCTGATCAATTTTAAACAGTTGGAACACCGGTGGCACTGTTAACTGCTTTCTGGGCAGTCTCTTTAGCTTGGTGGGCTTGTAGTACAGCTACAGCTTCATCAACCTTAGAATGGAGTGACTCTGGAGACTTGAGCATATGAAGAAGTTCTGAATTATCAATCTCCAACAACACGCCAGTGATTTTACCGGCAAGAGTAGGGTGCATGGCTTGAATAAGAGGAAACAGCCATTCACCCAACATTTGCTTTTGCTCTTGAGGGGCAGATGCCAACATGGAAACAGTCAAAGGTTCCTGACCTTGTACATGAATAGCAGGCTGTTGCACTGTAACTTGTGGCTGTGCATTAAGATGTTGCTGAGGATTGCAAACTCCCGCAGCATATTTATACTGTGGAACGGTGCGGACAGCAGGAGTAGCTGCAGCAGCTGTAGCTGCAAGACGTGGACCCATTGTCTGTGTTGATGAATTCACCAAATTTTTATTCCAGTCTATTTTGAGACTTCTGGAAATAAAACACCTTGATACCGTTTGCCCTAGGGCTGATTACAAGGTACACTTAAACTGCTAAAATGATAGTTCATGTTATTCATAGTGCTAAGGTGTATCTGGTAATGCCCAGTGCTTTACTGAATTTACAGTATATTACCATTAATCCTCCAAAAAACAAAAAAACAAA